>NC_000019.10:41180267-41483298 GCF_000001405.40 Homo sapiens
CCGCCCGGCAGCCGCCCCGTCTGAGAAGTGAGGAGTCCCTCTGCCCGGCAGCCACCCAGTCTGGGAAGTGAGGAGCGTCTCCGCCCGGCAGCCGCCCCGGCCGGGAGGGAGGTGGGGGGGTCAGCCCCCCGCCCGGCCAGCCGCCCCGTCCGGGAGGGAGGTGGGGGGGTCAGCCCCCCGTCCGGGAGGGAGGTGGGGGCGGTCAGCCCCCCGCCCGGCCAGCCGCCCCATCCGGGAGGGAGGTGGGGGGGTCAGCCCCCCGCCCGGCCAGCCGCCCCGTCCGGGAGGGAGGTGGGGGGTCAGCCCCCCTCCCGGCCAGCCGCCCCGTCCGGGAGGTGAGGGGCGCCTCTGCCCAGCCGCCCCTACTGGGAAGTGAGGAGCCCCTCTGCCTGGCCAGCCACCCCGTCCAGGAGGGAGGTGGGGGAGTCAGCCCCCCACCCGGCCAGCCGCCCCGTCCGGGAGGGAGGTGGGGGGGTCAGCCCCCTGCCCGGCCAGCCGCCCTGTCCAGGAGGGAGGTGGGGGGGTCAGCCCCCCGCCCGGCCAGCCGCCCCGTCTGGGAGGGAGGTGGGGTCAGCCCCCCGCCCGGCCAGCCGCCCCGTCCGGGAGGTGAGGGGCACCTCTGCCCAGCCGCCCCTACTGGGAAGTGAGGAGCCCCTCTGCCTGGCCAGCCACCCCGTCCAGGAGGGAGGTGGGGGAGTCAGCCCCCCACCCGGCCAGCCGCCCCGTCCGGGAGGGAGGTGGGGGGCTCAGCCCCCCGCCCGGCCAGCCGACCCGTCCGGGAGGGAGGTGGGGGGATCAGCACCCCGCCCGGCCAGCCGCCCCGTCCGGGAGGGAGGTGGGGGGGACAGCCCCCGCCCGGCCAGCCAGCCCGTCCGGGAGGGAGGTGGGGGGGTCAGCCCCCCGCCCGGCCAGCCGCCCCGTCCGGGAGGGAGGTGGGGGGGTCAGCCCCCCGCCCGGCCAGACGCCCCGTCCGGGAGGTGAGGGGCGCCTCTGCCCGGCCGCCCCTACTAGGAAGTGAGGAGCCCCTCTCCCAGCCACCACCTCGTCTGGGAGGTGTACCCAACAGCTCATTGAGAACGGGCCGGGATGACAATGGCGGTTTTGTGGAATAGAAAGGGGGGAAAGGTGGGGAAAAGATTGAGAAATCGGATGGTTGCCGGGTCTGTGTAGAAAGAAGTAGACATGGGAGACTTTTCATTTTGTTCTGTACTAAGATAAATTCTTCTGCCTTGGGATCCTGTTGATCGGTGACCTTACCCCCAACCCTGTGCTCTCTGAAACATGTGCTGTGTCCACTCAGGGTTAAATGGATTAAGGGCGGTGCAAGATGTGCTTTGTTAAACAGATGCTTGAAGGCAGCATGCTCGTTAAGAGTCATCACCACTCCTTAATCTCAAGTACCCAGGGACACAAACACTGCGGAAGGCCGCAGGGTCCTCTGCCTAGGAAAACCAGAGACCTTTGTTCACTTGTTTATCTGCCAACCTTCCCTCCACTATTGTCCTATGACCCTGCCAAATCCCCCTCTGCGAGAAACACCCAAGAATGATCAATAAAAAAAAATTAAAAAAAAAAAAAAAAAAAAAAAGAATAAAAAAAATTAGTTGGGCATGGTGGCAGGCGTCTGTAATCGCAGCTACTCAGGAAGCTGAGGCAGGAGAATTGCTTGAACTTGGGAGGCAGAGGTTGCAGTGAGCTGAGATCGTGCCACTGCACTCCAGCCTGGGCAACAGAGGGAGACTCCGTTAAAAAAAAAAAAACAAAAACGAAGAAGTCAAGGCAAAAGTAGAGAGTTTATTTATTTGAGCCAAGCTTGAGGGTTGCAAATCAGAAGTATAGATTCAAATTGCCCTGAATATGCACTCTGATTTAGCAGTACTTGCAAGTTGGATTTATTTTATTTTATTTTATTTTATTTTTTGGTCTGAGACAGGGTCTCACCGTGTCACCCAGGCTGGAGGGTAGCAACAAGATCATAGCTCACCACAGTCTTGAACTCCTGGGATTAAATGATCCTCTTGCCTCAGCCTACCAGTGGATTTTTTTTCTTTTTTGAGACGGAGTCTCACTCTCTTGCCTGGGCTGGAGTGCAATGGCGCGATCTCAGCTGATGCACCTCTGCCTCCCAGTTTCAAGCAATCCTCCTGCCTCAGCCTCCCAAGTAGCTGGGATTGCAGACGTGCACCACCATCCCTGGCTAGTTTTTGAATTTTTATTTTAATCTTTTTTTTTTTTTTTAGTTTTTCTTAGTTTTTGTATTTTTAGTAGAGGCGTGGTTTCTCCATGTCTGCCAGGCTGGTCTCGAACTTCTGACCTCAGGTGATCTGCCCACCATGGCCTCCCACAGTGCTGGGATTACAGGCATGAGCCACTGTGCCCAGCGAACAAGTGGATTTTTAAAGGTAAAAAAAGGGGGACAGGGAGTGGGACTGACACAAGTGGATCGCTTGAGCCCAAGAGTTTAAGACCAGACTGGGCAACATGGCGAAACCTCATCTCTACAAAAAAAAGTACAAAAATTAGGCAGGCATGGTGGTGCATGCCTGTGATTCCACCTACTCAGGAGGCTGAGGTGGGAGAATCACCTGGGCCTGGGAGGTCGAGGCTGCAGTGAGCCATGAACCTGCCACTGCACTCCAGTCTGGGCTATGGGGTGAGACCCTGTCTCAAAAAAACTCAATAACCACCCCCGCTAAAAAAAAAAAAAAAAAAAAATGCTTGTCAGGAATTCTTATTGGTTTACAAAAATAACATAACTCTCAGGAGTTTGAGACCAGCCTGGCCAATAAGGTGCGCGCCACCACGCCCAGCTAATTTTTGTATGTTTAGTGGAGATGGGTTTTCTCCATGTTGGCCAGGCAGGTCTCAAACTCCTGACCTCAGGTGATCTGCCCGCCCCGGCCTCCCAAAGTGCTGGGATTACAGGCATGAGCCACTGCACCCACCCCTTGACTTCTTTCTTTTAGGTCCACAGTACATAGAACATGTCAGGAAAAGAAAGGATGGGGTGAGGTGATGGGGTGAGGATGTAGGATAATGGGACAGGATGAGCAGTGGGATGAGGGGATGGAATGAAGGACTGGATAAGGGATAGGTGGGGGTAAATGAGAGCATGGGGGAGGCAGTGCTCTCCTGATGGTGGGGTGCACGAGTGGATGGATGACAGGATAAATAGGGAAGGGAGGAGGGATAGGATGACGAGACGGCTGTAGAAGCCCAGAGCAGAGAACATTGCTGCTTTGGGGTCGATGATGTAATCACCTCAACTCACTGACACTATTCCCAGCCACGGATGATGCTCACAGAATCTGGGGAAGTCCAAGGCCTGGAAGCAGGACTCATCTTGGACTTCCCCTTCTATCTAGTTCCAGGTGCTGAATGAGGCACCTCTGAAGAAGAGAAAGGAGAGAGACTAAGATAAACAAGACTGAGAGGAAAAAATCAGAGTGGGCAGGCAGAGTGAGCCTGGTAAAGTGGACCACAGAGCAGACAGGCTGTGGCTTAGCCTTGGACAGCAGGTGGGGTTCCAGAGCCATATGCTTGGAGGAGCCTTAGCAAACTAAATCCCCCAGCAGTTTCTTAAACCCATCCATCACACAGCTTGCCAGAACCCTGGGGTTGGCAGCTTCCAGAATGGTTAGGAAAATCCACAGTAGTGGTCAGGCGCGGTGGCTCATGCCTGTAATCCCAGCACTTAGGGAAGCCAAGGCAGGCGGATCACTAGGTCAGGAGATCGAAACCATACTGGTTAACACGGTGAAACCCCGTCTCTACTAAAAATACAAAAAATTAGCTGGGCATGGTGGCATGCGCCTGTAATCCCAGCTACTCGGGAGGCTGGGGCAGGAGAATCACTTGAACCCGGGAGGCAGATATTGCAGTGAGCCGAGATCGCGCCATTGCACTCCACCTGGGCAACAGAGCGAGACTCCGTCTCAAAAAAAAAAAAAGAAAGAAAGAAAAAGAAAATCCACAGTAGGGGGCCAGACACAAAAATGATCACTCCAGCACTGTCCAGCCCAGATCAGAGGGTTTCTGATGGGAAGTAGCTGGGGTCAGGGCAAGGAGTGGTGGAAAAAGTCAGGCTGTTTTCAGCTGAACTATACAAATGGGCATCTCCTGGCCCAGGGTGGGGATTTGGCATTGCAGAAAGGCCAGAATCCACCTGGAATCACTCAGTTACTGTGAAATCTATCTTGGGAACCTAAGAATGTTTGCTTTCTAGACTTGAGAATTTTGGACACTTGATTGCTTTCTGGATGAATTTTAGAGATTTATAAATTGTATTGAAAGTGTTTATTCGACAAGATGTTTATTGAGCATCCACAGTGTGTTAGGCACTGGGGATACAGCAACACACAAAACAGACAGAGAATCGGCCCTTATGGAGAGACCATTTCAGTGGGAAAAGGGAGTATAAAAAAGCAAATCAAGGTCGGGAGCAGTGGCTCCCACCAGTAATCCCAGAACTTTGGGAGGCCGAGGCAGGTGGATCGCTTGAGCCCTGGGCAACATAGCTAAACCCTGTCTCTACAAAAAATTAGCCAGGCATGGAGCGCGTACCTGTAGTCCCAGCTACTCAGGAGGTCGAGGCAGGAGGATCGCTGACATCTGTGAGGCAGAGGCTTCAGTGAGCAGAGATCACACTACTGCACTCCAGCTTAGGCAACAGAGCAAAACTCTGTCTTTAAAAAAAAAAAAAAGTAGGCCGGGCAGGGCCGGGCCCAGTGGCTCATGCCTGTAATACCAGAACTTTGGGAGGCCAAGGTGGGTGGATCACTTGAGTGAGGTCAGAAGTTCAAGACCAGCCTGGCCAACATGGTGAAACCCTGTCTCTACTAAAAATACAAAAATTAGCTAGGCATGGTGTCACATGCCTGTAGTCCCAGCTACTCAGGAAGCTGAGGCAGGAGTATCACTTGAATCCAGGAGGCAGAGGTTGCAGTGAACGGAGATCACACCACTGCACTCCAGCCTGGGCAACAAGTGTGAGACTCCATCTCAAAAAAGAAAGTGAATCAATATATAAAATATAAAAAGACAAAAAATAATACACGTTGGCAATGATGTGGAGGAAAGGAAACATACCCTGTTGGTGAGAATGTAAATTAGTCCAGCCACTATGAGAAACAGTATGGAAATTTCTCAAAAAACTATCATAAGGGCTGGGTGCGGTGGCTCACGCCTGTAATCCCAGCACTTTGGGAGGCCGAGGTGGGTGGATCACAAGGTCAGGAGATCCAGACCATCCTGGCTAACACGGTGAAACCCCGTCTCTACTAAAAATACAAAAAAAAAAAAAAATTAGCTGGCCATGGCGGCGGGCACCTGTAGTCCCAGCTACTCAGAAGGCTGAGGCAGGAGAATGGCGTGAACCCAGGAGGCGAAGCTTGCAGTGAGCCGAGATGGCACCACTGCACTCCAGCATGGGCGACAGAGCAAGACTCCATCTCAAAAAACAAACAAAAAACAATCATATGATCCAGCAATCCCACTACTGGGAATTTATGGAAAGGAAAAGAAATCAGTGTATCAAAGGGATAGCTACACAGCAATGTTTATTACAGCACTATTCACAATAGCAAAGATATGGAATCAACCTAAATGTCCATCAACAGATGAATGGATAAAGAATATGTGGTACATCTACACAATGGAAAACTATTTGGCCGTTAGAAAAAGAATAAAATCCTGTCATTTGCAGCAACATGTGAAACTGTCTGTCCCTACAGGGTTGACAAGAACTGCAAGCCAGGTTCTAGATAGAAATATAATTAAGCATTGGCTGGGCACAGTGGCTCACACCTGTAATCCCAGCACTTTGCGAGGCCGAGGTGGGCAGATCACTTGAGGGCAGGTGTTCGAGACCAGCCTGGCCAACATGGTGAAACCCTGTCTCTACTAAAAATACAAAAAGTAGCTGGGTGTGATGGCAGGTGCCTGTAATCTCAGCTACTTGGGAGGCCTAGGCAGAATTGCTTGAACCCGGGAGGCAGAGGTTGCAGTGAGCCGAGATCATGCCATTGCACTCCCAGCTTGGGTGACAGAGTGAGACTCAAAAAAAAAAAAAAAAAAGAAAAAGAAAGAAAGAAAGAAAATTAAGCATTAATCATGCTGCACTTTGGTCCACTTCCTTGTTGCTGAAAGCCACATAGCTCTAGATGCTGACCATTTGTATCCCCATTGTTCTTATAGACAGCATCGCTGACCTTAGAATCATGATGTTTTTGTTAAGGATCACGTCAGATGTTTTTTGGACCCCCAATTCCAGCCACCAGTTTGAAGACCCCTACAGAGGATGGGGATTGTCAGGCCTCTGAGCCCAAGCTAAGCCATCACATCCCCTGTGACCTGCACGTATACATCTAGATGGCCTGAAGTAACTGAAGAATCACAAAAGAAGTGAAAATGGCCTGTTCCTGCCTTAACTGATGACATTACCTTGTGAAATTCCTTCTCCTGGCTCATCCTGGCTCAAAAGCTCCCCGGCTGAACACCTTGTGACCCCCACCCCTGCCAGCCAGAGAACAACCCCCTTTGACTGTAATTTTCCACTACCTACCCAAATCCTATAAAACGGCCCCACCCCTATCTCCCTTCACTGACTCTTTTTGGACTCAGCCCGCCTGCACCCAGGTGAAATAAACAGCCTTGTTGCTCACACAAAGCCTGTTTGGTGGTCTCTTCACACGGACGCGAGTGAAAGGGATCAGCATGAGACTATAACTTCTTCTTCCACCCTCTGTCCCGTGACTTCACTCTGCACTCTTCAACCAATCAACGATCTCCACCCTTCAGCCCACTCCAAAACCCTTGAACACCCTAGCCCCAAACTCTTAGGGGAGATGGATGTGAGGTTTCCCCCCATCTCCTCATTCAGTGACCCTACAATTAAACCTGCTTCTCTGCTGCAAACCAGTTATAACTGTAGTAGGCTCATTGCCCAGTGCACACAGCAAATCAACAGGAGACACTGGGTTGCAGGAGAGAAGAGGTTTCATCGTAGGGTCGCCAAAAGAGATGAGGAGTTGAAGAATGTAGGGTGAAGTCACGGGACAGGGAGATGAAGAAGCCACATTCTCATGCTGATCCCATTCCCCAGTGGGTAGCCTTCACACTGGTTGCTGGAATTCAAGGTCTGAAAAGCATCTTTTTACATTTTTGTTTATGTATTTATTATTATTATTATTATTATTATTATTATTATTATTATTATTGAGATGGAGTCTCACTCTGTCTCCCAGGTTGGAGTATAGTGGTACAATCTCGGCTCACTGCAACCTCTGCCTCCTGGGTTCAAGCAATTCTCCTGTCTCAGCCTCCTGAGTAGCTGGGATTACAGGTGTGAACCACCTCCCCCCACCACCTCCACTCCGCTAATGTCCTTTGTATTTTTAGTAGAGATAGGGTTTCACCATGTTGACTGGGTTGATCTTGAAGTCCTGACCTCAAGTGACCTACCCACCTCAGCCTCCCAAAGTGTTGGGATTATGGGTGTGAGCCACCGTGCCTGGCCCTGAAAAGCATCTTAAGTGATTCTTTCTTTAACAAAAGCCTTATGACTCTAATATCAGAGATTCTGTCTATAGGAACAATGGGGGTGCACATGGTCAGTATCTAGCTCTACCTGAGTTTTAGCAACAAGGAAATGGACCAAAGTGCAGCCCGAATAACACTTAATTATAAGTATGTTTCTGTCCAGAACCCAGCATGCAATTCTTGTCAGCCCTGTGGGAATGGTTTCACAGTGTCTCGATATACTGACTTGCTGTGTGCATTGGGCAACAAACCTATTACAATTACACATGGATGTAACTGGAGGTCATTACATTAATTGAAATAAGCCAGGCACAGAAAGATAAACAATGCATGTTCTTACTCCCAAGTGGAAGCTAAAAAAGTTGATCACATGGAGGTAGAGAATGGAATGATGGATACTAGAGACTGGGAAAGGCGTATGGGTGGGGTGGGGTGGGGAGAGAGGTTGGTTAATACACCTAGACAGAAGGAATAAGTTCCCTTTTTTTTTGAGACGGAGTCTCACTCTGTTGCCCAGGCTGGAAGGCAGTGGCACAATCTCAGCTCACTGCAACCTCTGCCTCTTGGGTTCAAGCAATCCTCCTGCCTCAGCCTCCAGAGTAGCTGCGATTACAGGCACGTGCCACCATAACCGGCTAATTTTTTTTTTTTTTTCAGACGGAGTCTCACTCTGTCACCCAGGCTGGAGTGCAGTGGCACAATCTCAGCTCACTGCAAGCTCCACCTCCCAGGTTCACGCCATTCTCCTGCCTCAGCCTGCCGAGTAGCTGGGACTATAGACGCCTGACACCACGCCCGGCTAATTTTTTGTATTTTTAGTAGAGATGGGGTTTCACCGCGTTAGCCAGGATGGTCTTGATCTCCTGACCTCGTGATCTGCCCGTCTCGGCCTCCCAAAGTGCTGGGATTACAGGCGTGAGCCACCACGCCCGGCAAGAACTTTTAAGTTTTCTTATCTATAGGATGTTGCAATCATCATCTTTAAACATTAGACATGGAATCTTTATAATAATCTTGCCATATATATATATATATATATATTTTTTTTTTTTTTTTTTTTTTTTTTTTGACACTGAGTCTCACTTTATCGCCCAGGCTGGAGTACAGTGGCACAATCTTGGCTCACTACAACCTCCACCTCCTGGGTTCAAGTGATTCTCCTGCCTCAGCCACCCCAGTGGCTGGGGACTACAGGCGTGCACCACCACATCCAGTTAATTTTTTTTTTTTTTTTGAGACGGAGTCTCGTTCTGTCGCCCAGGCTAGAGTTCAGTGGGGAGATCTCAGCTCACTGAAACCTCCGCCTTGTGGGTTCAAGCAAGCAATTCTCTGCCACAGCCTCCCGACTAGCTGGGATTAGAAGTGCCCACCACCACGTCTGGCTAATTTTTGTATTTTTAGTAGAGACGGGGTTTCATCATCTTGGCCAGACTGGTCTTGAACTCCTGACCCCGTGATCCACCCACCTCGGTCTCCCAAAGTACTGGGATTACAGGCGTGAGCCACTGCGCCTGGCCGGTTAATTTTTATATTTTCAGTAGAGACAGGATTTCACCACGCTGGCTAGGCTGGTCTCAAACTCCTGACCTCAGGTGATCCACCCGCCTTGGCCACTGTGCCTGGTCAACAGTCTTTCTATTTTTATTCTAGGCTGGAGACCTTTGTCTCAAAAACAAAACGAGAATGCTCCCTGGAGTCTGTACTGATCCCTCTTCCCTCCCACCGTAGATTAGTTTTCTCCTTGCATTTAAAAAGACCTTTCTGGCTGGCATCCAGTGAATGAATTGTGGAGGAGGGGGAGAAGGAGAGAGGAAGCAGGTAGCTCAGTGGGGAAGCTACTGCAAAATCCTGGCAAGCAATGACAGTACCTTGAATCAGGGCTGGTGTCAGTTGGATCAGGGTGGTAGGGAAAGGAGGAAATGGATAAATTTGGAATGTATTTGGAGGTAGAGCCAGCAGGATTTGCTGACAAACTGGGTTTAAAGTCAAAGAGAGAAATCAAGGTTAAACCTGACAAATAAAAACAGATGTGGTCTCAGGCGAGTAGAGACATTATGCAGAAAGACTATTGCATCAGGGGGAAAGATGGCTGTAAAAACAATGAACAAGACCAGAATCTGATAACCCAGAAGGATGTGTTGTCTAATGAAACTAATTTTTTCCCCTCCTCCTATTTTTTTTTTGAGACGGAGTTTCACTCTTGTTGCCCAAGCTGGAGTGCAATGGCGCGATCTCGGCTCACTGCAACCTCCGCCTCCCGGATTCAAGCGATTCTCCTGCCTCAGCCTCCCTGAGTAGCTGGGATTACAGGCATGCACCACCACACCTGGCTAATTTTGTATTTTTAGTAGAGACGGGGTTTCACCATGTTGGCCAGGCTGGTCTCAAACTCCTGACCTCAGGTGATCTGCCCACCTCAGCCTCCCAAAGTACTGGGATTGCAGGCATGAGACACCGCGCCCGGCCTCTCCTATATTTTGTTGTCATCAGCAAGTGAAAAGATGGTGATACCTTTTACAGAGGTAAGGAAGGAGGTGAGAGAAAGTATTCCCAGATGGGGTGGGAAGCTGGTACAGCCCACTTTGCAGGAGGTGGGGGAATCGGGAATTCTTTTATATCCATGAAGTTTGAGATGTCTGTTAGCTCTCCCAGGGGTAGAACAGAGGGAGCAGATAGGCTCAAGGTTGGATTTGGAACGTCCTAGAAACCTTCCAGAACAAGGCAAAGGAGGAACTGAGAACTGGCATTTACTTCATAGCAAGAGCGTATGAGCCTCCCCACCCCTCCTCCTTTGGCTTCAGGGCACCCCTGGAATGTTAGAGGCTAGAATCAATGCTAAAGAAGACCACAGTCAAGGATTCCCCAGACTCCAGGGAGCACTCTGGCTATGCTCTTGAGAGAAAGGGCTCTGGACTAGAATACAAATTGCAAGATTGCAGGCCGGGGGCAGTGGCTCATGCCTGTAATCCCAGCACTGTGGGAGGCCGAGGTGGGTAAATTGCCTGAGGTCAGGAGGTCGAGACCAGCCTGGCCAACATGGTGAAACCCCAACTCTACTAAAAATACAAAAGTTAGCTGGGAGTGGTGGTGGGCGCTTGTAATCCCAGCTACTCAGGAGGCTGAGGCAGGAGAATCACATGAACCCAGGAGGCAGAGATTGCAGTGAGCCAAGATCGTGCCACTGCACTCCAGCCTGGGCAACAGAGCGAGACCCTGTCTCAAAAAAAGATTGTGAAAATTCTAAGAATCTAATTTTTTTTTTTTTTTTTTTTTTTTTGAGACGGAGTCTCGCTCTGTCGCCCAGGCTGGAGTGCAGTGGCGGGATCTCGGCTCACTGCAAGCTCCGCCTCCCGGGTTCACGCCATTCTCCTGCCTCAGCCTCCCAAGTAGCTGGGACTACAGGCGCCCGCCACTACGCCCGGCTAATTTTTTGTATTTTTAGTAGAGACGGGGTTTCACCATTTTAGCCAGGATGGTCTCGATCTCCTGACCTCGTGATCCGCCCGCCTCAGCCTCCCAAAGAATCTAATATTTTAAAACTCCAGCATATGCAACTCAAAGCTCATCTAATTATACACTTAAGAGTTATGTATTTCATTGTATATAAGATACCTTGAGGAACAAAAAGTATCTGTAAACAAATACTGAGCTCTAGCTACTGATATGCATGCTGATGTATTTGGGAGTGAAGTGTACTGGTATCTGCAACTGACTTTGAAATGCTTAAAAAAAAATCAATGGATAGGCAAAATGAACAGATATGTAATGAAAAAAGGGCCAGGCACAGTGGCTCATGCCTGTAATCCCAGCACTTTGGGAGGCTGAGGTGAGAAGATCACCTGAGGTCAGGAGTTTGAGACCAGCCTGGTCAACATGGCAAAAACCCCGTCTCTACTAAAAATACAAAAAATAGCCAGGCATGGTGGTGCACGCCTGTAATCGCAGCTACTTGAGAGGCTGAAGCAGGAGAATTGCTTGAACCCGGGAGGCAGAGGTTGCAATGAGCCAAGACTGTATGCTATTGCACTCCACTCTGGGCAACAGAGTGAGACTCTATCTCAAACAAAAAAAGAATAGATAGGTAACAAAGAAAGGATAATAAAATGGTGGAATCTGATGGGTATACAGGTGTTCACTGTATGTTTGAAATTTTAATATTTTTATAATAAAATACGAAATCAAAATGCAAAGCAAACAAAGTAACTGCCCTGCTGAAAACCCCTCCAGACAGCTTCCGTTTGCAATAGAAATAAAATGCAGTCTTTTCCAAGACCTTGCAAGATGGCCCCTGCAGACTTCATGAATCTTATCTCCTACATTCAATCTTTGAAAATATAACAAATATTTATTGAGTGCCTACTGTGTGTCAGGCACTGCACTATATGTTGGGGATACAGCAGTGAACCAAACCTACAATAATTCATGCACAAATGGTTCTAACATTCTTCCTTCTCAAGAAGCCCATTCCCCTGGCAGGCCTTCTCACTTCCTGAAATTGTTTTCATCTCATCTTCATCTGCATGTGGATATGAGCTCAGGAAGGCCAGAGCCCTTCTCTCCATCGCTCATAGCTGCACCCTCGGGTCTAGAACAAGGTCTTGTTTATAGTAAGACCTCAATAACAGTTAGTTGCAGAAATATTAGCTAACATCTATTTAGTGCTTGTTACATGTGCACCTGCGTCTGCTTTAAATGGTGTGCACAGATGTACTATTTAATCCTGAAAACTAGCCCCATTTTACAAGGCTAACAGAGGCACAGAGGAATTAGGCTGTGAATTCAAGCAGTCTGGCTTCAGCCATCACGGTCCTAACCGCTCTGCAAACTGCCTCTAAACGAATGAATGAATGACTCAATCATTCTAACTGGCCCAAGTCAAAATATTAACTCTGCCACTCAGCCAAGTTGACCTGGGGCCAACCGATTTATCTCCCTGGACTTCAGATTGTTTATCCTTAAAGGTCAAGTCCTTCCTCTCAGTTCGTGAAGATGTAAGATGCTGGAGAAAATTGACTCAAAGACACCCCATACACGCACGCACACAGGAACCCACATCCGAACAATGAGCGAGGTAGGAGCTGGGGAGAGTGGCGCGGGGTCACCGCCAGATGCGGGGTGTGGCAACCTCCAGGCGGCCAAAGTCTCTGACTTCCAGGTTCTTCTGTTTGCTTACTCCCTATCCGGGGGCCCAAGGCGCTGTCTCCGCCGCCCAAGCCCCGCGTAAACCTGGGTGACCTCGGAGACATCCGTTGGAGCATGAGTTCCCGACATCAGGCGGCGGCGGTGGTCCGGGAGAAACCCGGCGGCGGGGAGATAAGCCTGCCCAGGAGGCAGGGGGCTGGGCTAGCTGCCCCGCCCCGCGCCTGACTTCGTTGGGGAGGGAGACGCCCGGCTCCCGCCCCTAACTAGCCCAGCCGCGCGGAGCGCCTGGGAGAGGAGAAGGAGCCGACCTGCCGAGATGGAGGCGACCGGCACCTGGGCGCTGCTGCTGGCGCTGGCGCTGCTCCTGCTGCTGACGCTGGCGCTGTCCGGGACCAGGGCCCGAGGCCACCTGCCCCCCGGGCCCACGCCGCTACCACTGCTGGGAAACCTCCTGCAGCTACGGCCCGGGGCGCTGTATTCAGGGCTCATGCGGGTAAGGGGCTCTGGGGACGTCCTGGCTAGGGGTGGGAGGATTCCTGGGAGAGAAACCCGAGTGCCAGGGTGAGGGGCTTTTCGGGTATCCTAGGGAGGAGGCAGGGGCAGGGGTCCCAAGGCAAAGGGGCTGCTGCTGTCCTGGGGTTGGGGGCAGGAGCAGGTTGTCCAGGGCTGAGAAGGGGAGAGGTGCCCGGGAGAGAGGATCGTGGGGTGGGGGACCAGGGCTAGGAGGGGCAGAGACCTCTGCCTACAGAATCCTGGGAAGGTGATGGGCAGGGACCGAGGCTGAAAGAGACAGGAGTCCTCCAGCCGAGGAGAAGCTGATGCAGCTGGGCTTGTCCCAGAGGGAGAGGTAGCTGGAGCCATACAGGTGGGGCATGCTGAAGAGGGCACAAAGAAGAAAAGGGGGAGGCGTCCCTGCGGGGAGTTGGAGGCAGAGAAGAGGCTGGAGGGTTGCAGGCTCAGAGAGGGGGTCCCGCTGAAGGAATCTGCCAGCAGAGAATGCAGGATGGGAGGATGGGTGGAGCTCAGTTGGGAGTTCCTGGGACTGGGGAGGAAGGAGAGCAAGAAAGAAGGCAGAGGCAGCCCCAGCCTTAGGGGATAGCAGGTGGGAGTGGGCAGAGGCCTGAAGTTTCCCATTCAAAAGGATTCTGGGTGACTTCAAGGACGTAGAAAAAAGGGTGGGGTCTTGGGGGAGAGATGGGGCGGATACTCAGCAGTGTCTGCTCCAGAATTTCAGGGTTTTGTGGTGACTGAAAGGGGTGGCTGGATATTTGGGGGGCAGGGAGGGCCCTAAGGAATTAAGGGAGACCCAAACTGCTTCTGGATTGCCCAGCGTCAGAGGTTAGGGTTCAGCAGGAAGCAAGGGAACGACAGGAAGTTGGGGGATGCCACTGAAGGATGTACTGGGGGAGGAGGCCCGGGAGCCTAGTGCAAAAAGAGAACTGAGCCTCAGCTATTTCTGCTGGGATGGGGGCAGGTTCCTGGTAGAGGGCGTAGAAGCTAGACCCGGTGGCTCCTCAAGTGACAGGGGCCATGATGGAGACACCTTGGATCGAAGAGGTCACAGCACCCTCCTCTTTCTTCCTCCCTACCCCCAGCTGAGTAAGAAGTACGGACCGGTGTTCACCATCTACCTGGGACCCTGGCGGCCTGTGGTGGTCCTGGTTGGGCAGGAGGCTGTGCGGGAGGCCCTGGGAGGTCAGGCTGAGGAGTTCAGCGGCCGGGGAACCGTAGCGATGCTGGAAGGGACTTTTGATGGCCATGGTAAGTCAAGGGCTGCTAGGCCCTCCGCTCACAGCCTGCCACCACTTACTGGTGTGTGACCTTTGCACATGGCTTAGTCCCTCTGTTGCCTCATCTGTCAAATGGAGTGATAACAGTGCCCATCAGCCGGGTGCAGTGGCTAGTGCCTGAAATCCCAACACTTTGGGAGGCGGAGGTGGGTGGATCACTTGAGGTCAGGAGTTCGAGACCAGCCTGGCCAACATGGTGAAACCCTGTCTCTACTAAAAATATAAAAATTAGCTGGGCATGGTGGTGCGTACCTGTAATCCCAGATACTTGGGAGGTTGAGGCAGGAGAATCGCTTGAACCCGGGAGGCAGATGTTGCAGTGAACCAAGACTGTGCCACTGCACTCCAGTCTGGGCAACAGAGTGAGCCTCCATCTCAAACAAACAAACAAAAAGCAGTGCCCATCATGTAGGATTGAGTGATTGAGTGAGGACTGAGCCTTGTGCAAAGTGAGCACTCACTAATCACCAGGTTGTAGTATCAGTGATAACCATCAATGATCCAGGTAAAGCCCTGAGGGTTCAGAAAGATGCCGGAGCGCTTTCAAGGTGCTGGGGATTGGTGGGCAAGCCCTCGAATAATAGAAACAGTTCTCTGTATTACAACAGAAAGCAGGAGGCCCATGCTGGGTGCTGCCAGGAACTCAGTAGTAACTAAGACAGCACCGGTGCTGCTTCCCCAGCGCACCTAGGCCAGTGGGGAAACAGACTCACCACACAGTCCCAGCCCAGAGTGGTCAGGGCCAAGATGGGGAAGCACGGGGAGAAAGGTCAGGGTGGGATGGGGAGGGGTCAGGGCAAGAGGGGTCAGGGCCAGGCTGAGGGAAGCCCTGGGACTGTAGGAATTTAGAGGAGGTACCTGACCCGGCATGTTTGGTGAGGGAGCTTCAGGAAGTCTTCCTGGAAGAGAGGCTGTCGGAGCTGAGACTCATAAGATGAGTGGGGAGGGTGTTCCAGGCAGAAAGACCAGCACCTACAAAAGCATGACTTTGAGAGAAGCATTCATCCATTCAACTGATGAATTTTCAGACTGGGCACGCTGGCTCATGCCTGTAATCCCAGCACTTTGGAAGGCTGAATGGGGAGGATGACTTGAGCCTAGGCATTTGTGACAAGCCTGGGCAACATGGTGAGACCCTGCCTCCACAAAACAAACAAACAAACAAAAAATCATTATACCTGGTACCATGGGTACCAGGTACATAGAAATGACTCAGGCAGATATGGTGTCCTCTCCTACTGTGGGAGAGGCGGGCTTATACTGCAGTAAGACAATAGAGGGAGGGAATATAATCCTAAAATGAGAGGTACAGATTTGAGAGCAAACACAGGGCACAGGCATATGTACGAGGGTAAAGAGGGAATCAGGGAAGGCTTCTCAGAGAAGGTGACATTTAAGCCGGGACATGAAGGATGAACGAGTTAGTTCACCAAGGATGGGATGGAAAGGGGTGAGAGTGATGGAGGCAGAGGGAACTGCAGGATCATAGGCCTAGACAGGGGATCCTGACGCCCTTGAGGAAGTGAGAGAAGACCAGCGCAGTCGTAGTGGGTTAAGTAACAAAGCTGAGAAGCCAGGGAAATCCCTGGTCATGCAGGGCCTGTGAGTCACGTCAGAGTGTTTGGGCTTTTGTTTTTCCTGGGAGCAGTCGATTTTAAGCAGGGAACAGCTGTATTCAGAGTTGGGAAGATCCTGTGGTTGCTGCCTGAAGGGGATGAAACTGGAGGCTAGGAGCCCAGGGTGATAGGGAGGATCCAGGGTGATGGGGAGGCTGGGAGGTCCGCGGTGATGGACCAGGGCTGGGGCCAGGGGATGGGGAGGAAGGAGTAATTGGGAGAGGCCTGGGGCTCTGGCCGAGGAATGGATGGTGGGCTGAAACAGGGAGAGGAGAGATGCTTAGGCCACTTTGGAACACAGTAGGGCAAGGACAGGAGACACCCAAGGGGAAGTGCCCAAGAGACCACGACAGGCTGGCATTGGACAGGGAAGGTCTGTCTGGAGCAGGTGTCTTGGATAAGGGAGGAAAATGGTGCAGTTCCATCCTCCTCCCTCTCTGTTCAACCTCTAAACTACATGGGGCACAGGACCCAGTGGGACTCCATAAATGATGGGATGGGTGGATGGAAGGAAGGAAGGAGGAAACAACTCTTCATTCATCCTGGTTATTTACAGAACAGGCCAGGTGCGGTGCTCACGCTTGCCATTCTAGCACTTTGGGAGGCTGAGGTGGGTGGATTACCTCAGGTCAGGAGTTCAAGACCAGCCTAGACAACGTAGAGAAACCCCATCTCTACTGAAGATATAAAATTAGCTGGGCGTAGTGGCATATGCCTGTAATCCCAGCTAGTCGGGAAGCTGAGGCAGGAGAATCGCTTGAACCCGAGAGGCAGAGGTTGCGGTGAGCTGAGATCGTGCCATTGCACTCCAGCCTGGGTGACAAAGCAAGACCTCGTCTCAATAATAATAATAATTACAAAACAGAAGGAGCCTGGGTCATCCCAGCTACCTACTTTTCAGGAGAATGTACTCCCTTACCCAAGGGCAAAGGATGGGAGAACCAGTTTGATTATGCATTTATTGAGCACCTACTGAGTCCTCATCCCTGGGCTAGGCTGGAATGGACTCAGATGGAGCCTGAAGAGTCCCCCTCAGGGAACCTCACTAGAAAGAAGGAGGAATCGGCCGGGCGCGGTGGCTCACGCCTGTAATCCCAACACTTTGGGAGGCTGAGGTGGGTGGATCACAAGGTCAGGAGATCGAGACCATCCTGGCTAACACAGTGAAACCCCATCTCTACTAAAAATACAAAAAATGAGCCAGGCATGGTGGCGGGCGCCTGTAGTCCCAGCTACTCAGGAGGCTGAGGCAGGAGAATTGCTTGAACCCGGGAGGCAGAGGTTGCAGTGAGACGAGATCACGCCACTGCACTCCAGCCTGGGCAACAGAGCGAGATTCCGTCTCAAAAAAAAAAAGAAAGAAAGGAAGAAGGGGGAATGGGGGAGAGGGGCCGGTCCCTTTTTGAGTCTAGCCTTCTGCGCAGGGGTTTTCTTCTCCAACGGGGAGCGGTGGAGGCAGCTGAGGAAGTTTACCATGCTTGCTCTGCGGGACCTGGGCATGGGGAAGCGAGAAGGCGAGGAGCTGATCCAGGCGGAGGCCCGGTGTCTGGTGGAGACATTCCAGGGGACAGAAGGTCAGCATGGCGGGGTCACCCCAGGGTCTCCAGCCGAGTGAAAGGGAAAACTCTCCTACTGTGGCTGGGGGTGGCCCCAACCCAGGTCCTGGAATGGGCAGGAGGGGAAGCCTTGAACTCTAGGGCTGGCCTGGGGGTTCTGTTCACTGCCACCTTCTGTCTCTGTCCCACTGTCTCTCCGAGGCTGTCATGACATCTCTCTGTGTGTCTCTGGTGCTATCATCCCATTCTTCCTGGGTCTCCATCTCTCTCTCTGTCTCTTTTCTTTCTCTCTCCTTTCCTCTATTTTTTGGGCCCTCAGTCTATCTCTGTTTCTGTCTCCCTGTCTGTGTGATGGTCACTCTGTTTCTTTCTCCCTGTCTGTTTCTCTGTCCCTATCTGTCTGTATCCTTCTTTGCCTGTTTAGCTCTCTCCCTGCGCTGTCCATCCATCTTTCCCTGCCTCCCTGTCTCTCTCTGGTTGGGTTCAGCTCCAACCTGCTCCCCTCTGCCTGGCTCCATCACAGCCTACCTCCCTGCCCCCATTCCCCCCAGGACGCCCATTCGATCCCTCCCTGCTGCTGGCCCAGGCCACCTCCAACGTAGTCTGCTCCCTCCTCTTTGGCCTCCGCTTCTCCTATGAGGATAAGGAGTTCCAGGCCGTGGTCCGGGCAGCTGGTGGTACCCTGCTGGGAGTCAGCTCCCAGGGGGGTCAGGTGAGTGGGTGGGACCCCTCTCCAACTACCTTCCCTGAAGGTTCCTGCCAAGGTCCCATGAGAACTAGCTGCCCTTCTCCCCACAGACCTACGAGATGTTCTCCTGGTTCCTGCGGCCCCTGCCAGGCCCCCACAAGCAGCTCCTCCACCACGTCAGCACCTTGGCTGCCTTCACAGTCCGGCAGGTGCAGCAGCACCAGGGGAACCTGGATGCTTCGGGCCCCGCACGTGACCTTGTCGATGCCTTCCTGCTGAAGATGGCACAGGTGTGGGAAGGGTGCAGGGACCCCCTCTCTGAATGGGCGTGGTGACCTGGCAGGTCCCCAGCCAGGTGTCCCTGGGGACCTCAATTGGGTTCCTCTCTCTTTCTCTCTCTGCATGTCTCTGTGAGTATGAGTGTCTCTGTGCATGTGTGTGCATCCCTTCTCTGCACATCTGTCTGTCCCTTTCAGGGCGTTGCTCTCACTGCCTCTCCCGCCCCCGACCTGGGCATTTGTGCCGGGCTGTCTGTCTCTCCAGCATCTCTCCTCTTTCTCCCTCCCACCTCGGCCCTTGTGTTCAGGCCCCATGCCCAGGGTCCTACACCAGCAATCCCCAGGATCACTTCATCCCATCCCCTGCAGCCTCCCCAGACTTTTATGTAAATTCACAATTTTATGTGAATTATGGTCATTTATTAGGAAGCCTTGCAATATCAAGTTATGTTAATAAAGTCCACTTTATTAATTATATAAGAACAATATTTCTTTTCCTTTTTTTTTTCTTTTCTTTTTAAAGAGACAGGATCTCTTTCTGTTGCCCAGGCTAGAGTACAGTTGCAAAATCATAGCTCACTGCAACCTTGAACTCCTGGGCTCAAGCAATCCTCCTGCCTCGGGCTCCTGAGTAGCTGGGACAACAGGTGTGCACCACCACACCTGGCTAAATTTTTTTTTTTTCTTTGTAGAGATAGACTCTCACTATGTTACCCAGGCTGGTCTTGAATTCCTGGGCTCATGTAATCCTCCTGCTGCCTTGAACTCCCAAAGTGCTGGGACTATAGGCATAAGACATCATGCCCGGTCGGGCACAGTGGCTCATGCCTGTAATCTCAGGACTTTGGGAGGCCGAGACGGGCGGATCACCTGAGGTCGGGAGTTCGAGACCAGCCTGACCAACATGGAGAAACCCCATCTCTACTAAAAAAAAAAATACAAAATTAGCCGGACGTGGTGGCACATGCCTGTAATCCCAGCTACTAGGGAGGCTGAGGCAGGAGAATCGCTTGAACCCGGGAGGCTTAGGTTGCGGTGAGCTGAGATTGCACCATTGCACTCCAGCCTGGGCAACAAGAGCGAAATTCCATCTCAAAAAAAAAAAAAAAGAAAAAAAGAAAAAAGACACCATGCCCTATAAGTAAACTAGAATTAAGGTGACTCCTAAGGAAATAAATAGTTTTTAACTGTACGAACTTTTGGAAGAATGGGGCCAATTCTTTAATTAAATGCAGCCTCCCTGTTTGTGGAGAAAGAAAAATTTTTCTTAACCCTATTGCCCCATTTCTTTTCTCTTTTATTGAATATTTTTTAGTTTTAACTATAGTAAAATACACATAACGTTTACCATCTTAACCATTTTTAGGTATACAGTACAGTAGTGTTCAGTACATTCATACTGTTATGCAATCAGTCTCCAGAACTCTTCATGTTGCAAAGCTGAAACTCTATACCCATTAAACAACTGCCTGTTCCTCCCTCCTCCAACCCCTGGCAATCACCTTTTTTTTTTTGAGATGAAGTCTCACTCTGTCACCCAGGCTAGAGTGCGGTGGCTCGATCTCGGCTCACTGCAAGCTCCGCCTCCCGGGTTCATGCCATTCTCCTGCCTCAGTCTCCCAAGCAGCTGGGACTACAGGTGCCCGTCACCACGCCTGGCTAATTTTTTGTATTTTTAGTAGAGATGGAGTTTCATCGTGTTAGCCAGGCTGATCTCAAACTCCTGGCCTCAAGTGATCCACCCGCCTCGGCCTCCCAAAGTGCTGGGACTACAGGCGTGAGCCACTGTGCCTGGCCAGGAAGTAGACTCTTGATATTAGTTCTCTCTGGTTGAAATGTTTTTAAAAATGAAAGAGAATGACTAATAACAAAAACACAGAAAGTTATAAGGATTGATGAAGATGTGGAGACTTTGAAACCCATGTATACCATTGGTGGGAATGTGAAACGACGCAGCCCTGTGGAAAATGGTACAGCAGTTACCTGAGGTCAGGAGTTTGAAACCAACCTGGCCAACATGCAGAAACCCCGTCTCCATTAAATGTACAAAAATTAGCCAGGCATGGTGGTGCGCACCTGTAATCCCAGCTACTCGGGAGGCTGAGGCAGGAGAATTGCTTGAACCCAGGAGGCGGAGGTTGCAGTGAGCCGAGATCGTGCCACTGCACTCAGCCTGGGCAACAAAGCAAGACTCTGTCTCAAAAAAAAAAAGTCTACTTCCCAACCTTCCCAAAAATTTATCTAAACCCCGTGACAAAACTTTAACTTGTGTTTCCGACCCCAGGCTTGGCTGTTCTGGACATTTACTTCCCAAAGGCTGTGTTCTCTCAGCCCCTCTGCCTGGTTTCTTTCAGGAGGAACAAAACCCAGGCACAGAATTCACCAACAAGAACATGCTGATGACAGTCATTTATTTGCTGTTTGCTGGGACGATGACGGTCAGCACCACGGTCGGCTATACCCTCCTGCTCCTGATGAAATACCCTCATGTCCAAAGTAAGAGCCTTTTCCACTTGCCAGGCCTTGGGAACAGAAGTCAGGGTTCTAGGCTGAGCAAGGTGGCTCACGCCTATAATCCCAGCACTTTGGGAGGCTGAGGCGGGCTGATCACTTGAGAATAGGAGTTTAAGACCAGCCTGGCCAACACAGTGAAACCCCATCTCTACTGAAAATACAAAAATTAGCGGGTGTGGTGGCATGCACTTGTAATCCCAGCACTCAGGTGGCTGAGGAGTGAGAATTGTTTGAGCCCAGGAGGTAGAAGTTGCAGTGAGCTGACATCACACCACTGCACTCCAGCCTGGGCGACAGAGCGAGACACTGTTTCAAAAAAAAAAAAGTGAGAATTCTAGAGGGAAGAGTGGGTGGGCCAAGCAGACAGGCTGAGTTAGATCTTTGAGGCATCGATGGGCATGGCGTTTGAGATGTCGAGGAGCCAGAAGAGGTTCAGGAGTTGCTGATTGCAGTATGAGGCACAGTGAAAAACAAGGCAGGTGTCTGTGGGCCTCATCGCCTTAGTGATACATTAGGTGCCTTATCCTGAGCCATGGGGAGCAATGCAATGACTTTGAGCAGGGGAGGGCAAGGTCAAATTGGTTTTTTATTTTTATTTTTTTTACTTTTTGTGGGGGATAGACTCTCACTCTGTTGCCCAGGCTGGAGTGCAGTAGTGCGATCTCGGCCCACTGCAACCTCCGGCCTCCTGGGTTCAAGCAATTCTCCTGCCTCAGCCTCCCAAGTAGCTAGGATTACAAGCATGCACCACCACGCCCAGCTAACTTTTGTATGTTTAGTAGAGACAGGGTTTCCCCATGTTGGCCAGGCTGGTCCCGAACTCCTGACCTCAAGTGATCTGCCCACCTCAGCCTTGCAAAGTGCTGGGATTACAGGCATGAGCCAAGGCACCCAGCCCAACTCTAGCATTTTCGGGTCAGGCAGCTGCTGTGGGCCATGGGGACGGGCTGACCTGGAATATGGGAGTGGAGGTCCTGGTAGTGTTGCAGGAGTGGAATTAGCTGTGACTTCCAGCAGTGACTTGGGTTCTCTGAGTCTGTTTCCTCACCTAGGAAATGGGGATGGATAACAATATGTACCTCACAAGGGTGCTATGGGAATTAAGAAAGTATGGATGAGCCAGGCATGGTGGCTTATACCTGTAATCCCAGCACTTTGGGAGGCTGAGGTGGGAGGATCACTTGAGGCTAGGAGTTCAAGATCAGCCTGGGCAGCATAATGAGGCCCTGTCTCTACCGAAAATAGAAAAATTAGCTGGGTGTGGTGGTGCGTGCCTGTGGTCATAGCTACTCAGGAGACTGAGGTGGAAGGATCACCTGAGCCCAGGAGGTGAGATGAAGGCTATTACAGTGAGCCGTCATTGTACTACTGCACCAGCCTGGGCAACAGAGTAAGACCCTGTCTCAAAAAAAAAAGAGAGAGAGAGAAGGCCAGGTACGGTGGCTCACATCTGTAATCCCAGCACTTTGGGAGGCCAAGGCAGGTGGATCACCTGAGGTCAGGAGTTCGAGACCAGCCTCGCTAACATGGTGAAACCCTGTCTCTATTGAAAATACAAAAATGAGCTGGGCATGATGGCAGGCGTCTGTAGTCCCAGCTACTCGGGAGGCTGAGGTGGGAGAATCTCCTGAACCCGGGAGGCGGAGTTGCAGCAAGCCAGGATCGCGCCACTGCACTCCAGCCTGGGTGGCAGAGCGTGTAATCCCAGCTACTCAGGAGGCTGAGGCGGGAGAATCGCTTGAATCCGGGAGGCAGAGGTTGTGGTGAGCCAAGATCGCACCATTGCACTCCAGCCTGGGCAACAAGAGCAAAACTCCGTTGCAAAAAAAAATAATAATAATAAAATGAAATAAAATAAAATAAAATAAGAGAGAGAGAAGATAGATGGAACACCCAACACACAAGATGTGTGGTCTTTGGGCTCAGTGAGGGCTGGGGGACCACTCCTCCCCACCTGTCAGCCTCACCCCAAACTACAGCTATGCAAGCAGATGGGCTTCTGAGAGGAGGATCCCTGGGCCCTACCCCCGTCTGACTCCTGCCCTCCTCTTGCTTGCAGAGTGGGTACGTGAGGAGCTGAATCGGGAGCTGGGGGCTGGCCAGGCACCAAGCCTAGGGGACCGTACCCGCCTCCCTTACACCGACGCGGTTCTGCATGAGGCGCAGCGGCTGCTGGCGCTGGTGCCCATGGGAATACCCCGCACCCTCATGCGGACCACCCGCTTCCGAGGGTACACCCTGCCCCAGGTGGGTATGCGTATGGCTGCCACCCATGGTTCTCTGCCTCGGGGCCTGAGCCCGGGTGGTTTGCTGTCAGTGTCTCCCTGACTTTTTCTTGATCTTAGTGTCTCTCTCTCTCTCTCTCTGTCTTTATCTCCCTCTCTTTCTCTGTCTCTGTCTTCCTCCTCCACTCCTACCCCCCTGCATCTTTCTTCTCCTTCTTTCTCTGACACCCCCTCCCTTTCTGCATATATTTTTTTTCTTTTTTTGAGACAGAGTCTCGCACTGTCGCCCGGGCTGGAGTGCAATGGCGTGATCTCAGCTCACTGCAACCTCCGCCTCCCAGGTTCAAGTGATTCTCCTGCCTCAGCCTCCTGAGTAGCTGGGATTACAGGTGCCCACCACCACGCCCAGCTAATTTTTTGTATTTTTAGTAGACACGGGGTTTCATTATGTTGGTCAGGCTGGTCTTGAACTCCTGACCTCGTGATCTGCCCGCTTCGGCCTCCCAAAGTGCTGGGATTACAGGCGTGAGCCACCGCACCCAGCCATGCTTTCTGCATCTTTTAACTCTTTCTGTTTCTTTTTGGTTTGTGTTTTCTTCCCCTTTGACTCTATCTCTGGGCCCCATCTGCCCCACAGATCTCCCAATTCTACCTCCTTCCAAGGTGGTTGGGACAATCGAATGAGGTAACATACAGAGAAGCAGTTTGAAAACTGAGGAGCAAGTCCAGGACTAAGGGAAGCCCTCTTGACCCTTAGCCCCTGCTGCAGACACATTCTCTCCTCTGTCTCTCTCTCTCAATCTCAGTGCCCTTCACTGGAGAGCAGCTCCGATGCAGAACCAAAAGGGGGCGATGTTTCCCCAGAAACCCCAGCAGTTTATGCAAGCAGCTCCCTCCTCCACCTTCACTGCAGAATCAAACCTATGGCAGTTAGGATCCAGTGCTGCTATGCTGCTATTTTCTTTTTCTTCTTCTTCTTTTTTTTTTTTTTTTTTTTTCCGAGATGGAGTCTCGCTCTGTTGCCCAGGCTGGAGTGCACTGGCGTGATCTCGGCTCACTGCAACCTCCGCCTCCCAGGTTCAAGCAATTCTCTTGCCTCAGCCTCCTGGGTAGCTGGGATTACAGGTGTATGCCACCACACCCGGCTAATTTTTGTCTTTTTAGTAGAGATGGGTTTTCACCATGTTGGTCAGGCTGGTCTCAAACTCCTGACCTCATGAACTGCCTGCCTCGGCCTCCTAAAGTGCTGGGATTACAGGCGTGAGCCACTGCACCTGGCCTACCCCCTCCTGTTTTGTAGATGGGGCCTTGGGCAAATCACTTCCCCCCCTGAACCTCAATATATCCCTCCTCTACATTAGAAACAATAATAGTATCAACTTGAAGCTGTAAGATAATGCTTGTAAAACAAACACCAACTCAACTCTTGGGAACCGGTCCTGTGTACCAGGCAGCAACAATTTAATGATGATAATGACAGGTATCCAGGCTTGAGGACCTGCTCTGCACCAGGGGTTATTCTGAGTGCTTTGCATATCTATTATCTCATTTAATCTTTAAAGCAACCCTATACCATTATCATGCCCATCTTACAGATAAGGAAACTGAGAGCTTGAAAAGTTTTTAGAGGATTTGCCAAGGTCCCCCAGCCTGCAAATAGTAGATTCAAGATTTGAACTCAGAGACTATGCCTTAACTACTATTCTTTGCCTTTCTTTCTTTCTTTTTTTCTTTCTTTCTTTCTTTCTTTCTTTCTTTCTTTCTTTCTCTCTCTCTCTTTCTTTCTCTCTTTCTTTCTTTCTTTCTCTCTCTCTCTCTTTCTTTCTTTTCTTTTTCTTTCTCTCTCTCTCTCTTTCTTCCTTTCTTCCTTCCTCCCTTCCTCCCTTCCTCCCTTCCTGTCTTCCTCTCTTTCTCTCTTTCTTTCTTGACAGGGTCTCTCTTTGTCTCCCAGGCTGGGGTGCAGTGGTACAAGCATAGCTCACAGCAGCCTTGAACTCCTAGGCTCAAGTGATCCTCCCACGTCAGCCTCCTGAGCAGCTGGGACAACGGGCTCATACCACCATGCCTGGCTAATTTTTTAATTTTTCCTAGAGACAAGGTCTTGTTATATTGCCCAGGCTGGTCTCAAACTCCTGGGCTCAAATGCTTCTCTCACCTCAGCCTCCCACGTGGCTGGGATTACAGGCATGAGCCACTGCACGCCACTCAACACTCCACAAATGTTGATGCCATTAGGTTTTGTGAACTAGTGTCCCTGGCACCCGAGACTTGTACTCCACACTCGAGGACCAAATGGACTGGGGTGGGAAGGGGTTTATAGTTTCATTATTATTTCCCCTCAGGGCACGGAGGTCTTCCCCCTCCTTGGCTCCATCCTGCATGACCCCAACATCTTCAAGCACCCAGAAGAGTTCAACCCAGACCGTTTCCTGGATGCAGATGGACGGTTCAGGAAGCATGAGGCGTTCCTGCCCTTCTCCTTAGGTATCTGCTGCAGCCCTGGGTATCACAAGCAGGTGCTGGCGAACTCCAGGCATCTGTGCCAGCTGGGGGCACCCTTCTGCACCCTGGGCTTACTGTTGGCTCCTCCACCTGCTGTTCCCCCCGTGGGCCTGGGTGTGAGGAATACTGACTCAGCCCTCTCTCTCTCTCTCTCCTCACCAGGGAAGCGTGTCTGCCTTGGAGAGGGCCTGGCAAAAGCGGAGCTCTTCCTCTTCTTCACCACCATCCTACAAGCCTTCTCCCTGGAGAGCCCGTGCCCGCCGGACACCCTGAGCCTCAAGCCCACCGTCAGTGGCCTTTTCAACATTCCCCCAGCCTTCCAGCTGCAAGTCCGTCCCACTGACCTTCACTCCACCACGCAGACCAGATGAAGGAAGGCAACTTGGAAGTGGTGGGTGCCCAGGACGGTGCCTCCAGCCTCAACAGTGGGCATGGACAGGGTTAATGTCTCCAGAGTGTACACTGCAGGCAGCCACATTTACACGCCTGCAGTTGTTTTCCGGAGTCTGTCCCACGGCCCACACGCTCACTTGACTCATGCTGCTAAGATGCACAACCGCACACCCATACACAACTACAAGGGCCACAAAGCAACTGCTGGGTTAGCTTTCCACAGACATAAATATAGTCCATCTGCAATCACAAGCACATAGCCAGGTAACCCACCAACTCCCCTGGATCTGCAGCCCACACGTGGGAGTCTGGCTGTCACCTTCACAAGCCACAGAAACGGCCACACATGTTCACAGCTCACACGCCCTCTCCATTCATCGAACTTCTCAGTGTCCCTGTCCCTGGTGCCTGGCACAGGGAACAGCATGCCCCCTCCGGGGTCATGCCACCCAGAGACTGTCGCTGTCTATGGCCCCAACTCATGCTCCCTCTCTTGGCTACACCACTCTCCCAGCCTGTGACCACCGATGTCCACACACCCCCAACCACTTGTCCACACAGCTACCCACGTACGACATCGTCCTGGCTCCCCAGAGTATCTTCCCACTGAGACACGCCGCCCCCACAGAGGCACAGTCCCCAGCCACCTCTGCAACTGCAGCCCTCAGTCACCCCTTTTTAAGCACCCTGATTCTACCAAATGCAAACACATCTGGGTCTGCGATTATGCACAGAGACTTTGGACATACGAGGACCCTCAGACCGGAGGAACACCTGCCCAACCCCAACACGTGCTTATGTAACCACGTGGAAAGCGGCCCCTGCTGCCCCTCCACACACACATACACACTCACTGATCTACAGCCCCTGTTCGGCGTCAGAGTCCCCACTAGACCCAGTGGAAGGGGTTAGAGACCAAGTAGGGGCCAGTTTCCAATTCACCCTGTCAGGGAGTGAGCCGGATCTGACGTTCCTTGTGACTTAAGGGTCCGGCTTGGGAATTAAAGTTTGTTTCTGGCCTTTAGCCTACTGCGTGTGTGACCCGTGTCAGTCACTGTGAGTAAGGGGTGGGGACAGGGGAGTCCACCCCTCCCCTGAGGCTGGGCGGGAGCTGAAAAACATGGCCACCGCCCACCCTGGCTGTTGACATCAGGACCAGATGTGGAGCTGGGAGGAGGGGCAGGGCTGGTGACGCCCTGGGCCTCATTTCCAAAAAGGGCCAAGGTGTCCGGCGGTGGGAAGTGGGCAAGGAGGGGGTAACCCAAGCTGGACTGTGGACCTTGGGGGCTTCCTCAGCCAGGGAGAGCCTGAAGCCAACTAGATCCAGACCCTAGAGACTCTTCAAACTTGAGTACAGGAACTAGCTTGCAACACAGACTCTAAGCCCACTCCCATTTCTTCCACCCTTTTTCTCTTGCCTCCCCTTCACAAGGAAACCAGAGGCATTTGTAAATTTCCTTTCTTTTTTTTTTTTTTTTTTTTTTTGAGACGGAGTCTCACTCTGTCACCCAGGCTGGAGTGCAGTGGTGTGATCTTGGCTCACTGCAGCCTCCGCCTCCGGGTTCAAGCCATTCTCCTGCCTCAGCCTCCCAAGTAGCTGGGATTACAGGTGTGTGCCACCACGCCCAGCTAATTTTTGTATTTTTAGTAGAGATGGGGTTTCACCATGTTGGCCAGGCTGGTCTCGAACTCCTGACCTCAGATGATCTGCCAGTCTCGGCCTCCCAAAATGCTGGGATTACAGGCGTGAGTCGCTACTAGATAAATTTCTTATCTAGCAAAGAAGTTTGCAAACATACGCAAAAGTAGAAAGATACAATGAGCCCCCAGGTGCCCATCACCCAGCCTCATTTCAATAGTCATCAACTTTCTGCAGCTTTTACTTCATCTATATCCTTTTCTGCCTCTTTTTTTTTTTTTTTATTTTGAGATAGGGTTTTGCTTTGTTGCCCAAGCTGGGGTGCAGTAGCATGATCTCATAGTTCACTGTGGCTTCAGACTCCTAGGCTCAAGTGATCCTCCCGCCTCGGCCTCCAAGCAGCTGGGACTACAGATGCGTGCCACCACACCCAGCTAAATTTCTTATTTTTATTTTCTATAGAGAAAGTCTCACTATACAGCCTGTGCTGGTCTCAAATTCCAGGCCTCAAGAGTTTCCATCCCAGCCTCCCAAAGTGCTGGGATTATAGGCGTGAGTCACTGCACCCTGCCCTGATATTTTTATTTTATCTATTGCTTTTTATTTACTTATTTATCTTTTATTTTTGAGACAGAGTCTCACTCTGTTGCCCATGCTGGAGTGCAGTGGCATCATCTCGGCTCACTGTAACCTCCGCCTCTTAGGTTCAAGCAGTTCTCCTGCCTTGACCTCCCGAGTAGCTGGAATTACAGGTGCCTGCCACCAAGCCTGGCTAATTTTTTTATTTGTAGTAGAGATGGGGTTTTGCCATGTTGACCAGGCTGGTCTCGAACTCCTGACCTCAGGTGATCTGCCCACCTTGGCCTCCCAAAGTGCTGAGATTACTGGTATGAGCCACCGTGCCTGGCCACCTATTGCTTTTTAAAGATTATTTTTTTATTATTATTATTTTTTTATTTGAGATGGAGTTTCGCTATTGTTGCCCAGGCTGGAGTGCAATGGCGTGATCTCAGCTCACCGCAACCTCCGCCTCCCAGGTTCAAGCGATTCTCCTGCCTCAGCATCCCTAGTAGCTGGGATTACAGGCATGCACCACCATGTCCAGCTAATTTTGTATTTTTAGTAGAGACGAGGTTTCTCCAGGTTGGTCAGGCTGGTCTCAAACTCCCAACCTCAGGTGATCCGCCCATCTCGGCCTCCCAAAGTGCTGGGATTACAGGTGTGAGCCACCGCGCCTGGCCTTAAAGATTATTTTAAGGCAAATTACAGAAAGCAATTTAATGCACATTTCTGAGAGTTAAAGATATTTTTGCCCTTGACATTTTATGAGGACAGTTTTCAAACATGCAGCAAAGTTGAGGGAATTGTACAAGGAACACCTTGTGCACTTCCTGGGTTCTCCCACTAGCACTTTGCTACACTGCTTTCTGACGTTTCTACACACCTGACCACCAGCTCAGGATTTATTTATTTATCTATTTATTTTGAGACAGAGTTTTGCTCTTGTTGCCCAGACTGGAGTGCAATGGTGTGATCTCGGCTCACGGCAACCTCCACCTCCTGGGTTCAAGTGATTCTTCTGCCTCAGCCTCCCAAATAGCCGGGATTACAGGCATGCGCCACCACGCGTGGCTAATTTTTGTGTTTTTAGTAGAGACGGGATTTCTCCATATTGGTCAAGCTGGCCTCAAACTCCCGACCTCATGTGATCTGCCTGCCTCTGCCTCCCAAAGTGCTGGGACTACAGGTGTGAGCCACTGCGCCTGGCCAATTTTTTTTTTTTTTAGACGAAGTCTCACTCTGTCACCCAACCTGGAGTGCAGTGGCATGATCTTGGCTCACTGCAGCCTCCACCTCCCAGGTTCAAGCGATTCTCCTGCCTCAGCCTCCTGAGTAACTGGGATTACCAGCGAGCGCCTGGTTAATTTTTGTTTTTTTAGTACAGATGGGGTTTCATCGTGTTGGCCAGGTGTGAGCCACCATGCCCAGACCAGTTCAGGACTTTTTAGGCATTTCCGAGTAAACGCACGTATCAGTTCATCAAAAAACTTAAGCAATGCATATATCATTAGCGAAAGCTTCTTTTTTAAAAAAAAAAATCCAAGATGTTAACACTTTATTGGCTTAAGTTCTATAGAGATAGCACAAAACAGAGAATAATAGAGAACTGAAAGATGAGATTGGAATCAGATCCTAACTTTGCCACCTCCTAGCTGGTCACACCTTGACTGAGGCTTTACCATCTTAAAGCCTTAATAAATTGATAAGATGTAAGAAATGTGGGCCAGGCACAGTGGCTCACACCTGTAACCCTTGTTGAGGGACCGAGGTGGGAGGATTGCTTGAGCCCAAGGGTTCAAGACCAGCCTGGCCAAAAGGGCAAGACTCTGATTCAAGGGAAAAAAAAAAAATCCAGAAAGAAATGTGAAAACTTTCAGAACTTCGTAGGAAATAAATATCTGCTAAGTTCTTCTTGGATTTAATATTATTACTATTTTTTATATGTCGGTGCACTTTGAAAAGGAATGAAGTTTAAGGTTTTCTTCTTTTAAAAGTAAGGCAATGGGGCCAGGTGCGGTGGCTCACGCCTTTAATCCCAGCACTTTGGGGAGGCTGAGGCAGGCAGATCACTTGAGGTCAGGAGTTCGAGAGCAGCCTGGACAACATGGTGAAACGCGGTCTTTACCAAAGATACAAAAACTAGCCAGGCATGATGGCAGGCACCTGTAATCCCAGCTACTCAGGAGGCTGAGACAGGAGAATTGCTTGAACCCAGCAGGCAGAGGTTGCAGTGAGCCAGGACTGTGCCACAGCACTCCAGCCTGGGTGACAGAGTAAGACTCCATCTCAAAAAAATAAAAAATTAAATTAAGGCAATGATTTGCATTCCTTTGCAGTCAAAATTCACATTCAGGGAAATCTGGAATCAGGTAGAAATACAAGCAGACCTATTTATTTAAAGAGGTGGGCTATAGCCGGGCATGGTGGCGGGCACCTGTAGTCCCAGCTACTTAGGAGGCTGAGGCAGGAGAATGGTGTGAACCCGGGAGGCAGAGCTTGCAGTGAGCCGAGATCACACCACTGCACTCCAGCCTAAGCGACAGAGTGAGACTCTGCCTCAAAAAAAAAATTTTTTTTTTTAAATAATAAAAAAAATAATAAAGAGGCGGGCTGGGCACGGTGGCTCACGCCTGTAATCCCAGCACTTTGGGAGGCTGAGGTGGGCGGATCACGAGGTCAGGAGATCGAGACCATCCTGGTTAACATGGTGAAACCCCGTCTCTACTAAAAATACAAAAAAGTAGCCAGGCGTGGTGGTGGGCGCCTGTAGTCCCAGCTACTGAGGCAGGAGAGTGGTGTGAACCCGGGAGGCAGAGCTTGCAGTGAGCTGAGATAGTGCCACTGCACTCCAGCCTGGGCGACAAGGCAAGACTCTGTCTCAAAAATAAATAAATAAATAAATACATAAATACATAAATAAATAAATAAAGAGGCATGTCGGCCTGGGCATGGTGGCTTATACCTATAATCTTAGCACTTTGGTAGGCTGAGGTAGGAGAATCGCTTGAGCCTAGGAGCTTGAGACCAGCCTGGACAATATAGTGAGACCCCATCTGTACAAAAAAGAAAACAAACAAACAAACAAAGGCACAGACTTTGCACTGTATCAATATAAAAGTTGACATCAGGATGATTTCAGTAGCAAGTAAAAAAATACAGAAACTCAAAATGGCTTAAACAATAAAGAAGAATTATTGGTCCCCAAAGTAAAAATGGAATCGGTGTGGTCTTCAAATAGTTTTCTGCGTGTGTTAAAATATACACATAATAATATTATTTTAACCATTTAGAAGTATACAATTTAGTAGCATTAAATATATTCGCAATGGGCCAGGCGTGGTGGCTCACGCCTGTAATCCCATCACTTTGGGAGGCCGAGACAGGCGGATCACCTGAGGTAGGGAGTTCGAGACCAGCCTGACCAACATAGAGAAACCCCCTCTCTACTAAAAATACAAAATTAGTCGAGCGTGGGGGTACATGCCTGTAATCCCAGCTACTCAGGAGGCTCAGGCAGGAGAATTGCTTGAACCCGGCAGGTGGAGGTTGCAGTGAGCAACCTGCACTCCAGCCTGGGCAACAAGAGTGAAACTCTGTCTCAAAAAAAAAACAAAAAAAATATTCACAATGTTGTATAACCATCACAACTATTTGTGCCCAAAATGTTTCCATTGTTTCCAACAAAAACTACCCATTAAATAATAACTCTGGCTGGGCGTGGTGGCTCACACCTGTAATCTCAGCACTTTGTGAGTCCAAGGCAGGCGGATCTCTTAAGCCCAAGAGTTCAAGACCAGCCTGGGCAACATAGGGAAACGCTATCTCTACAAAAAGTGAGACTGGTGTGGTGGTGCACACTTGTAGTCCCAGTTACTCAGGAGGCTGAGGTGGGAGGATCACCTGAGCCTGGGAGGACAAGGCTGCAGTGGGCTTTGATCACACCACTGCACCCCAGCCTGGGTGACAGAGTGAGCCCATCTCAAACAACAACAACAAAAAACACAATAACTCCCCATTAAAGTTTATTTTTTAAAAGTCAAAACTACAATACTCATTTTCACACCTATCACAACGAACAATTCTGTTATTCATTCATTGTATTCATAGTGATTCATAGTGTTCACATTTTCACATTTCTCTGATAGTCTCATAAATGTCCTTTTTTTTTTTTTTTGAGATGGAGTCTCGCTCTGTTGCCCAGGCTGGAGTGTAGTGGCATGATCTCGGCTCACTGCAACCTCCGCCTCCGGGGTTCAAGTGATTCTCCTGCCTTAGCCTCCCGAGCTCCCAAGTAGCTGAGACTACCAGTGTGCGCCACCACACCTGGCTAATTTTTGTATTTTTAGTAGAGATGGAGTTTCACCACGTTGGTCAGGCTGGCCTGGAACTCCTGATCTGCTAATTTGCCTGCCTTGGCCTCCCAACATGCTGGGATTACAGGTGTGAGCCACTGCACCTGGCCTGTCCTTTAAAAAAAAAAAAAAAAAAAGATAGGCTGGAGTGCAGTGGCACAATCTCTGCTCACTGCAACCTCTGCTTCCCAGGCTCAAGTGATCCTCTCGTCTCAGCCTCCTGAGTAGCTGCGATTATAGGCACACACCACCACACCTGGCTAATTTAAAAAAAAATTTTTTTTTTTTTGTAGAGATGGGATTTCATTATGTTTCACAGGCTGGCCTCAAACTCTTGGGCTCAAGCAATCCTCTCTCCTTGGCCTCCCAAAGTGCTGGAATATTAATGTCTTTTAAAATTGGTTTGTTCAAATCAGAATCTGAATTTTGTTTGAAATGTCTATTAAGTTTTTAAAATCTGTAACTGTTACCCATCCTTTTACATGCCATTAATTTCTTGAATCAACTGGGTCTTTGGCCCTGTGCAATTTTTCACATTCTGGATTAGGCTGGCAGCATCTTTGTGGTGCTGTTCAAGATGTCCTTCTGTTCCCAGGATCTCCTGTAAACTGGGAATTAGATCAGATTCAGGCTCATTCTGGCAAGAGATCCTCCCTGGAGGTGCTGGGCCACATCTTGTTGCATCACATTGCAAAATTGATGGTCCCATGTGTAGTGACGCTTAAAATTAACGTGTCCAGGTCCTGATCCCTCTGTTAGAAACTCTGCCAACCAGCCAGGTGCACAGTGACTCACGCCTGTAATCCCAGCACTTTGGAAGGCCGAGACGGGAGGATCTCTTGAGCCTAGGAGTGCAAAACCAGCCCAGATAACAAAGTGAGACACTGTCTCTACGAAAAACTTAAAAAATTAGCCAGTTATTGTGGCACACACCTGTGGTCCCAGCTACTTGGGAGGCTGAAGTGGGAGGATCACTTGAGCCTAGGAGGTCGAGGCTGCAGTGAGCTGTGTTCATGCCACTGCACTCCAGCCTGGGCAACAGAGGAAGAACGTATCAACCTTTCACTTGCCTTAGCAGAGGGATCCTTTAAAACTAGATCAGATGGTATCACTCCTGTTCATATCATAGTTAAAACAAAGACCAAAGTTTTTGCCAGGCCAAGGCTTGCCCTCACCCCAAGCCCACCTTCCCTCTACTCCTGCCCCCAACTGTTCCAGCCACAAACAGGCCTCCTCACAGTTCTTCACATGCCTGCCACACGCCTGCCTCTGGGCCTTTGCACTGGCTATTCCCTCCACCTGGAATGCTGTTCCCCACAGGGCTCACTTGCTAATTTACTTCAGATCTCAATCATAGCCTGAGAGAAGCCTTCCCCCATCATCCTCTCTAAAACAGCACCCACACCTCTCACTATCCCCTGCTTTCTTTTCCTTTTTCTTTTTTTGTTTTTGTTTGTTTGTTTGTTTGTTTGTTTTTTGAGATGGAGTTTTGCTCTGTCGCCCAGGTTGGAGTGCAATGAAGCGATCTTGGCTCAAAGCAACCTCCTCCATTGGGGTTCAAGTGATTCTCCTGCCTCAGCCTCCCAAGTAGCTGGGATTACAGGTGTGTACCACCACACCCAGATAATTTTGGGTTTTTAAAATTTTTTTTTTAAGACGGAATCCTGCTCTGTCACCCAGGCTGTAGTGCAGTGGCGTGATCTCGGCTCACTTCCTGCAACCTCTGCCTACTGCATTCAAGCAATTCTCCTGCCTCAGCCTCCCGAGTAGCTGGGACTACAGGTGCGCACCACCACACCAAGATAATTTTTGTATTTTTAGTAGAGACAGGGTTTCACCATGTTGGCCAGGCTGGTCTCAAACTCGTGACCTTGTGATCCGCCTGTCTCAGCCTCCCAAAGTGCTGGGATTACAGGCGTGAACCACAGTGCCTGACTAATTTTTGTATTTTTAGTAGAGATGGGTTTCACCATGTTGGCCAGGCTGGTCTCAAGCTCCTGACCTCAGGTGATCCGCCCACCTCGGCCTCCCAAAGTGCTGGGATTATAGGCATGAGCCACTGTGCCTGGCCCTTGCTTTATTTTTCTTCACTGCACATCTTGCAACATGATAAGTATTTATGTGAGTGTTATTTCTCTTCCCCTTTGAATGGAAACTCCAGTAGGATGTGGACTTGTCTTGCTCATTGTAGAAACCCCACCCCAGCACCACCTGTCCATCTTTTCTTTTCTTTTTTTTTTAGAGATAGGGTCTCACTCTGTCATCCAGACTGGAATGCATTGGCACCATCATAGCTTGTTGCAGCCTCAAACTCCTGGGCTCAAGCGATCCTCCTGCCTCAGTCTCCCCAAGTAGCCAAGACTATGTGTGCAAGAACACCTGGCTAATTAAAAAAATTTTTTGGAAGACACAGGGTCTGGCTATGTTGCCAGGCTGGTCTTAAACCCCTAGCCTCAAGCAACCCTCCAACCTGGGCCTCCTAAAGTGTGGGATTATAGGTGCGACCCACTGCACCCAGCCCCGAATCTTTTTCTCTTTTTTGGGGGGGGAGGGGGGATGGTCTCTGCTGTCACCCAGGCTGGAGTGCAGTGGCATAATCCTGGCTCACTGCAACCTCCACCTCCCAGGTTCAAGAGATTATCCTGCCTCAGCCTCCCAAGTAACTGGGACTACAGGTGCACACCACCATGCCTGGCTAATTTTTTTTGTATTTTTAGTAGAGATGGGGTTTTAAAATGTTGGCAAGGCTAGTCTCGCGCTCCTGACCTCAAATGATCCACCCACCCGGGCCTCCCAAAGTGCTGGGATTACAGATGTGAGCCACCAAGCCCGGCCCCCGTCTCATTTTTTAAAATGCATTTCAAAGTAAATTGCAGGCACATAGCAGGTGCTCAGCAAATAGTTCATATAGTTCATGAGTGAATGAATTCACAGGTTCAAGTAGGCCATCAACCAGCTGGGTCCACTGAGCCCTAGGGTGGGCAGGGGCCCCCCAACATATCTAAACAAGTGAACAGATCTTTGCACATATTTGCACCCCTCAAAAATGCCACAATAGGCCGAGCGTGGTGGCTCACACCTGTAATCCCAGAACTTTGGGAGGCCGAGGCAGGCACATCACCTGAGGTCAGGAGTTTGAGACCAGCCTGGCCAACATGGTGAAACCCCATTTCTACTATGAATACAAAAATTAGCCAGGCATTACGGTAGTTCCTGCAGTCCCAGCTACTCAGGAGGCTGAGGCAGGAGAATCTCTTGTACCTGGGAGTTGGAGTTTGCAGTGAGCCCGGATTGCGCCACTGCACTCCAGCCTGGGTGACAGCGAGAGACCATCTCCCCAACCAAAAAGAAAAAAAGAGATCGGGCTGGGTGCAGTGGATCACACAGTGGGTCACGCAGTGGGTCACGCCTATAATCCCATACTTTAGGAGGCCCAGGTGGAATGATTGGCCAGGCTTACCTCGTGATCCACTCGCCTCGGCCTCCCAAAGTGCTGGGATTACAGGCTTGAGCAGCCACGTCTGGCCCCTAAAACAGTTTTTTAAAATTAGCCAGGTGTGCTTGCACACATAGTCTTGGCTACTCGGGGAGGCTGAGGCAGGAGGGTCACATAAGCCCAGGAGTTTGAGGCTTCAGCAAGCTATGATGGCGCCACTGCATTCCAGTCTGGATGACAGAGCAAGAAGACAGAATGCTTGAACTGGGAAGTGGAGTTTGCAGTCTGCTAAGATACAGCCACCGCACTCCAGCCTGGGCGACAGAGTGAGACTCTGTCTCAAGAAAAAAAAAATGCCACAATAAGGAATTGTCCCCTTTATGGCAGGCCTTTTACAGGGCGGTGAAGATGCAGCAGTTCCCAAAATATACCCAGTCCCTTCCCCCGCAGAGCCCACAGGCCAGTGGGAGGAGACAGATGTGAGACACATAATCATGCCAATAAATATATAATGACAACCCAGGCAAAGTGTTGCCAAGGAAAGGGACAGCATGTTGGGAGTGAACAATATGAGGACCTAGATTGGGCTGGGGGGGCCAGGCAGTGATGCGATGGAGAAGGGATGATAGAGTTGGGGACAAAGTGCTGCAGGAGGTTGCTCCAAGTCCTCTGAGGGGGCTCTTTGGGTGAGAAAGCGAGAGAAGCCTGGGGAGGCGAGGGGAGGGTCACAGAAACATAAGGAGTTTAGGGTTCTGCTGAAAGGTTTGGGGCAGAGGTGGGAAAGGGTTTGGTTTGAGATTGGGAAGAAGCCTTCTGACTGTTGAGTGGGAGACAGGTTGGAAGGAGCAACAGAAGCCAGCAGCCCATGGCCGGGCACAGTGACCCACGCCTGTAATCCCAGCCCTTTGGGAGGCCGAGGCGGGCAGATCACGAGTTCAGGAGTTCCAGACCAGCCTGGCCAACATGGTGAAACCCCGTCTCTACCAAAAATACAAAAATTAACCTGGCATGGTGGTGCACACCTGTAATCCCAGCAACTCAGGAAGCTGAGGTGGGAGGATCACTTGAACCCAGGAGATGGAGGTTGCAGTGAGCCGAGATCGAGCCATTGCACTCCAGCCTGGGCAACAAAGCAAGACTGGGTCTCAAAAAAAAAAAAAAAAAAAAAGACACAGCCCAGGGAGACAACGGTGAAGGGCCCTAAGTGGCCAGTGACAAGGAGCTGGGAGCTTGCCCTGAGGGCAGCAGGAGGCCATGGGCAAGCAGAGAAGGGACAGGGTAGGATTTGACTTTCAGAAACAGTCCTCTGGTTGCTAAATGGGAGAAAGGAGTGACAGTAGAGGCAGGAGAAGGCAGGATCAGACGGGGGTGCTGGGAAGGGGCAGGTAGAAGAGACATCAGGAGGCCAAACAGATAGGACTTTATGATGCACCGTAGGTATACCAGTACCCAAACACAGGTGGCCAAGAGCAGAGGGATAGACGCCCAGCCTCCTCCTCACAGACATCCAGGCATGCAGAGCCCTCCACGTGCCAAACACACAGGGCCGAGGAATGGAAGTGCAGCAGAGCCGATACGCAGGCAGCAGATCTGCAATAACCAGGACACACAGTCCCACCAGAAGGAGAGAGCAGTGGAATGATCAGGGCTCACTGCAGCCTCGATCTCTTGGACTCAAGCGTTCCTCTCACTCCAGCCTCCCTAGTAGCTGGGACCACAGGCACACGCCATGATACCTGGTTAAGTTTTAATTTTTAAACTTCTTGTAGAGATGGGGGTCTCAGTGCATTGACCAGTCTGGTCTCGAACTCCTGGGCTCAAGCGATCCTCCCACCTTGGCCTCCCAAAGTGCTGGGATTACAGGAGTGAGTTACTGTGCCCGGCCAACAACTATTCTTATTCCCATTTTACAGATGGACAAACTGAGGCTCAGGAGGCCAGTCACTTGCCTGTAGCCCACAGTTAGTGGTAGCACTGGGATTCCAACTTGGGTCCCCTTCATGTCGCCTGTATTTGGTGTCCCATTTAGGCGTCCATGCAGGTTTTGGCGTGTCTGAAGATCTGTGTCTCCCCAAGTAAGTGTCCCCCATGGATGCCCACCCAGCCGTGTCCTCCTGTCTCTGAGGTTTCTCCAGGAATCGAGCTCCTGGCCTGGCTTGTCTGAGTGTGTCTGTGGGCCAGTAGCATGCCCCTGCCCGTCTGGGTCCCTCTGCGTGTCTCTGCTTGTCCTAGCCTGTGTGTGTCAGTGACGTCTAAGAGTGTGTGTGCGTGCGTGCGTGCGTGCGTGTGTGTGTGTGTGTGTGTGTCCTTGTCCGAGGAGCCGAGAGAGTGAGGGGGAATGAAGGGCCAAGGAGGCCTGGCTGGGGCTGGGCTGGGGGTGGAGGCGGGGAGAGGGGCGTCACGGCCTGAGCTGAGAGGGGAGTGGAGTTCTGGAGGAATGTTTACCAGACACAGAGCCCAGAGGGACAGCGCCCAGAGCCCGGATAGAGAGACACGGCCTCACTGGCTCAGGACAGGGGGCACAGCCACCAGGGTCCCCTTCCCCCTCCTCAGCTCCCTCCCTGGCCCCTTTAAGAAAGAGCTGATCCTCTCCTCTCTTGAGTTAACCCCTGATTGTCCAGGTGGCCCCTGGGCTCTGGCCCTGGTGGGCGGAGGCAAAGGGGGAGCCAGGGGCGGAGAAAGGGTTGCCCAAGTCTGGGAGTGAGGGAAGGAGGCAGGGGTGCTGAGAAGGCGGCTGCTGGGCAGAGCCGGTGGCAAGGGCCTCCCCTGCCGCTGTGCCAGGCAGGCAGTGCCAAATCCGGGGAGCCTGGAGCTGGGGGGAGGGCCGGGGACAGCCCGGCCCTGCCCCCTCCCCCGCTGGGAGCCCAACAACTTCTGAGGAAAGTTTGGCACCCATGGCGTGGCGGTGCCCCAGGATGGGCAGGGTCCCGCTGGCCTGGTGCTTGGCGCTGTGCGGCTGGGCGTGCATGGCCCCCAGGGGTGAGTGATGGGGGCTCCTTGGGGCAGGGATCCCCTCGGAGGGGCTGGGGCAGGGGTAGGAGGTGGGGGATGATGGCAGGTGTGGGGGGCCTGGGCTGGCTTAGGGAGTTTCCTTGGGACCACAGAAAAGGGACTTCAAGGGAGGGAGACACAGACTCAGAGACACCAAGTGCGGCAGAGGGAGAGAAAGACTGAGAGAGGAACTGAAGGGCAGGGGGGACAGAAGAGAGGACCCGGAGAGACAGACAGACAAGGAGAAGCTGAGGGCAGGGGTGGGGGCTGGACCTGAGAAGGGGGCCATGGGGAGAGGGGCTGAGCTGAGGGTCGCCAGGAAGGAAGAAATCTTTCCGAAGGGGCACCGAGTCAGGCAGTGGGATGAGGAGGGCTCTGGAGCCCTGGGGGAAAACGCTTCTCCCTGCCAACACCACCCCCCTGACCCGCCACTTGTCCCTACCCCACCAGTCCACTCCATCTCTGGGGAGGAGGCTCTCACTTTGTCTCTCTGTCTCTGCCTCCAGCTCTGCTATCTCTGTGGGTCTCTGTTTCTCTCTCTTTCACAGTCTCTGCCTTTATCTCTCCCTGCTCTCTGAGTCTCTCTCTCTCTTCTCAGCCTCCCTCTGTGACTGTATCCCCCCTCCGCCCCCACCTTTTCTTCTCTCTTGAGGGCTGTTTCTTCATTTTTTCTGTCTTGCCTTGTATCTGTGCTCCTCTCTGTCTCATCTCCCCTGCCTTTCTCTGGCTTCTCCCTCCGCCACCACCCTTATCTCCCCCCACCACCACCCTTATCTCTCTCCCCCAACCCCTGATTCTTCCCCTCCATCCACCAGCACCAGCGCGACCTGTTAAGTCTCTAGAGACCTAAGAGAGGACGGAGGGGGCAGGGGCTGGCCCTGCCAGGCAGTGCAGGGCGTGGGAGGCTGCCAGATCCCGAGCCTCCTTCCCGACGGGATGGACGCTAGATCCCAGTCCCTTGGGAGGGCTCCCGTCCTCCTCTCAGAGCCTCCGCCCTCCACCCCACTCTGAGGTCACTCTGCAACTATGTCGGCCTAAGGGCCTGGCGGGGTCCTGGCCGCCGGTGGGCAGGCAAGGACAGGGTGGAACTGAGGGCCGGAAGGAGCTGGGGGGTTCCTAAGCTAACTCTTCCCATCTCCCCTCCAGGCACGCAGGCTGAAGAAAGTCCCTTCGTGGGCAACCCAGGGAATATCACAGGTGCCCGGGGACTCACGGGCACCCTTCGGTGTCAGCTCCAGGTTCAGGGAGAGCCCCCCGAGGTACATTGGCTTCGGGATGGACAGATCCTGGAGCTCGCGGACAGCACCCAGACCCAGGTGCCCCTGGGTGAGGATGAACAGGATGACTGGATAGTGGTCAGCCAGCTCAGGTGTGTGGCCACATCCCCGAATCCCACTCCCACCTCCGTCACACAGAGGGCAGAAAGCCCACCTGGGTGGGAACCCCAGTTTGACCACTTGTCAGCCGTGCGGCTTTGAGCATGTGATGGAACCTCTAGGTTTCGTTTTCCTCTTCTGCAAAATGAGTTAATAATAGGACATACTTCGTGGTTGTCATGAGCTTCCAGACTGGACACCCTCTTTCCGTTCTGACAGACCCCCTCCCAGTGTCCAGCTCTGACCCTGAACCTCTCTGTCTCTCCTCTTGCCCTGTCAGAATCACCTCCCTGCAGCTTTCCGACACGGGACAGTACCAGTGTTTGGTGTTTCTGGGACATCAGACCTTCGTGTCCCAGCCTGGCTATGTTGGGCTGGAGGGTGAGCTCTGGGGTCAGGGGTCCTGAGGGGTCAGAGGACATGTGGCGCTCATAGGTTGTGGGAAGTCAGGAATCCTGAGGGGTCAAGGTCAAAGGGTGCTGGAGGATTCAGGATGAACCTAGCGTCATACAGCCTAAGAATGTCAGAGTTTTGGGTGGTCAAGAAGCTGGGAGTCCATATAAGTTATGGTGCCAAGGCTGGGGGATTATATGTTCTGGGTGAAAAGACTTCTTGGGGGTAGTTGGATGTCCTAGGCATCAGACACCATCAGGTCACAGGAGGCCATTCTGGTCTTCAGATAAGGCGTCAGAGGCACGCAACGTACCCCTGTCCCCACGACCCCAGCGGTCTCTTTTTTCTCATCCATAGAATGAGATGAGGATGAGCTGTCAGACATTCTGGAAGAGAGACATGAGGAGCTCAGCTATCGTGGGGGGTCTGACATGGGAGGAATCAGATATTGGGGTCACGTGTGTGTTGGGTATGGCTCAGGTGCCCTCGGGGATCAGATAAGGCAAGTCAATGACCCTGCAGGGTGGGTTTGCTGCCCAAAGCCTACAGCATCCTAGTGGTGAGTCAGGCATCTTGGGGCCTCAGAGGGACCCCAGCCTCTACCACTGCCCACCCCGCTAGGCTTGCCTTACTTCCTGGAGGAGCCCGAAGACAGGACTGTGGCCGCCAACACCCCCTTCAACCTGAGCTGCCAAGCTCAGGGACCCCCAGAGCCCGTGGACCTACTCTGGCTCCAGGATGCTGTCCCCCTGGCCACGGCTCCAGGTCACGGCCCCCAGCGCAGCCTGCATGTTCCAGGTGAGTCCGGGGATGTGGGTCAGCTCCGAATAGGGGGCCGGGCAGGGCTGAAGTCAGGAGCAAGGGAACATTGCTACCTCTGCGTGAGTGTCTGACTGTCCTTCTGTCCCTCACTGTCTGTCTCTCTCGTTTCTCCCTCTGAGTCTGTCTCTGCCTCTCTGTCTCTACCTATCTTATTTCTCTCCGTATGCCTTTTTCTGTCTCTTTCTGTCTCTTGGTGTGTGTGTCTTTCTGTCTCTCTTTGTATGTGTCTCTCTCTCTGTCTCTCTGCTTCTCTCTCCCTCCATTCACCCCGGCCTCTCTCTGAATAGAATTCTTTGTCCTGGGTTTCCTCTGAGCTGTTCCATGGCTCGAGTGCGTGTGGGCCTGGTGCCCCTTTGTCAGCCCTTGACCCAAGCAGGGCACCGGAATCAACCGTGCCCTCCTCTCCTCCGCCTCCCTCCACAACCGGCCCACCTCCTGCCCTAACAAGCCTGCTGGCCTCAGTCAAAGGGAGGATGTCCAGCCCGGTCCCCACTGGGGAGATGGAACCCAAAGAAGAGAGAGCAGGAAGAAAGTAGGAGACAGAGGCTGGGCGTGGTGGCTCACGCCTGTAATCCCAGCACTTTGGGAGGCTGAGGCGGGCGGATCACGAGGTCAGGAGATCAAGACCATCCTGGCTAACACGGTGAAACCCCATCTCTACTAAAAATACAAAAAATTAGCCGGGCGTGGTGGCGGGCGCCTGTAGTCCCAGCTACTCGGGAGGCTGAGGCAGGAGAATGGCAGGAACCCGAGAGGCGGAGCTTGCAGTGAGCCGAGATTGCGCCACTGCACTCCAGCCTGGGCGACAGGGCGAGACTCCATCTCAAAAGAAAAAAAAAAAAAAAGAAAGTGGGAGACAGAGAGAGATAGAATGACATACACTGGAAGGGACAGGCCACAGTGACCCAAGATGAACATAGACAGGACAGAGAGGCCGGGCATGGTGGCTCACGCCTGTAATCCCAGCACTTTGGGAGGCTGAGGCAGGTGGATCACTTGAGGCTGGGAGTTCGAGACCAGCCTGGCCAACATGACAAAACTCCATCTTTACCAAAAATACAAAAATTAGCCAGGCGTGGTGACGGGCATCTGTAGTCCCAGCTACTTGGGAGGCTGAGGCAGGAGAATCGCTTGAACCCGGGAGATGGAGGTTGCAGTGAGCCGAGATCACACCACTGCACTCCAGCCTGGGTGACAGAGCAAGACTCTGTCTCAAAACGAAAAACAAAACAAAATGAAAGACAGGACAGGGAAGTTGGAGTGACAGAAACCCTCTCCTTCTTGGGGACCATTCCCTTCTGCACCATGCAGACGAGGAAGGACCGAGCTCAGGGTTATGCAGTGGTCAGGGGCATCACTGGGGGACCCTGGATTCAGGGGGTTCTCCCTACTGAAGGAGGAAAGACAGAGGAGCAGATGGCAGAGGCTCTGTAAAGGAAGGAGGCTGCAGCCTGGAGGGCATCAGCTTCCCGCACTCCCAACCTGCTGCCTCTCTCTGCTGGAATGAGGAGGGGCCTTCTGACTGGGGGTCTCCAGGGTGGAGGGAGGAGCTCACATTCTCAGCATTCCTGGGACCCTGAGTTGCAAGGAAGACCTGGTGAGCATGCTGACCCCAGAGGAGTGACTCAGGCCCATGGCTCGAGTGGCTGAGTAGGGACCAGGGTTGGGGATCGGGCATGAGTCAGCCTGGCAGGTCCCATGAGAAGGGGAGGGGAGGGAGAGAAATGGGGGCTGCACAGGTGTGAGGATCTGTGCATGTCTGTGTGGTGGTGGTGGGGTGTCTGGATATCTGTGTGTTCTGGATCTGAGTGTTAGTGTATCCGTCAGCACAACCTCTGTGTGAGGGTGTGCCTTGGCGAGGGTGGACTTCTGTGGATGTCCCATGTGTGGTGTGTGTGTGTGTGTGTGTGACTAAATATATTTCCTTCAGCTTGGATTCTGTCCCAATATGTGTTTGGATCTTTATAGCATGTCTCTCTCTCTACGTTTCTTAGGGGTTGCCCGTGTGTGGGTGTCTGTGTGTGTGCGCATGATGGAGTGTACCAGTGTCAGCCTGTGTCTGTCCCTCTTTTTTGTGTTTGTGTGTTCACAGCTGGGACTCACTGTATGAAAGTAAAGTGTGCCTGGAGGGTAGTGGGTTTGGGGCTATGGTGCACACCTCTCTGTATGGAGGTGGTAGTGTCAGCCCACAGGTGTGCAGCTATGGGTGTGAGAGTGTCCTAGTGAGAGCTTGTGTTCCCTTGCAGAATCAGAACGTGTCCATGGATAACTTGTGTTTCTTACCACCTTTTTTCCCCCTTATTTTTTTTCAAGATAAGCTCCCGCTGTGTAACCCAGGCTGGAGTGCAGTACTGTGATCATGGCTCACTGTAGCCTCCACCTCCTGGGCTCAAGCAATCCTCCTACCTCAGCACCCTCCCACCCCTCAAGCAGCTGGGACTATAGGCATGTGCCACCATACCCAGATAGTTTTTGAATTTTTTGGTAGAGACAGAGTCTCGCCATGTTGCCCAGGCTGCTCTTGAACTCCTGGCCTCAAGTGATCCTCCCGCCTCGGCCTCCCAAAGTGTTGGGATTTACAGGCGTGAGCCACTGCTCTCAACCCTCAGCCTCTTACCAGCTTTCTGTGTGTGTCCATAGATGTCTCTGTGGCGTGTGTGTATATGTCACAGGGTAAGCATGTTGGTGTATGACTGTAGTCACAGACCTGTGTGTGTGTGTGTGTGTGTAACAGCACCCTCTGCTTCTCTCTGGTCTCCCTGTGTGTGCACTGGCCCCTGCTGCCTCTGAGTACATGACCTAAGGATGCTTACCAGTCAGCGTATAGATGTGTCTCTGTGTCAATCTATGTGTCCATGGCAGTGTCTCCATCCTTGTGTGTCTGCATCAGGCCTGCGCATCTACGAAACTGTGTTTTTTTGTTTTTTGGGGTTTTTGTTTTGAGACGGAGTCTCACTCTGTCACCCAAGCTGGAGTGCAGTGGCACGATCTTGGCTTACTGTAACTTCCGCCTCCGGGGTTCAAGGGATTCTCCTGCCTCAGCCTCCTGAGGAGCTGCGATTACAGGCACGCCTGGCTTATTTTTGTATTTTTAGTAAAGACAGGGTTTCATGACAGGTTTGTCATGTTGGCCAGGCTGGTCTCAAACTCCTGACCTCAAGTGATCCACCGGCCTCGGCCTCCCAAAGTACTGGGATTACAGGCGTGAGCCACCGCACCCAGCGCAAATGTGTTTTTGTATCAGTCTGTGTCTGGGTGAACATGAAACCTGGGCGCATCCAGCTCCATCTTATGGCGTAGATGGAGGCTTGGCTGTGAGGTGTACGCGTCGGTGTGTCTGTGTCTGAGCAGGTCAAAATGACCCTTCATTGTGTCCTGGTGTGTATCTATCTGTCCACCTCAACTCCATGTACGCTGTTACGTGGTGTGTGTCTCTGAATATACAGGGACATTTAAGTTTCTGTGTGTGTTGGCATCAGCCTAGATGTACATTGCGTCGCTAGGTGTTTGTAATCAATGTGTACATGTGTGACTGTGTGTTTATGTGTTTGTCCCACGTTGGCTTGTATGCATACATGTCTCTTTATGAATGTACATCAGTGTCAGCCCGCGTGTATATGTGTGAGTCACGGTGTTTTTGTGTCACTGTGTTTGTGACATCAGCCCTTGCATATCTGTGTGCCGTTAACTTACCAAGCGCTGCGTCTTCTGTGCTAATAACAGCCCCTGTGTGTTTAAGTGTGATTCATTGTGAGTGTGTGTGTGGGGGGGTTTGCTGTGTGAAGGAATTTCGTCCGTTTGTGTGCGTCTGTCCCTCTATCTGACTCAGGGCGTGCCCCTCCTCCTTCCATCCCTCTCATTCTCTGGAAAAGCTGGGGCGGAGAGCAGGGGTTGTGGGGGGATGGTCAGGACATCTGGAAAGCACATCTGGAATCGGCCTGCTCCTGTCGTCTTGCGGTAAAGCAAGAACCTTCTGGAGGGGAAGGGGTCCCAGTTCCTCCTGTCCCCTTCACTCAAGGTGCGGCCGTTGGGGCCTGGGAAGGGGGATCCCGGCTCTGGCTCCGCGCCCCCGAAGCCGGCCGGAAGCGCTGGGGTGGGGAGGTGCCCCCGGTGACTCACGCGGGGGCAGGAATGCTGCGGTCGGAACGGGACCCGGCTCCAGAACCCACCTCCAGCCCCAGGGCTTCTCCGGCCGGCGGCGCCAGCTCCCGCGCGCTGACCCTGGCGGGGCCCCACGTGCCAGGTGGCTGGACCCGACCCAGGCTCCCCGCCCCCACTCGGGCCGCCCGCCCGGGACTGTACTGTTTCTCCTCCGGGCGGCGCGGGGGCTGCGGGCGCGGGGCCTTCAGGGCGCGGAGGCTGCGGGAGCGGGCACCTGACCTTGTCTGGGAACGGCCACCTAGGAAGCCGCGACTGAGGAGCTCCCCTACCCTCCCCTTTCCGGCCTCTGCAGACTTTGCACCATTCCACTCCCTCCGCTGACGGAGAAAAGGAAACTTTGTGTCTGCGGATGGAGAGCCTCCCTTGCCAACGCGGTGGGAACAGAGGCGTACACGCACGGAGCAAACACGAGAGACACGTACACAGATACTCAACACATGCACGTACACACCATCCACAGATACACGCAGGGTCACAAACATACCAGCTCAGAAACACAAACACAGATGCACAAGCACACGCGTAAACAACACGCAGAACTGCAGTCGCACTTACAAGACTTGGTCCCAGGGCCGGGCACCGAGTGGCTCTGCCTGCGATCCAGCACTTTGGGAGGCCGAGGCGGGAGGATCGCTTGGGGCCAGAAGTTTGAGAGCAGCCTGGGCAACGTGGTGAGACTCTCCTCTTCTCTACAAAAAAAAATTGAAAAGTTAGCCAAGTGTGGTGGCCGCCTGTAGTCCCAGCTGCTTGGGAGGATGAGACAGGAGGATCGCTTGAGCCCTGGAGGTCAAGGCAGCAGTGAGCCGTGATTGTGCCACTGTACTGCAGCCTGGGAGATAGAGCAAGAACCTGTCTCAAAAAACAAAACGAAAAACTTGGTCCTTCTTACATCCTAGCGCAGACATTGTGTGTGTGTGCTGGGGGAGGGGGGTGTCTATGTTTCTACGTGTATCTGTGTTGGGGGATTCCCCTTATTCACCAGGATACGTTCTCTAAGAGCCCCCACAAAAGCCTGAAACAATGAATAATACTAAACCCTGTATATACTACACATAACTTTCTTTTTCCTTCACAATTTCGCAGATAGATTGTTTTCTTACTATAGATCTTAGCAACCTCAGTACATATATATATGATTATCTTTTTCTAAGTGGAGAATTTTCACCTTTTCACTTAAAAGGAAGCACTTTAAGGCTTCTCTTTGGCCTATCCGAATTGCAGCCATCACTATTTTGCACCCTGGGGCCTTTTTTTTTTTTTTTTAGACAGAGTCTCTCTCTGTCGCCCAGGCTGGAGTGCAGTGTGGCGACCTTGGCTCACTGCAACCTCCGCAGCCCGGGTTCTAGCAGTTATCGTGCCTCAGCCTCCCGAGTAGCTGGGATTACAGGCACGCGCCACCATGCCCGGCTGATTTTTTTGTATTTTTAGTAGAGACGGGGGTTTCACTGTGTTGCCCAGGCTTGTCTTAAACTCCTAATCTCAAGTGATCCACCCGCCTCGGCCTCCCAAAGTGCTGGGATTACAGATGTGAGCCATAGCACCCGGCCAGGCGATTATTTAGATAAATAAGAGTTTCTTGAACTCTGCACTTGAGCACTGCAGTACCAGGACAGTTGATCTGATAGCTAAGTGACTTACAGACAGGTATCAGATACAGCACTGAGATGCTGGACAAAGGGGGGATTCACGTTCTAGGCCAACCAGAGTGGGATGGCATGAGGTTTCATCACAGTACTCAGAACGGCATGCAATTTAAAACTTAGGAGTTATATCTGGAATTTTCCATTGAAATATTTTTAGACCAAGTGTAACTGAAACCTCAAAAAGTGAAACCTCGGATAAAGGGGGACTGATGTACGTTGTATAGCGGTTTGTGTTGGGTATCTCTGTGTGCTTGCAGGTCTGTGTCTCTCGTGTTTGTCTCTGTAATTGTACGTGCTTCTGTGTGTGCACGCTGGTCATACCAACACCAACACCACCACGTTAGGGAGGGAAGGCAATCCACCTTCACTCGAAAACAGTTACTCAAGGCCGGGCACGGTGGCTCACACCTGTGATCCCAGCACTTTGGGAGGCTGAGATGGGCAGATCACTTGAGGTCAGGAGTTCGAGACCAGCCTGGCCAACATGGTGAAACCCTATCTCTACTAAAAATTACAAAAATTAGCCGGGCATGGTGGCGCGCTCCTGTAATCCCAGCTACTCAGAAGGCTGAGGCAGGAGAATGGCTTGAACCCAGGAGGCAGAGGTTGCAGTGAGCCAAGATCATGCCACTGCACTTTAGCCTGGGCAACAGAGCAAGACTCTCAAAAAACAAAAGAAAAAAACAGTCAAGACACAATACGTGAACTCCCCTATGGAATTACACATGCTCATATTTCTACACCTATGCCCAGGAATGCTCATAAGTACATAGCTGAACACAATTTCACTCACTCATTCAACAAGCATTTATGGCACACCTATTGTGTGCCAGGCCATCCTGACACAGCAGGGGACGAAACAGACACAACCCCTGCCCTCCTAGAGCTGACATTCTAGTGGGAGAAACTGACAATGGGCAAGGTACTTGGGTAACAGGTAAAGTATGTTGGGTGATGAGAAGAACCAAAGAGGAAAAGTAAAGCGGGAAGGGGATAGATTTGGAGAGGAAGCTCCAATTAGCTCCAATTTTATTGTATTTTTTCTTTCTTTCTTTGTCTTTTCTTTTCTTTCTTTTTTTTTTGAGACAGAGTTTCACTCTTGTTGCCCAGGCTGGAGTGCAATGGCGTGATCTCAGCTCACTGCAGCCTCTGCCTCCCGGGTTCAAGCTATTCTCCTGCCTCAGCCTCCTGAGTAGCTGGGATTAAAGGGGCCTGCCACTATGCCCAGCTAATTTTTTGTATTTTTAGTAGAGACGAGGTTTCACTATGTTGGCCAGGCTGGTCTCGAACTTCGGACCTCAGGTGATCCACCCACCTCGGCCTCCTAAGGCTGGGATTACGGGCATGAACCACCGTGCCCAGCCTTTATTTTTCATTTTATTATTTTTAGTTTTTTTGAGACAGGGTCTCACTCTGTCACCCAGGTTGGAGTGCAGTGGTGTGATCACAGCTCACTGCAGCCTCCACCTCCCCGGGCACAGGTAGTCCTCCCACCTCAGCCTCCCAAGTAGCTGGGACTACAGGTGTGCACCACCACACCCAGCTAATTTTTCTCTTTTTTGTAGAGATGGGGTCTCACCACGTTGCCCAGGCTGGTCTCTAACTCCTGGCCTCAAGCGATCCTCCTGACTCAGCCTCCCAAAGTGCTGGGATTACAGTCATGAGTCACTATGCCTGGCCAAGCTCCAATATTAACAGGGTGGCCAGGCCTAGCGGACTGAGAGGTGTTGTTGAGGAACAAAAATGAAAGAAGAGGGTGCGAGTCATGTAGACATTTGTGGAAGACTGTTTTGAGCACAGGGAACAGTGCACAGTTCTTGGAGTGGAAACATGCTTCATGTATGTGTTCCAGAGACACTGGAGGCCAGTGTGGCCGGAGAAGAGCGTGTGACAGGGAGAGTGGGAGAGGGGTTGGTAGGAGGCGAGCTTAGAGATGAACAGACATGTCTCCATTGATGTACAGCCATGGGCCAGTTTCCCTAAGTGTGTCTAGCAGGTGTGTGTGCTCATACTTGTGTCCTTGTGAGTTAGTGAGGGTGCCTGTGTTTGTGCATGTGAGTGTGTGCATGTTTGTGTGTCTCCTTGTGTGTGTGTGTCTGTGTATGCTTTTGTGTGTCTATGTGTGAGTATGTATATATGTGTCTATGTCCATATATATGAGCACGTGTATTTCTGTGTGTGTCTATATATGTGTATATGAGTATGTGAGTATCTAGGTGTACGAATCTGTGTGTGTGAGACACAGTGTGTGTGTGTGGCTGTGTCTGTTTCTGTGTCTGTGTCTGTGTCTGTGTGTGAGCATATGTGTTTATATGTGTGTGTATGAGTATGTGTCTCTGGGGTGTAAGAATGTGTGTGTGTGCCTGTGTGTGACTGTGTGTGAGTCTGTGTGAGCATGTGTGTGTATGAGTATGTATCTCTCTCTGGGGTGTAAGAATGTGTGTGTGTGTGTGTATGCGCCTGTGCCTGTGTGTGTGTCTGAGCATATGTGTCTATGTGTGTGTATGAGTGTGTGTCTCTATCTGGGGTGTAAGAGTGAGTGTGCCTGTGACTGTGTGTGGTTGTGTGTCTTCATGTGTGTTTGTGTATGTGTGTTTTTGTGTGTGTATGCCTGTGCCTGTGTGTGGCTGTGTGTCTTTGTGTGTGTCTGTGTCTGTGTGTCTGTGTGTATGAGTGTGTGTGCCTGTGCCTGTGTGTGGCTGTGTGTGTCTTTGTGTGTTTCTGTGTGAGTATGTGTGTCTATGTGTGTGTATGAGTGTGTCTGTCTCTGGGGTGTAAGAATGTGTGTGTGAGACAGTGTGTGTGCCTGTGCCTGTGCCTGTGTGTGTCTGTGTGTGTCTGTACTATGTGTGTCTGTGTGGCGGGAGGTTAGGGCTGAAACCAAGCCATCCTTGTGTTTGGGGATGGAGGCTGTGTTCCTAACTCATTGCCCTCAACTCTGCTAACCCTCCCTTCAGGCAAGTGCCTGTGTGGGCTGCACTGCCCCTGGTCAGGCAGGCCATGGTAGGAGTGGCCCGGCATGGCCCCGGAGCCCTTCCTGCCCCTCTCTGATATTGGACCCTTCCCTCATATGACTCCCTAGGGCTGAACAAGACATCCTCTTTCTCCTGCGAAGCCCATAACGCCAAGGGGGTCACCACATCCCGCACAGCCACCATCACAGGTGACAGAGTTGGGAGGTGGGGAGCTGGGCGTCAGAGGGTGGGGTTTGGGTCCGGGGTCAGAGTGGGGGCAGAGAGCAGGGTAGGGAGCTTTGAGCAAAGGCTCCCCAGGGTCAATCTCTCCCGTTTGTCCACAGTGCTCCCCCAGCAGCCCCGTAACCTCCACCTGGTCTCCCGCCAACCCACGGAGCTGGAGGTGGCTTGGACTCCAGGCCTGAGCGGCATCTACCCCCTGACCCACTGCACCCTGCAGGTGAGACTCCCAAACTTGGTTCATTTCAGTCTCAGGCCTCCTTCCACCCACATCCACAACCCCCATCCTCTCCCTGGGAACCCACCACTTCTCGGCCACTGTTGAGAAGCAGTAGAGCCTGGGGGGTTAAGCCAGATGTCCTGGGTTCGAATCCTAGCTCCACCACCTTCTGGCTGTGTGACCTTGGGTAGGTGGCTTAATCTGTCCGGGGCTCAGCTCTCTTGTCTACAAAATGGACATAATGGTAGTGCCTACCTGGTATGCTTAGTGTGAAAATTCAATGAGTGAATGCAAATTACCAACTTAAAATGGTATATAGAACATAGGAAACAAATTTAACAAAATTGGCCAGGCGCGGTGGCTCACACCTGTAATCCCAGCACTTTGGGAGGCCGAGGTGGGCGGATCACTTGAGGTCAGGAGTTCGAGACCAGCCTGGCCAACATAGTGAAACCACATTTCTACTAAAAATACAAAAATTAACTGGGCCTGGTGGGACGCACTTGTAGTCCCAGCTACTGGGGAGGCTGAGGCAGGAGAATTGCTTGAACCTGGGAGGCGGAGGTTGCAGTGAGCCAAGATCGTGCCACTGCTCTCCAGCCTGGGTGACAGAGCGAGACTCTGTCTCAAAAAAAAAAAAGAAACAACAACAAAAAAAATTTAACAAAATGAAAATGATCAGCTGTTTTAATTATTTTCAGTATTAGTGATGTTAACTCTAGCCAGAGTGGGAGCCCTGAGACAGCAGAGTCTGGAGCCATTTCTGTCACCACTGGATACCCAGAACCCTCCACTTCTCCCATCCCAGCCCTGGCCACTCTGTGTGGTCACTGTCTGGGGATGGGTCTGTCCCCTACTGGAATGTGAGCTCTGACAGGGCAGGGCTGGAGCTGTCCCAGTCACCACTGGCTCCTCATTCTTGCCCAGCACAGGACCAGACATAGAGTAGGGAATATTCGCTAGAAGGATATATTACAACCCAGATGAGCTAGACCCAGCCTCTGCCCTCAAGTTGCTCCTAGAATAAGAAAACCAAAACCAGGCCAGGTGTGGTGGCTTACACCTGTAACCCCAGCACTTTGGGAGGCCAAGGCTGGTGGATCACCTGAGGTCAGGAGTTCGAGACCAGCCTGGCTAACATGGTGAAACCCCATTTCTACTAAAAATACAAAAAATTAGCCGGGTGTGGTGGCACACACCTGTAATCCCAGCTACTCAGGAGGCTGAGGCAGGAGAATCCCTTGAACCCTGGAGGCAGAGGTTGCAGTGAGCCGAGATCGTGCCATTGCACTCCAGCTTGGGTAACACGAGCGAACTTCCGTCTCAAGAAAAAAAAAAAAAGAAAGAAAGAAAGAAGAAAACCAAAACCAAAACAAAACTCACAGATCTGTAAATATAAGGCCTAATTCTGGTCTGAAGTTCTCTGAGATTAGAAAGTTGGAGATGGGGGGTGGACAGTGCCTATGATGGTAGATGACAGTAATGAAGAATGACCAATTTCTACTGAGTGTCCGCTGTGCACCGGGTCTTGCATTAACGCACACCTGCTCGTGTGTTTGTGAAGGAGGGTCTATGGATACACCCATTTTCCAGATGAAGAAACTAAGGCTCAGAGTGGTTAACCAGATTGTCCAAGGTCACATCAAACCCATGTCATGCTCCTAACCTCCTTAGAAACTGTTTTTTGTTTTTTCTTTTCTTTTTTTTTTGAGACAGAGTCTCGCTCTGTTACCCAGACTGGAGTGCTGTGGCGTGATCACGGCTTATTGCAACCTCCGCCTCCTAGGTTCAAGCAATTCTCTTGCCTCAGCCTCCTGAGTAGCTGGTATTACAGGCGCCCACCACCACGCCCAGCTAATTTTTGTATTTTTAGTAGAGACAGGGTTTCACCATGTTGGTCAGGCTGGTCTCGAACTCTTGACCTCAAGTGACCCGCCCACCTCGGCCTCCCAAAGTGCTGGGATTACAGGCGTGAGGCACCGCGCTGGGCCCTGAGAAAATGTTTAGAGTCAGTGCTTGATTAAACAGGAATTGTCTTATACTTACATGCTCTGAGCACAACCCCATCTGCTTGTCGTTTTAAACCTAGAAAATAGTGGCTATTGGCTGGGCATGATAGCTCACGCCTGTAATCCCAGCACTTCGGGGGGCTGAGGCAGGTCTGTACAAAAAATTCAAAAAAATTAGCTCAGTGTGGTGGCACACACCTGTAGTCCCAGATACTCGGGAGGCTGAAGTGGGACAATCACCTGAGCCTGGCAGTCAAGGCTACAGTGAGGCAGGATTGAACCTCTGCTCTCCAGCTTGGGTGACAGAGTAAGACTCTGTCTGAGAAAAAAAAAAACAAAAAACAGTGGCTATTAATCTTCCCGTTTTCAAGGTGAGGAACTGAGGCCCAGAGAGGGGCCCCCTCTCTGGGCCTCAGTTCCTCCCATCCTCCTCCCCTCCCCGGGGCTAGAAAGCCGAAGCTGAGATTCAATCCCAGAGGCCAGCTGGATTTGGGAGACCTCAAATGCCAGGTCAGGCATAAGTTGCACTCTACCCACATCACCAAGTGTCCCCAGGAAAGCAGAAGTGTGTCCTCTTCCCTTTCCAGGTCTCACTTCCTGCTGCACATGGGCTAGGGCTGAAGAGTTCCAGTGGGAGGGTCACAGCCGTCCCAGGGAAAAGAGAAGTGGGAGCAGGCATGGGGAGACCAACTGTCTGTACCCATCTCCTCTCTGTCCTGGTAGAGGTTCCTCTTCCTGTCTGTCACTGCAGGTCAGAGAGCAGGCATGGTGACAGCCTCACCCCCTCCTCGTACCCACCATCTGCCCCCACTCCTCCCCAGGTCTCATGGTGGTGTCATCTCCCTCCATGGGGGCTGTGTGACTTTGGGCAAGTTGCTGAACCTCTCTGGGCCTTGGCTTCCCTGTCTGTAAAATGGGGATGAGAAAAGAAATTGACCCCATAGGGTGGTAGTGCGAAGTCAATGAGTTCATCCAGTAATGTGCTTGACAGAGAGCTTGGTACATATTTGGCACTCAAGAAATATTTGCTAGGCCGGGTGCCATGGCTCACACCTGTAATACTAGACCTTTGGGAGGCCGAGGCAGGTGGATCGCTTGAGCCCAGGAGTTTGAGACCTGCCTGGCCAACATGGTGAAACGCCATCTCTCCAAATAATTAAAAAATTAGGTGGGGCTGTCATTACACCACTGCACTCCAGCTTGTGTGACAGAGTGAGACCCTGCCTAAAAAAAAGAAAAAAGAAAAAGAAAGAAAGAAAGAAAACAAACGTTAGCTGTTGATAATTATAATGTGCAAAGCAGTTTATATGCATCATGTCATTAAACCTTATACCCTGACAAGTAAGAACTGTGATGCCCATTTTCCAGAGACAGAAACTGAGACTCAGAGAAGTTAAGACACTCACTCTAGGTCACACAGCAAACAACATCCAACACAGGACTTAGATCCAAGGAATCTGGCTTTAGAGCCCACACCCTGTGGCAGTAAACTCCTTCCTGACATACTGTGTGGCTGTATGGCTGGAGTCTCCAGGGTGAAGGGGAAGCCCTTGGCTGCACCATTCCTGAGGCGTGGCTGTGAATTGTGTGGTTATGGGGGTTTTGTGGTTCCATGTGGCAGGGCTATACAGATGTGTACACCAGTGGTGGCCCCCTCCACTCTGAGTGTGCCATTCCTCGGGTGGAATAGGTATGGGAACCTGTGCCGCTATGCAGAGCTTGACACTTGTTGCCAGGAAACACACATAAAATAATAAGTGACAGGCCGGGCACGGTGGCTCGTGCCTGTGATCCCAGCACTTTGGGAGGCTGAGCGGGCAGATCACCTGAGGTAGGGAGTTTGAGACCAGCCTGACCAACATGGAGTAACCCTGTCTCTACTAAAAATACAGAATTAGCCGGGTGTGGTGGTGCATGCCTGTAATCCTAGCTACTCAGGAGGTTGAGGCAAGAGAATCACTTGAACCTGGGAGGCGGAGGTTGCAGTGAGCCGAGATCATGCCATTGTACTCCAGCCTGGGCAACAAGAGCGAAACTCCATCTCAAATAAATAAATAAATAAATAGATAGATAGATAGATAGATAGATAGATAGATAGATAGATAATAAATGACAGTATGCACAAGCAGTCTTCTAAATGCTTACATGCCCCAATTCAGTCAACCCTGTGAAGTGGGGAGCCACTGTCATCCCATTTTACAGGTGAGAAGACTGAGGCACACAGCTAGGGAATGATAGAGCCTGGATTTGAGCCCCAGATCCAGCATCCGTGCTCCTCAGCACTAGGCTAAACTGCCTCTGTGCACAGACAAGAGGTATTGTTACCATTACTGATATTCTTACCGCCAGTAGAGCAAAGACTCTGGGGACAGGATGGGGTTTAGGTCCCAGCTTCATCAGTGACAAACTGATGACCTTGAACAAGTGATTCCGTCTCTCTGGGCCTCAGTGTTGTCATCTGTACAGTGGGAATAAGCATAATGCTTACCACAGGACAACAGGATTGATGTGAGGGCCAAATGAATTCAGATTTGTCAAGGGCTAAGAAAGGCACTCAGTACATGTTGGACGTGTTTTATCTTTTTTTATTAAGATAATATATAACATAGTCAGGTGAGGTGGCTCACGCCTGTAATCCCAGCACTTTGGGAGGCCGAGGCAGGTGGATTACCTGAGGTCAGGAGTTTGAGACCAGCCTGGGCAACATGGTGAAACCCTTTCTCTACACAGAATAAAAAAAAAGCCGGGTGTGGTAGCTCACACCTGTAATCCCAGCACTTTGGGAGGCCGAGGGGGGCGGATCACTTGAGATCAGGAGTTCAAGACCAGCCTGACCAACATGATGAAACCTCGTCTCTACTAAAAATACAAAAAAGTTAGCCAGGCATGGTGGCACATGACTGTAGCCCCAGCTACTCGAGAGGCTGAAGCAGAAGAATTACTTGAGCCCAGGAGGCGGAGGTTGCAGTGAGCCGAGATTGTACCACTGCACTCCAACCTGAGTGACAGAGCAAGACTCTGTCTAAAAAAAAAAAAAAAAAAAAATTAGTCAAGCATGGTTGCTCACGCCTGTAATCCCATCTACTTGGGAGGCCGAGGCATGAGAATTGCCTGAACCTGGGAGGCGGAGATTGCAGTGAGCCGAAATCACGCCACTGCACTCCAGCTCAGGTGATGAAATGAGACTCATAGGCCGGGCACGGTGGCTCACACCTGTAATCCCAGCACTTTGAGAGGCTGAGGCGGGCGGATTGCCTGAGGTCAAGAGTTTGAGACCAGCCTGACTAACATGGTGAAACGCTGTCTCTACTGAAAATACGGCAATTAGTCGGGCGTGGTGGTACGCGTAGTCCCAGCTACTTGGGAGGCTGAGGCAGAAGAATTGCTTGAACCTAGGAGACGGAGGTTGCAGTGAGCCAAGATCTCACCACTGCACTATAGCCTGGGCGACAGAGCAAGACTCCCTCTCCAAAAAAAGGAAAAAAAAAAAAAAAGAAAAAGAAATGAGATGTATAACATGCATAATCTTCAGTGTACCTCTAGATCAAGCTCGTCTAACACATGTGGCCCAGGATGGCTTTGAATGCGGCCCAACATAAGTTCGTAAACTTTCTTAAAACATTATGAGATTTGTTTGTGATTTTTTTTTTTAACGCATCAGCTATCGTTAGTGTTAGCGTATTTTATGTGTGGCCCAAGACAATTCTTCTTCCACTGTGGTCCAAGAAAGTCAAAAGATTGGACACCTTTGAGATTGTTTAACACACATATTCACCATGTAACCACCATCCAAATCAAGACACAGACCCTTCCAGTCCCCAAGAAGTCTCCCTCAGGCCCCAGAGATGGCCACCCTTCTGCTTCTAGAACATTGCTTTTGCCTGTAGTATAATGTCATATAAATGGGGCCTCACAGTATCGTGCTATTATTATGATGATCATTACTATTATTTGAGACAGAGTCTTGCTCTGTTACCCAGGCTGGAGTGCAGTGGTGTGATCTTAGCTCACTGTAACCTCTGCCTCCCAGGTTCAAGTGGTTCTCCTATCGCAGCCTCCCGAGTAGCTGGGATTACAGGCGAGCGCCACCACATCCAGCTAATTTTTTACATTTTTGGAAGAGATGGGGTTTCACCACGTTGGCCAGGCTGGTCTTGAACTCCTAACCTCAAGTGATCGCCCACCTTGGCCTCCCAAAGTGCTGGGATTACAGGCGGGAGCCACCGTGCCCAGTCTATTTGCGTTATTATTGTCATCACACTATTATTATCGGTGCTGACCACCCGCCATGCACTGTGGCATCCTTTGGGCATAACTACACTTAATCTTTAAACAATCCTGTAAGGCACTTGATCCTCTAAGGCCCCGTGTGCCCAAGGAAAAAACTGAGGCTCAGAGAGGGAAGAGTCTTGCCAGAGGTGGCTTTTGGAAGTGGTGACAGAACCACATTGTATACAGCCAAATGATCTCCTTGCTTTGCAAATCCAGGTGCCCGTGTTATCCTAGCATGGCACTGCAACACACACGCACCCTTGAAAAGTTGTGTAGTCACACCAGACCACCACCACTGGGAGCTGTGTGACCATCTCGTGTGATTGCTTGGCTGTCCCGTCCTCACACCCTTGCCTCTCCTCAGGCTGTGCTGTCAGACGATGGGATGGGCATCCAGGCGGGAGAACCAGACCCCCCAGAGGAGCCCCTCACCTCGCAAGCATCCGTGCCCCCCCATCAGCTTCGGCTAGGCAGCCTCCATCCTCACACCCCTTATCACATCCGCGTGGCATGCACCAGCAGCCAGGGCCCCTCATCCTGGACCCACTGGCTTCCTGTGGAGACGCCGGAGGGAGGTAAGAAGGGTTGGGGAGGGACACGTCACCACTGCCCCACCGGACCTTGCTTATATCAGTGCCACCCCCATTGTCCCCTTTCACTCCTTTACCCCTCATGGCCTCAATCTCCTTCCCATCCAATCTCTGACCCCTCAGCAGCACTGCCCGCTGGCCTCTCTCCCAGCCCTTCTCTCCCCTGTGCTTCCTCTCATGGGAGGCCTGCACGAGTTGCCCACGTGTGTGCCCTTGGCACCCTGCACCCACTTCCTGGGAACAGGGGAGGGGGTCAGGAAGAGGTGGGGGTGCCAGCTTCCCCTCTTCCCTGTCCTCCAGTGCCCCTGGGCCCCCCTGAGAACATTAGTGCTACGCGGAATGGGAGCCAGGCCTTCGTGCATTGGCAAGAGCCCCGGGCGCCCCTGCAGGGTACCCTGTTAGGGTACCGGCTGGCGTATCAAGGCCAGGACACCCCAGAGGTGGGTGCTGCTGGTGGGATTGGAGTGGAGTGGCTTGGGGAGGAGGGAGGAGAACATATCAGGGCAGACATAGATGGTTGTGAAGGTTGGGTAGTACACAATTGCTCTATGCCTAGGGGGCACATTCAGGGAAGGTTCACATTCACATTCTGGGGAGAATAAGGGGGTCTAAGGGAGGGCATGGGGAATGGCTGTTTTTGAACCACTGCAAAAGCATTTCAGCAGACTCATATTTACTATATAACGATTTTACAGCAGATAGTTATATAGCACCTTGGGGAAGGGGTACCTTTTCCTGATTTTCACAAAGGCACTCCTATCAGGGCTAGCAATACCCTGACATAGGGAGGGAGGATGGAAAGGGAAGCTAGAAGGGGATGGAGGGATACAGGTTAAAGGATGAGGATGAGAGATGAAGGGGAGGACGAGGAAGGATGAGGAGTTGGAGGATGGGGAGAGCGTTTTGAGAAAGAGATGGGGCATTGAGCCCGAGAGTGAAGGCTTAACAGCTGGGGGGTAAGGTTCTACCCTGATGCCACTTCTGGACCTCCTAGGTGCTAATGGACATAGGGCTAAGGCAAGAGGTGACCCTGGAGCTGCAGGGGGACGGGTCTGTGTCCAATCTGACAGTGTGTGTGGCAGCCTACACTGCTGCTGGGGATGGACCCTGGAGCCTCCCAGTACCCCTGGAGGCCTGGCGCCCAGGTAAGTCCAAAGCCATGCCCAACCTGCTTCAACCCTGTCTCTCCCTGACAGCCCTGACTTACTCCTTGTACCTTTCAGTGTTACCGCAACTTAGGCCCTGTTCCTACCCTGAGCCTTACTGAGAGCTGCCCTCACTCCCTTACCCATGCCAACCCCTCACTCCCTTACCTGTGCCACGGCCTCACTCCTTTACCCGTGCCACACCCTCACTCCCTTACCCGTGCCACACCCTCACTCCCTTACCCGTGCCAAACCTTCACTCCCTTACTCGTGCCACACCCTCACTCCCTTACCCGTGCCACACCCTTACTCCCTTACCCGTGCCACGCCAGTCTTGTCCTCTCTGAGCACATCTCCTCTCTGTCCTTTCTTCTCACAGGGCAAGCACAGCCAGTCCACCAGCTGGGTAAGGGCTTCCACACCCCATCTCCTCCTTCCCTACCCTCAACACCTAGTGGGGGCACTGTCACCATGCATACTCATTGCACATCCCTTTCATGTTTCTCTAACTCATCACTCTAACCTACTTCTTGAGTTTGTGTGGTCCTTGATGGAGGTGCCTATAATGGCCTAGCATAGCACATTGTAGGTATTCAGGCAATGACAGATGAGTGGGTGGATGGATGAACAAATAGATGGATGGATGGATGGATAGATATATGGAGGGTGGATGGGTGGGTGGGTCAATGGATGAATAGAGGATGGATAGGCGGGTGAACAGATAAATGACTGGATGTCGAGTGGATAAATGGATGGGTAGATGGATGGGTGGATGGATGGATGGGTGGATATATGGAGAATGGATGGGTGTGTGGGCCAATGGATGAATAGAGGGTGGATAGGTGGGTGAACAGATAAATGACTGGATGGTGAGTGGATAAATGGATGGGTAGATGGATGGGTGGATGGATGGGTGGGTGGATATATGGAGGGTGGATGGATGGATGGTTGGATATATGGAGGGTGGATGGGTGGGTGGGTCAATGGATTAATAGATGGGTGGATAGGTGGATGAACAAAAGATGACTGGGTGGTGAGTGGATATATGGATGGGTAGATGGGTGGATGGATGGATGGATGGATGGATGAATGGATGGTTGGATAAATGGATGGATGGACAGATGGATGGATTTGTGAGTGGATGAATGGATGGGTAGAAAGGTGGATGGATGGATGAATGAGGTATCCTCCTCACATCCATCCCTCTCAAATATTTCTCTAACAATTCTCAAACATTCCTCCTACACCCATTGTCCCCTCTGGGCACTATTATGGTTCACTCTTGTAACTCAACCCACTAGCCTTCAATACTCCTCACATCCCTTCCTACATTTCTTCACATACGCTTTCCACGCTTATTCCACCCTCCTTTCACATATATCCCATTATAATCCGTTCCTCCCACATGACCCCAAAGGCCCATTGCACAACACACTTCTCATTCACAAACTCTGCACACCTTGTATGCACTTACCATACCTTCCACATTGCAAACACTGAAAAACATTGTCCACAACTTTCCCACACCCGATTCTCCTTGCATGCTTACTGCACACTCCATAGACATCATTCCCTCACCCTTCACTAATCCCAACCCATCTCACTCTGCACACTCACCCTGAACCCCTTGCATACTCAGCACATAATGATCTTTATTTCTTACACACTCCATTCCACCCCTGCCCTTTTTACACCCCCTTTCTGTGCACCCCATACTTCTCATCTGCCCTTCTAACATCTTTTGCATGCTCACTGCACACTTCTCTCACACTGCAATTACATCCTTAAAATTCCTTGCTCACTCCTTGTATCTAAGACTTCACGAATACTCTTCCCACTTCACACACCCCCAACTTTTCCAGCAGCCATCCAACCCTGTATATGCTTACCATGCCCCTTTGGATATTTATTTCACCCTCATTCCTGGCTTTATGGAAACCATTGTGGCCGGGTGCAATGGCTCACGCCTGTAATCCCAGTACTTTGGGAGGCCTGAGACAGGTGGATCACCTGAGGTCAGGAGTTCAAGACCAGCCTGGCCAACATTGGCGAAAACCCATCTCTACTAAAAATACAAAAATTAGCTGGGCCTGGTGGTGCGAGCCTGTAATCCCAGCTGCTCGGGAGGCTGAGGCACAAGAATTGCTTGAACCTGGGAGGCGGAGGTTACAGTGAGCCAAGATCATGCCACTATACTCCAGCCTGGGCAACACAGCAAGACTCTGTCTCAAAAAAAAAAAAAAAAGAAAGAAAGAAAGAAAAAAAGAAAGAAAAGAAAAAGAAAAGAAAAAAAAATTAGCCAGGTGGCACAGACCTGCAGTCCCAGCTACTCAGGAGACATGGTGAAACCCTGTCTCTACCAAAAAAAGAATACAAAAATTAGCTGGGCATGGTGGTGCACACCTGTAATCCCAGCTACTTAGAAGCTGAGGCAGGAGATTTGCTTGAAACTGGGAGGCAGAGGTTGCAATGAGCTGAGACCGGGCCACTGCACTCCAGCCTGGGTGAAAGAGTGAGACCCTGTCTCAAAAAACAAACAAACAAAAAAAGAGACAAAGAAAACCCTTTTGTAGTCATTGCATTCTCTTCAAAAGATGTTCCTTAGTCCGCCCTCCTTGCACACGCTTCATGCACCATCCTACACTGCAAGGATCTTCTTCCCCACTCACCTGCTTATCTACACTCTAGTCCACCCTTCTTGCACAATCATCACATTTCTCACACTAACCTATGCTGCTTGAGATTTCTCCACACCCATCTCATGTTCATCTAGCCCTCTTGGCACACTCATAACGCGTTCCACACATCTCTCCCTCCCATTCCACACTCACTGCACACTCCTCAAATATCCATTCCACTCTTCTGTTTTTTTGGATCTTGGTGGCATAATATTTGGTAGCTTAAAGTAAGGAAAACTGCAAACGCCCAAACAGAGACTTGAACCCTGAACCCTCAGGTTAAAAGTCTGATGCTCTACCACCTGAACTATCCTGGCACTCTCTTTTTTTTTTTTTTTTTTTTTTTTTTGAGATGGAGTCTTGCTCTGTCACCCAGGATGGAGTGCAGTGGCCCAGTCTCGGCTCACTGAAACCTCCACCTCCCAGGTTCAAGCAATTCTCCTGCCTCAGCTCCCGAGTAGCTGGGATTGCAGGTGTGCACCACCACCCCAGCTAATTTTTGTATATATTTTGTTTAAGTAGAGACAGGGTTTCATCATGTCGGCCGGGCTGGTCTTGAACTCCTTGCCTCAAGTAACCCACCCGCCTTGGCCTCCCAAAGTGCTGGGATAACAGGCATGAGCCACCACACCTGGCCTCCATCCCACTCTTAACTCACCCATCCTACAACTTTCACACACTTCTGCTTTAACCTGCACTTGTATCACATCCATTGCATGCCCTGTCCAGCCCAGCCCATTCAGATATGTGAATGCATCCATCACACACCTCATCAAGTATGTGCACATCTTTGCCGAGGCCTTCTGCCTCCCTCCCACATCACCCCTTTGGGTCCCAGAGAGCTGGATCCAAGGCTTCATCCATGACCTGTTCCTCATACCCCCTGATAGTGAAGGAACCTTCAACTCCTGCCTTCTCGTGGCCCTGGTGGTATGTACTGCTAGGAGCAGTCGTGGCCGCTGCCTGTGTCCTCATCTTGGCTCTCTTCCTTGTCCACCGGCGAAAGAAGGAGACCCGTTATGGGTGAGTTGGAACCACATGGGGAGGCTGTGTGGCCTGGGATGGAGAGGCTGGAGGCAGGGAGGCCAGTGAGGAGGCTGGTGCAGGAGGAGTGATGACTAAGAATCAGAATGAGGGCAAGGGAAGCCAGGCGTGGTGGCTCACGCCTGTAATCCCAGCACTTTGGGAGGCTGAAGCAGGTGGATCACTTGAGGTCAGGAGTTTGAGACCAGCCTGGCCAACATGGCGAAACCCTGTCTCTACTGAAAAATGCAAAAATTAGCGGGAAGTGTAGGCACACGCCTGTGGTCCCAGCTACTTGGGAGGCTGAGGCACGATAATCACTTGAACCCGGGAGATGGAGGCTACAGTGAGCTGAGATCGCATCACTGCACTCCAGCCTGGGTGACAGAGTGAGATCCTGTTTTCAAAAAAAAGAATGAGGGCAAGGGGGTGTGTGGAATGAATGGAAGGCAGAAGGTAGCTGCCCAAGGCATGCTCAGCAAATGTTAGCACAGAGGGCAGGCAGGGCTTGAGGCTGAGATGGTGCTTGCTCAACTGCTGGTTGAGTAGGGGGTTCCACATGGTTTTTCCCTGCCCTCACCTACTCCCCCTCCCCCCCAGAGAAGTGTTTGAACCAACAGTGGAAAGAGGTGAACTGGTAGTCAGGTACCGCGTGCGCAAGTCCTACAGTCGTCGGACCACTGAAGCTACCTGTAAGTGAACCCTATGCCCCACTGCCCTGGCCTGGATCTAAAGGCTGTAGAGAATCTGGCCTGCTGGGCTTCTGTACATGTGTGAGCCAAAAGTTTCTAAAGGCCTTGGGATACTAGAATGTCAGAACCACAGACCCTAGAAATAACAGATTTGTGGAACCACAAAGAACTTTCAAGGAATAGAATCTTAGACACAGTAAATCTTAGAAACACCAAGGCTGGGTGTGGTGGCTCATGCCTGTAATCCTAGCGCTTCGGGGGGCCGAGGTGGGAGGATCACTTGAGCCCAGGAGTTCGAGAACAGCCTGGGCAGCATGGTGAAACCCTGTCTCTACAAAAAAAAAAAATTAGCCAGGTATGGTGGTGTGCCCCTGTACTCCCTGCTACTCGGGAGGCTGAGGTAGGAGGATCACCTGAGCCCAGGGAGGTCAAGGCTGCAGTAAGCCGTGATCACACCACTGCACTCCAGCCTGGGTGACAGAGCAAGACCCTGTCTCAAAAAAGAAAAAAAAATAAAAGAAAGAAAAGAAACACCAAACCTCAGAGCCATTGGATCTTAGAAGATGTAATGATGATGATAATGATGAAGATAATGACAAGAAGAAAATGATGATGATGATGAAATAATGTTGAGATTAGATGGTGATGATGTGATAAAAATCACAGGCAACCCTAGCACTACCTATGTGGCAGGCTCTGTTCTAAGCATTCTACATGTATCTCCTCGTTTAACCCTCAGAGCAACCCAAGGACACGGGTTTCTTTTTTCTTTTTTTTTCTTTTTTTTTTTGAGACAGAGTCTCGCTCTGTTGCCCAGGCTGGAGCACAGTGGCACAATCTCAGCTCACTGCAACCTTCACCTCCCAGGTTCAAGTGATTCTTATGCCTCGGCCTCCCGAATAGCTGGGATTACAAGTGCATGGCACCACATCTGGCTAATTTTTGCATTTTTAGTAAAGATGGGGTTTTACTAACCCTGTCTTTGTTAGCCAGGCTGGTCTTGGAACTCCTGGCCTCAAGTGATCAACCTGCCTTGGCCTCCCAAAGTGCTGGGATAACAGGCGTGAGCCACCACGCCCAGCCAGAGGTGGGTTTCTTATCACCTTCACTTCACAGATGAGGAAGCTGTGGCATAGAGTGGTTAAGTCACTTGCCCAAGGCCACACAGCTTGTAAATTGGATAGCTGGGATTTGAACCCAGGTACTTTTGCTCTGAAGTCTATACTATTTTTTTTTTTTTTTTGATAGAATCTTGCTCTGTCACCCAGGATGGAGTGCAGTGGCTTGATCTTGGCTCACTGCAACCTCCGCCTCCTGGATTCAAGCGACTCTCCTGCTTCAGCCTCTCAAGTAGCTGGGACTACAGGCACATGCCACAACGCCTGGCTAATTTTTGTAGTTTTAATAGAGACAAGGTTTCACCATATTGGCCAGGCTGGTCTCGACCTCCTGAACCCGTGCCTCCCAAAGTGCTGGGATTACAGGTGTGAGCCACCACGCCTGGCCTGAAGTCTATACTCTGAACTGCCACACTCTACTACCTCTTGGAATTATAAATTGGTAGAGAGATAGAATCGATCTTGGCCTGAAAAATTATATGCATGTACTCTACACCCTTATACTTTTGAAATCATAAAATCTTAGAACTATAGACTCTCCATTAGAAGGCTGGAAAGCCATGCAAGGTCTCAGCCGAGGAGGGGATCTCAGAGGCCCAGTCAAATCTGTTCTTTCGGCTGGGTGCAGTGGCTCACGCCTGTAATCTCAACACTTTGGGAGGCCCAGGCGGGCAGACACTTGAGGTCAGGAGTTCGAGACCAGCCTGGCCAACATGGCGAGACCCTGTCTCTACTAAAAATACAAAAATTAGCCAGATGTAATCTGTAATCCCAGCTACTTGGGAGGCTGAGGCAGGAGAATCTCTTGAACCTGGGAGGCGGAGGTTGCAGTGAGCCGAGATCGTGCCACTGCACTTCAGCCTGGGTGATAGAGCAAGACACCGTCTCAAAAAAAAAAAAAAAAAAAAGGAATCTCATCTTTCCAGTTAGGGAAACTGAAATCCAGAAAGAAAATGGAAGAGCTAGGTCTCTTCCTAGCATACAGCGAGAAAGCCGCCAGGGCCCCAGGGGGATGTTTGGAAAGGGCTGGGAAAGACATTTATTTAAGAAGAGAAGGAAGAAGCAACGATGTCCCAGTGATTTAACTGAGTAACATACAGCATCCATTCTCAGGGTGTGAGCCTGGTCCCCTGTGGTCCCTGAGACCTTTGCAGGGGGCCCATAAGGTCAAATCTATTTTCATACTATTACCAAGACATTATTTGCCCTTTTGCTTTCTCATTCTCTCATTAGCATTCAGCGCAGTTTTCCAGAGGCTCCCTGACGTGGGATGATGTCATCCAACACTCTGACAGCTGATGGACCTTGTGCTTGTATATTCTTGTTTTAAAAATTTATCAGGCTGGGCATAGTGGCACATGCCTGTAATCCCACCACTTTGGGAGGCCAAGGTGGGCAAATTGCTTGAGGTCAGGAGTTTGAGACCAGCCTGACCAACATGGTGAAACCCCATTTCTACTAAAATACAAAAATTAGCTGGGTGTGGTGGTGCATGCCTGTAATCCTAGCTACTTGGGAGGCTGAGGAAAGAGAATCGCTTGAACCCGGGAGGCGGATGTTGCAGCAAGCTGAGGTTGTACCACTGGACTTCAGCCTGGGCAACAGAGTGAGACTGTCTCAAAAAAAAAAAAAATTAAATAAACCTGATAGGTTTTCTTTTGAGGCCAGGAGTTTGAAACCAGTGTGGGCAACATGGCAAAACCCCATCTCTATTTAAAAAAAAAAAAAGAAACACAAAAATTTGCCAGGTGTGGTGGTGTACACCTATAATTCCAGCTGCTCAGGAGGGTGAGGCAGGGGAATCACTTGAACCTGGGAGGCGGAAGTTGCAGTGAGCTGAGATTATGCTACTGCACTCTAGCCTAGGCAACAGAGCGAGACTCGGTTTCAAAAAAAATTTTTTTATTTTTTTAGAGATGGGGTCTGGCTATGTTGCCCAGGCTGATCTCCAACTCCAGGCCTCAACTGGTCCTCCTTCCTTGGCCTCCCAAGTTGCTGGGTGAACCACTGTGAACCACTGTGCCCAGCTAGTTTTATTTTTGAATACAGAAATATTGATATATATGTAACATAAACAAAAGCTCTTTCTAGTCCTCAATAATTCTAACAATGTAAAGGTGTCCTGATGTCAATTTGTTTGAGAATGATTATATAACAAAGAAAATGGATAAATTACAATTACACTCAACAACTAAATTAAAACTATTTCATAGACATCATGTTGAGTGAAAGAAGCCAGACACAAAAGAGAATATACTATGTGATTCCATTTTTATAATATTTCAAAACTAATCGATTGTAACAGAAATCAAGAAAGTGGCTACCCCAGGAGGGCAGGTCATGTTCTGTTCTTGGCCTGAGTGCTAGTTACACATTTGTGTTTGATTTGTGAAAATCCACTGAGTTGGCCAGGCGTGGTGGCTCACGCTTGTAATCCCAACACTTTGGGAGGCCAAGGTGGGCAGATCACCTGAGGTCGGGAGTTCCAGACCAGCCTGACCAACATGGAGAAACCCCGTCTCTACTAAAAATACAAAATTAGCTGGGCGTAGTGGCACATGCCTGTACTTGGGAGGCTGAGGCAGGAGAATCGCTTGAACCTGAGAGGCGGAGGTTGCGGTGAGCCGAGATTGCGCCATCGCACTCCAGCCTGGGCAACAGGAACGAAACTCCATCTCAAAAAAAAAAAGAAAAGAAAATCCACTGAGTTGCTTACTTATGATTTGTGCAGATTATACTTCAATAAAAAGAAATATTTTTGTGTGTGTGTTTTGTTTGAGATGGGGTCTTGCTCTGTCACCCAGGCTGGGGTGCAGTGGCATGAGCTCAGCTTACTGCAGCCTCCACCCCTGGGCTCAAGTGATCCTCCAACCTCAGCCTCCTGAGTAGCTGGGACTATAGGCGCGTACCACCACACATGGCTAGCTTTTGTATTTTTTTGTAGAGACGGGGATTCGCCATGTTGCCCAGGCTGGTTTTGAATTCCTGGACTCAAGTGATCCACCGGCCTCTGCCTCCCAAAGTGCTGCGATTACAGGCATGAGCCACTGCATCCAGCAAAAAGAAATATTTTTATTTTATTTTATTTTATTTTATTTTATTTTATTTTATTTTTGAGACGGAGTCTTGCCCTGTCACCCAGGCTGGAGTGAAGTGGTGCGATCTCAGCTCATTGCAACCTCTGTCTCTTGGGTTCAAGTGATTTTCCTGCCTCAGCCTCCCCAGTAGCTGGGACTACAGGCATGTGCCACCACACACGGCTAATTTTTGTATTTTTTTGTAGAGACAGAGATTCGCCATGTTGCCCAGGCTGGTCTTGAACTCCTGGACTCAAGTGATCCACCTGCCTCTGCCTCCCAGAGTGCTGGGATTACAGGCGTAAGCCACTGTGCCCAGCAAAAGAAATATTTTTAACAACTGGTACAGCAGGGCACTGACCCATCAGGGTGCCCACTGGAGCAAGAGCGTGGCCAGGCTTTACCCCTTGAGTTCCCTTTGAGGGAAGGTTCAGGGGGTCCAGAGGAGGAGCTGGGGTGGAAGTAGAGGGGTGCTCAGGGCAGTTGCTAATTTTAAATCAGTGCAGAAGTATGTCAGTGTTTCAACAATGGATCTATCCCTACTGGTGGGTGAATGTCACCTGAATGTCAGCCCTGCTCCATGACTCTGTCCACCCCAACCTTGCATGCAGTGAACAGCCTGGGCATCAGTGAAGAGCTGAAGGAGAAGCTGCGGGATGTGATGGTGGACCGGCACAAGGTGGCCCTGGGGAAGACTCTGGGAGAGGGTGAGTCCCCCGGCAGCATACACACATCCTTCTGAACTTCTGAGATCCTGCACTTCCACACTCCCACCCAACTATAGGAAATACAGTCCCCACGGGCCCTCTGAGGTCAGTGTCTCCCTCTGGCCCCCCACAGGAGAGTTTGGAGCTGTGATGGAAGGCCAGCTCAACCAGGACGACTCCATCCTCAAGGTGGCTGTGAAGACGATGAAGAGTGAGTTACGTGCACATGTGTAGGACCCCCAGCTCCTTCCCTATGCCCCTGAGACAGAAGAGAGCAAGCAAGTTAGCCATAGCTTAGAACTTCTGGTGTTTCCAGATAGGCAATGGAGCCCCTGCCAGGTACCTCAATAGAAGGAATTGAATATGGGGAGATTAGTACAAAGGTGGGAGACGGGTTGAAGGAACAACTGGGGGCAGGGAGGGAAACCAGAGATGAGCAGCAGCAGGAAGTCACTTCCCCCGCTAGGCCTGAAGGGTAGAGGGAGCAAGTGGTGTTACCAGAATCCACAGCTAGGGACACCAGGCAGGAGCTGGTATCACAGAGTTAGAGGCTGCTCTGTGGGAGCTAAAAACCCAGAATAGCACTTTGGGAGGCCGAGGCAGCAGATCGCTTGAGTCCAGGAGTTTGAGACCAGCCTAGGCAATATGGTGAAACCACATGTCTATGAAAAAAAAAATAATAATAGTAACAAAAAATTAGCTGGGCATGGTGGCACACGCCTGTAGTCCCAGCTACTTGGGACACTGAGGTGGGAGAATCACTTGAGTCTGTGCGGCAGAGGTTGCAGTCAGCTATGATCATGCCACTGCACTCCAATCTGGGTGACAGAGTGAGACTTTGTCTTAAAAAAATAAAACACACATGGCTGGGCGTGGTGGCTCACGTCTGTAATCCCAGCACTTTGGGAGGCCAAGGCGGGTGGATCACATGAGGTCAGGAGTTCGAGACTGGCCTGATCTGCATAGCGAAACCCCACCTCTACTAAAAATACAAAAATTAGCCAGGCGTGGTGGCAGGCACCTGTAATCCCAGCTACTCGGGAGGCTGAGGCAGGAGAATCGCTTGAACCTCACAGGCGGAGATTGCAGTGAGCCGAGATCGTGCCACTGCCCTCCAGCCTGGGCGACAGAGCAAGACTCCGTCTGAAAAAAAAAAAAAATTAAAACACACACACGCACACATGGGCGACACAACCACCACCAAGGGAATACCAGAAGCAGAGAGAGGGTGAAATACCCTGGCTTCTCCCTTTCTCCCCGCTACCTGCCAGTCTCCCATAAGGGCCTACCTCCCATTGGCAAATCCCAAGAGGAAACCACTAGGAAAGGGAGCCTGGGAAATGTAGTTTTCAGGGGCCGGCCCACTGTGATACATAGTGGAGCAGGAGAAGCTCTAGAATGAGGCATACCTGGCTGAATCATTTACCAGCTATGCGATCTCAGGCAAATGACTTTCCCTCTCTGAGCCTCCCACCTGTCATCTGGAAAAAAGGACCCTAATGTCCCCACCTTCCAAAGCTGTTTTGAGGCAAAGCACTTCATGCTGAGGGTGGCAAGTAGGACATGCTTGTTAATGTGGAGTAGGACTATATTATTTCCATTATCAGAGAGGGCAGGAGCCATTTCAGGGTTACACAGCACAGGAAGTCCAGGGCTAAGTTCTTCACACACAGGGAAGGAGAAGCATAGGGCATTCAGATTGGGGCTGGTGGTGAATAGAGAATGATCCTTTCTGAATTACAGGGCTTAAAAGCTTGGGCTATGAAGTCATTACCCACTCATTCGTTCATTATGGAGCACCTCCTGTGTACCAGGTTATTTTGTTTGTTTTGCTCTGTTTTGTTTTGTTTTGAGGAGGAGTCTCACTCTGCTGTCCAGGCTGGAGTGCAGTGGCATGACCTCAGCTAACTACTACCTCTGCCTCCCAGGTTCAAGCGATTCTTCTGCCTCAGCCTCCTGAGTAACTGGGACTACAGGTGTGCGCCACCACGCCCAGCTAATTTTTGTGTTTTTAGTAGAGACGGGGTTTCACCATGTTGGCCAGGATGGTCTCTATCTCTTGACCTCATGATCCACCTGCCTCGGCATCCCAAAGTGCTGGGATTACAGGTGTGAGCCACCACACCCAGCCTACGTTTTTTGTTTTTTGAGACAGAGTCTTGCTCGTTGCCCATGCTGGAGAGCAGTGGCAGGATCACAGCTCACTGTAGTCTCAACCTCTGAGGCTCAAGCGATCCTCCCCACTCAGCCTCCCACTGGTTATAGTCTTGGCCTGGGTCTGAATCTCAGCCGTGCAACCTTGGGCAAGTCATTTTGCCTCTGTGAGCCACAGTGTCCTGAACTGTTAAATGGGATGATACTTGTTTGGGTCCCCAGGGCAGGTAGGGAAGTGCTGGGAAGCAGCCTGGGCAGTTGTGAGCAGGTGGACCCTGGAGCCAGACTGCCCGGGTTTGAGATCTGCCTCTTCCACCTCCAAGCTGTGTGTTCCCTTAGGCAGACTCCTAACCTTTTTGTGCCTTGCTTTCTTCATCTTTAAAATAGAGATAGGCCAGGGACAGTGGCTCATGCCTGTAATCCCAGTGCTTTGGGAGGCCGAGGTGGGAGGATCACTTGAGGCTGGGAGTTTGAGACCAGCCTGGACAACATAGCAAGACTCCCTCTCAAAAAATTGGCTGGGCATGGTGGCTCACACTTGAAATCCTAGCACTTTGGGAGGCCAAGGCAGGCAGATCACTTGAGGTGGGGAGTTTGAGACCAGCCTGGCCAACATGGTGAAACCCCGTTTCTACTAAAAATACAAAAATTAGCTGGGCATGGTGGTGCATGCCTGTAATCCCAGCTACTCGGGAGGCTGAGGTACGAGAATCTCTTGAACTGGGGAGGCAGAGGTTGCAGTGAGCCAAGATTGCGCCATTGCACTCAAGCCTGGGGGACAAGGGCGAAACTCCATCTCAAAAAAAAAAAAAAAATTATCCGGGATGGTGGTGCGTGCCTGTGGTCCCAGCTACTCAGGAAGGCAAGCCTAGGAGTTCGAGCCTAACCTCCAGTGAGCTATGTTTGCTGTGATTGCATCCATCCTGGGTGACAGCGCAAGACCCTGTCTCAAAAAATAAAAATAAAAAACAAAAACAAAAACAAAACAAAACAAAACAAAAAACCAATAAAATGGGAATGATAATAGTAGCACCTGAGAAGATTAAATGAGTTAATATATATAAAGTTGGCCAAGCGCAGTGGCTGACGCCTGTAATCCTAGCACTTTGGGAGGCCGAGGCGGGCAGATCGTGAGGTCAGGAGATCGAAACCATCCTGGCTAACAAGGTGAAACCCCGTCTCTACTAAAAATACAAAAAATTAGCCGGGTGTGGTGGCACACGCCTGTAGTCCCAGCTACTCAGGAGGCTGAGGCAGGAGAATTGCTTGAACCCGAGAGGCGGAGGTTGCAGTGACCCGAGATCAAACCACTGCACTCCAGCCTGGACAACAGAGTGAGACTCCATCTAAAAAAAAAAAAAAAAAGAAAATATATATTTTATATATATATATATATTATATACACACACACAGACACACACACATACACATATCACATATAAAGTGCTGAGTATGGTGCCTGGTACTTACTAATCATGTTTGATGAAGATGAGTGATGATGATGATGATGATGATGATGGAGTGGAGGTGGAGGGAGAGTCCTCCCTCTCCTCCCCTCCTCCTCACGACCTTTCTCTCTCCCTCAAGTTGCCATCTGCACGAGGTCAGAGCTGGAGGATTTCCTGAGTGAAGCGGTCTGCATGAAGGAATTTGACCATCCCAACGTCATGAGGCTCATCGGTGAGAGAGGGGCAGATTCAAGGGGTCTACAAGCCCCATGGGGGCCATAGCAGAGGGAAGAGCCCTGCTTCTGGCCCTGGGAAGATCAAACTTCCAGGCTTCCTGCTCCCCGCTCCTTCAGGGTCAGCAGGCTTCCCCCTCCTAGTCTCCCTCAGCTTGGAATGTGACCTCTGATCATTCCCAGAAATAGCTGAGGTCCCCAGGAGGGCTCCGGAAACGTCCCTGGGAACTCTGCTGGAAACAGCTTCTCTGCAGCTTGGTCCTTGCCACTGCCACTACCCCCAAACAATATGGTGGCCAGATTGGATGGGTAGTGAGAAGGAGAGGCTGGAGGCTGGCTGGTGGGGGGCTTGGCTTCCCCTTCTGCCCAGCAGGAGTGACAGGGCTACCTGGGGGGCTCAGGTGTCTGTTTCCAGGGTTCTGAACGAGAGAGCTTCCCAGCACCTGTGGTCATCTTACCTTTCATGAAACATGGAGACCTACACAGCTTCCTCCTCTATTCCCGGCTCGGGGACCAGCCAGTGGTAAGGGGCGTTTAATCATTCAGTCTACAAATATTAACTGAGCATCTATCAGGTACCCAGTGCTGCTCAGACCCTGGGAAGACCACGGTGACCAGGAGCTTGCTCTCCTGGAGCATTTCTTCCAGCAGGGGAGGGGCGGATGATAAACAAGCTAATAAATACCTAAGCGAGATGATTTAAATGTTTAAGTGCTAGGAAGGAAATACAGTAGGATGGAAGATAAGGAGGCCAGGCAGTGAATTTGGGTGGACGTGGAAGATCTTGCCGAGGAGGTGACCGTGAAGGAGTTGGGGCTGGGGAGATGTCTGGAGATCTGGGCAGGAAGCGACCCCAACAGAGCGCACAGCATAGGCAAAGGCTCGGAGGTGGGAATGATCATCGTTTGTCTGAAGACCAGACAGGAGTCTGGTGGGAGTGTCAGTCAAGGGCAAGAACATAGGCAATCAAGTCCAAGAGGAAGGCTGGAGCAAGTTTATAGGACCTTGCAGGCCATGGAGAGGGGTTGGGTTGAATTGTCAGGGCCATGGGAAACCACTGCGGGCAGAGCTAGGCTTGCACAGAGGGATGGAGGGAGGAGGGATCGCATCAAGGACTCTGTTGACCTCTCCTCCCACCTGCCTTGGCTCCCCAGTACCTGCCCACTCAGATGCTAGTGAAGTTCATGGCAGACATCGCCAGTGGCATGGAGTATCTGAGTACCAAGAGATTCATACACCGGGACCTGGCGGCCAGGAACTGCATGTGAGTGCCTTTCAGGGACCCCCCCCCCCCAACTGCTCCTGCACTCCCTGAGGGAGTTCCCTCCCTCCTTCTTAGGATGGAAGCAGGGCTAGACACCCGCTGAGGGCAGGTCAGAACTCAGGACCAGGAAAGTCAGTAAGGGGGTCTGGGAAGGCTTCCTGGAGGAGGTGAGTCCTGAACTGAGATCTGGAAGGAGCATTTGGATGCGGAGAGGGAAGAGACCAGAAGGTGGGCTCAGTGCACAGCATGAGGTGAGCAAAGGGGCTGAGGTGACCGATGGGGGTGGGGACACGTGAGCTGCATCTCTGTCCCACTCCATGCTGGGTGTCTTGCCTGGGGCTGCCCTTTGGAAGCGGCCACACTGGATAAGAAAATCAAACTCCCCACCAATGGACAAGCAGAAAATATGCCAGATGGGGTGCAGTGGCTCACGCCTGTAATCCCAGCACTTTGGGAGTCCGAGGCGGGTGGATCACTTGAGGCCAGGAGTTCGAGACCAGCCTTGGTGAAACCCCCTGTCTACTAAAAGTACAAAATTCAGCCTGGTGCGGTGGTGTGCGCCTGTAATCCCAACACGAGAATTGCTTGAACCCAGGAGGCGGAGGTTGCAATGAGCCGAGATCGCATCACTGCACTCCAGCCTGGGCGACAGAGCAAGACTCTGTCTCAAAAAAAAAAAAAAAAAGAAAGAAAGAAAGAAAGAAAGAAAAAAGAAAATAGTAACCTGTAGTCCCAGCCATTCCCAAGGCTTAGGTGAGAGGATTGCTTGAGCCTCGAGACCAGCCTGGGTAACAACAACGAGACACCATCTCAAAAAAAAAGAAAAAAAGAAAAGAAAGAACAAAAAATCCCCCAAAAGCCAGAATAGAGGGTAAGGGGAGGGTAGAAGGTGGAGGGAATGGAACCACAGAGTTAGAATATTAGTCTTGGCCAGGCGCAGTGGCTCACATCTATAATCCCAGCCCTTTGGGAGGCTGAGGCAGGAGGATCACTTGTACCCAGGAGTTCAAGACCAGCCTGGGCAACATAGTGAATCCTGTCTTTACAAAAAATAAATTAGCTGGGCATGGTGGTGTATACCTGTGGTTCCAGCTACTTGGGAGGCTGAGGTGGAAGGATTGCTAGAGCCCAGGAGGTTGAGGCTGAAGTCAGCCATGATGGTATCACTTCACTACTGCCTGGGCAACAGGGCAAGATCCCATCTAAAAAAAAATTGATGTATATTTTACATACACTAAAATATACACATGCAGCTCAGCTCGATGAATTTTTATGGGTATAGACCCATGTAACCACTAGATGAAGGTAAAGAATATTTCTTAGCCCCAGCAGGCTCCTTCATGCCTCTTCGTCTTCCCAATCACTACCGCCAAGTGGTACCCACTATCCTGACTTCTCAGTGCTAGTTTAGCCTGTTCTGAAAAGTCATACAAATGGGATCATGCAGTTTGTACTGCTTTGTGTCTGGCTTCTATGGCTCAGCATGATGTTTTTGAGATGGATCTGTGTAGGGGTAGTTTGCTCTTTTTCTTTGCTGTGTGGTATGGTATTCCATCATATGAATGTCCTGTGGATTTTCTTTTCTTTTTTTCTCTTTCTTTCTTTTTCTTTCTTTTCTTTCTTTTTCTCTCTGTCCTTTCTTCTTTCTTTTCTTTCTCTTTCTCTCTCTTTATCTCCTTCCTTCCTTCCTTCCCTCCCTCCCTCTCTCTTTCCCTTTCTTTCCCTTTTTTTCTTTCTTTTCTTTTTTGTTTTGACAGAGTCTTACTCTGTCCTTTAGGGTGGGGTGCAGTGGCATGATCATAGCTCACTGTAGCCTCCAACTCCTGGCTCAAGCTATCCTTCTGCCTCAGCCTCCTAAGTAGCTGGAACTACAGACATGTGCCACCATGTCCAGCTAATTTTTAAATTTTTTTGTAGAGACAGGGTCTTGCTTTGTTTTCCAGGCTGGTCTTGAACTCCTAGCCTCAAGTGATCCTCCCACCTTGGCCTCCCAAGGTGCTGAAATTACAGGCTTGAGCCACTGTGCCTGTTTTTTTTTTTGTTTGTTTTTGAGACGGAGTCTCACTCACTCTGTTGCCCAGGCTGGAGTGCAGTGGCGTGATCTCAGCTCACTGCAACCTCCGCCTACTGGGTTCAACTGATTCTCTTGCTTCAGCCTCCCAGGTAGCTGGGATTTCAGATGTGCACCAACACACCTGGCTAATTTTTGTACTTTTAGTAGAGACAGAGTTTCACCACATTGGCCAGGCTGGTCTCAAACTCCTGACCTCAAGTGATCCACCTGCCTTGGCCTCCCAGAGTGCTGGGATTACAGGCGCCAGCCACCATGCCCAGCCATGTTCTGTTTCTTAATCTGGGTGCTGGTTACATGGGTGTGTGTGTGTGTGTGTGTGAAAATTCAGTGAGCTGCTTACTTATGACTTGTGCACATTTCCATATGTACAGTATACTTCAAGAAAAAAAAATTTCATCAAGGAATCAAACCCAAGGAAGGACCTTAGAATCTAGCAAAGAGCCAAAATTGGGAAGTCCTGAGGAAGCCCTTTGTCCCATCCTCACTTGACAGAGTGAACAAGAAGTAAAGCAGTTCCCTTCTGGACTGGGATGAAGGTTTAGGAGACAGATCCCCACCCGCAGCCAGGACAGTGAGGGGAGGAGGTGCAGATGTGTCTGAGAGCCAGGGCAGGCTTCCTGGTGGAGGTGACTGATGCCCTGACCCTGTTCCTTTCCCCAATCCAAACAGGCTGAATGAGAACATGTCCGTGTGTGTGGCGGACTTCGGGCTCTCCAAGAAGATCTACAATGGGGACTACTACCGCCAGGGACGTATCGCCAAGATGCCAGTCAAGTGGATTGCCATTGAGAGTCTAGCTGACCGTGTCTACACCAGCAAGAGCGATGTGGTAGGTGCACTCCCGCCAAGAGTGGGGAACCATGGGAGGGCATGGCCTGACCATCACACACTATGCCTGGGTGGCTGTGGATGCAAGGGTCACAGGGACATGTGGGCTTCCCTTTGCAGGGGCTTGTCCACATGGGCTGGGCATGTCTTGGGGTATGGTGGGCATCTCTGAATAGTGGTGTGTACATGCCCAGGATAAATACAGGCCCACGTGTGCATGGTAGCAATGTAGACAGTTTAGGTTAGAAGAAGCTGCAGTGATTATGCGTGCATGTGCGCACACTCATAGAATGTGGACAGCCAGGGTGTGCAGAGTGGCACATGAGCTCATGTGTCCATGAAGTGTGTATATGTGTGTGATGGTGAGCATGTGTATGCATCCACAAAAGTTACTTATTCATGTGTATACCCGTGTCAAGTATTTTTTATATATATATATTTTTCTTTTTTTGAGATGGAGTCTCGCACTGTCACCCAGGCTGCAGTGCAATGGCATGATCTCAGCTCACTGCAGACTCTGCCTCCCGGGTTCAAGCAATTCTCCTGCCTCAGTCTCCCGAGTAGCTGGGATTACAGGCGCCCACCACCATGCCTAGCTAATTTTTGTATTTTTAGTAGAGACGGGGTTTCACTATATTGGCCAGGCTGGTCTCAAACTCCTGACCTCAGGCAGTCCGCCCACCTCAGCCTCCCAAAGTGCTGGGATTACAGGCATCAGCCACCGCACCCGGCTAAAGTATTATGTTTCTATGAATACTTGTGATGCTCCCAGAGGATGGTTGTGAACATGTGTACATAAGTGTGGGTGTACCCATGAACCTGGGTATTGGTGCGGGTGATTCTGTGCAGGAGAGACTGTCTAATTCCCTCTGCCCCTCACAGTGGTCCTTCGGGGTGACAATGTGGGAGATTGCCACAAGAGGCCAAACCCCATATCCGGGCGTGGAGAACAGCGAGATTTATGACTATCTGCGCCAGGGAAATCGCCTGAAGCAGCCTGCGGACTGTCTGGATGGACTGTGAGGACCCTTAGGTCTCCCCCAACCCAGAATTCATTCCAAACCCCTGACTACCCCCAGATGGCCCTCACAGGTCCAGGACTCTCTATAACCCAGACAGAATCCCTGAGAATGCTGAGTGACCCACTTGCCCCTCACCAATGCTCTGAGTAGGGCCATCACTAACCAGTGGGGTGCAAATCAGCTAAAGGCACCCTTTCCTCCTTTGTCTGTGTGGGCTGAATCAGCCCCCTGGCTCCCCACCCCCAAGCCAGGTATCCTTGGGTAGTGAATAACAGCACAGTCTTACCTGGCGGCCCTGCCTTTGGGACATGCACTCCCAGAGACTTCTCATTCCAGACTCCTGAGCACACCATGCTTCCCCGACATGCTCCTCAACACCTGAGACTCTCTGCAAAACCCTTCAGTTTGTTTTATTGGCCTTCTCCAGACTCAGGTCTCCTCTGAGATATTTGCAGGATCCTTCAGGGAATGCTTACCAAACTTTGCAATATTGGAGTATGCGGAGAAGGCCGTGACATTTAGCTAGCACTTTGAGGGTAAAGAGAGGATGACTTTGGGTCAGGAGGAGACAGCCTGGGGCGTCAGACTCCTCAGTCCACCTTGGGTACTCCAAGAGCTGAGACGAGTAAAAATAACAGCTAACATTTTCATATAACTGACTAGAAGGCACTGTTTTAGGTGCCTGGCATGTGTCAAATCATTTGGTCCTTACCACAGCCATGTGATGTAGATAGGTATCATTATGATTCCCATTCTGCAGATAAGAAAACCCAGTCCTACAGGGAGGGTAATTTATTTTTATTTATTGACTTGAGTCTCGCTCTGTCGCCCAGGCTGGAGCACAATGGCTCCATCTCGGCTCACTGCAACCTCCCAGGTTCTAGCGATTCTCTTGCCTCAGCCTCCCAAGTAGCTGGGACTACAGGCGTGTGCCACCATGCCCAGCTAATTTTTTTTGTATTTTTAGTAGAGATGGGGTTTCACCACCTTAGCCAGGATGGTCTTGATATCGTGACCTCATGATCCACCCGTCCCAGCCTCCCAAAGTGCTGGGATTATAGGCATGAGCCTCCACGCCCAGTCTGGGAGGGTGATTTATTTGCCAAAGATTGCACAGCTGGTGTGTTTGTTATCTATATCCCCAAATCAAGTAGTTTAAAACAACAAACGTTTATTATCTCACACAATTTCTGAAAGTTGGATACTGGGAACAGCTTAGCAGGGTGATTTTGGTTCAGGATCTCTAATGAAGTTACAAAGATATCACTGGGGGCTGCAGTCATCTGAAGGTTGGGACTGGAGGATTGCTTTCAAGGTGGCTTACTCACATGGCTGTAGCAGGAGGCTTCAGTTCGTTGCCATGTGGACCCCTTTGTGGCACTGCTTGAGCTTACTCACAACATGGCAACCCAGGAGAAAGTGCGAGGAAGCCACATGCCTTTTATGACCTAGTCTCAGAAGTCACACACACCATCACTTCTGCCAAATCAGAAGCAAGTCACTAAGTCCTGCCCATGCTCAAGAGGAGAGGATTTATTCTCCGTCTTTTGCAGGGAGGAGGGTCAAAGAATTTATGGACCTATTTTAAACCAGCACAGCTTGTAAGTGGCATAGCCAGGCTTTGATGCAAGTCTGTTCTGGGGAGCTGGAAGGTCTGTTCTAGCAAACCCTCATCAGAATACTACTCCATATACAGACAGGTTTCCCGAGACCCTTCCCAGCTCCTGAGTCTCCCAGGACCCAACTCAGAAATTCTTGGGAATTCCCAAATCCCCATAGATGGCCTCAAACTGCTGAGGCTCCCTATAACCCTCTAAAATGCCCCCAGTCCCCTGAGTGTCCTAAAATGTCCCCAGGCTTCCAGAATGCACCCCTTCTGAGTCCCTGCTCAATCTCCCACCCCTCATTTTGCTGCCCTAGGTATGCCTTGATGTCGCGGTGCTGGGAGCTAAATCCCCAGGACCGGCCAAGTTTTACAGAGCTGCGGGAAGATTTGGAGAACACACTGAAGGCCTTGCCTCCTGCCCAGGAGCCTGACGAAATCCTCTATGTCAACATGGATGAGGGTGGAGGTTATCCTGAACCCCCTGGAGCTGCAGGAGGAGCTGACCCCCCAACCCAGCCAGACCCTAAGGATTCCTGTAGCTGCCTCACTGCGGCTGAGGTCCATCCTGCTGGACGCTATGTCCTCTGCCCTTCCACAACCCCTAGCCCCGCTCAGCCTGCTGATAGGGGCTCCCCAGCAGCCCCAGGGCAGGAGGATGGTGCCTGAGACAACCCTCCACCTGGTACTCCCTCTCAGGATCCAAGCTAAGCACTGCCACTGGGGAAAACTCCACCTTCCCACTTTCCCACCCCACGCCTTATCCCCACTTGCAGCCCTGTCTTCCTACCTATCCCACCTCCATCCCAGACAGGTCCCTCCCCTTCTCTGTGCAGTAGCATCACCTTGAAAGCAGTAGCATCACCATCTGTAAAAGGAAGGGGTTGGATTGCAATATCTGAAGCCCTCCCAGGTGTTAACATTCCAAGACTCTAGAGTCCAAGGTTTAAAGAGTCTAGATTCAAAGGTTCTAGGTTTCAAAGATGCTGTGAGTCTTTGGTTCTAAGGACCTGAAATTCCAAAGTCTCTAATTCTATTAAAGTGCTAAGGTTCTAAGGCCTACTTTTTTTTTTTTTTTTTTTTTTTTTTTTTTTGCGATAGAGTCTCACTGTGTCACCCAGGCTGGAGTGCAGTGGTGCAATCTCGCCTCACTGCAACCTTCACCTACCGAGTTCAAGTGATTTTCCTGCCTTGGCCTCCCAAGTAGCTGGGATTACAGGTGTGTGCCACCACACCCGGCTAATTTTTATATTTTTAGTAGAGACAGGGTTTCACCATGTTGGCCAGGCTGGTCTAAAACTCCTGACCTCAAGTGATCTGCCCACCTCAGCCTCCCAAAGTGCTGAGATTACAGGCATGAGCCACTGCACTCAACCTTAAGACCTACTGTTCTAAAGCTCTGACATTATGTGGTTTTAGATTTTCTGGTTCTAACATTTTTGATAAAGCCTCAAGGTTTTAGGTTCTAAAGTTCTAAGATTCTGATTTTAGGAGCTAAGGCTCTATGAGTCTAGATGTTTATTCTTCTAGAGTTCAGAGTCCTTAAAATGTAAGATTATAGATTCTAAAGATTCTATAGTTCTAGACATGGAGGTTCTAAGGCCTAGGATTCTAAAATGTGATGTTCTAAGGCTCTGAGAGTCTAGATTCTCTGGCTGTAAGGCTCTAGATCATAAGGCTTCAAAATGTTATCTTCTCAAGTTCTAAGATTCTAATGATGATCAATTATAGTTTCTGAGGCTTTATGATAATAGATTCTCTTGTATAAGATCCTAGATCCTAAGGGTCGAAAGCTCTAGAATCTGCAATTCAAAAGTTCCAAGAGTCTAAAGATGGAGTTTCTAAGGTCCGGTGTTCTAAGATGTGATATTCTAAGACTTACTCTAAGATCTTAGATTCTCTGTGTCTAAGATTCTAGATCAGATGCTCCAAGATTCTAGATGATTAAATAAGATTCTAACGGTCTGTTCTGTTTCAAGGCACTCTAGATTCCATTGGTCCAAGATTCCGGATCCTAAGCATCTAAGTTATAAGACTCTCACACTCAGTTGTGACTAACTAGACACCAAAGTTCTAATAATTTCTAATGTTGGACACCTTTAGGTTCTTTGCTGCATTCTGCCTCTCTAGGACCATGGTTAAGAGTCCAAGAATCCACATTTCTAAAATCTTATAGTTCTAGGCACTGTAGTTCTAAGACTCAAATGTTCTAAGTTTCTAAGATTCTAAAGGTCCACAGGTCTAGACTATTAGGTGCAATTTCAAGGTTCTAACCCTATACTGTAGTATTCTTTGGGGTGCCCCTCTCCTTCTTAGCTATCATTGCTTCCTCCTCCCCAACTGTGGGGGTGTGCCCCCTTCAAGCCTGTGCAATGCATTAGGGATGCCTCCTTTCCCGCAGGGGATGGACGATCTCCCACCTTTCGGGCCATGTTGCCCCCGTGAGCCAATCCCTCACCTTCTGAGTACAGAGTGTGGACTCTGGTGCCTCCAGAGGGGCTCAGGTCACATAAAACTTTGTATATCAACGAGCTTCTGTCTCCTCTTGTCTCCTTTTAGCTGTGATGTGGCCCCATTCCCTGGCAATTCAGTTCCCCCATCAGAAAAAAGAAGGGCTTGGTAGGGTCTTGGAATTCTGTCCTCACTAGAGAGGGTAGAAATGAACACACAGATAGACAAAAAGACATACAAGCAAAGAGATGCAGGTTCTCAGAAACCCCCAGTGAGGAACTGGCATACAGATCCAGGATCACAGACACACACACACACACACACACCTGTTCCGCCGCAAACTAACAGACACATGAATTAATGGACACACCCAGGAGGACCTGGTCACAAATACAGAGACTGAAACTCAGACGCATAGAGTAACACAGACACACAGAATTACACAGACACAAGCATATTTACAAACATGCTCAGGCAGATACCCGCCACGAATAGGAAGAGACACAGACCTAGAGTCAAGTGACACAAATACTCAAGAGACATGTAGAGTACAACAGGTACTCACAACCCCGAACGTTCAGACTGACATAGAAACACAGGCACAGAACACCTCCGATCATCACGGACCCACAAAGGGCCTCCAGCGAAGACCAGCCCACCGTGTCTGGCACGCACTCGCGAGCGGGCGTTCGCGGGTGTGGCCGGCAGCAAATGGAGAAACCCTTGGCAGCGCCCGGACGCCCTCCAGTGGCGGCTCCTGAGAACCGGGGACAGTTCAATCCGGGCCACAAACTTTTTTAGAACAAATCATTGTGGGAAGCTGGGAGGAGAGAGAGAGAGAGGAAGTCGGACGTGGGCGAGGGGCGGGGTGTCTGGACTGGAACCTCTGGGCCCACGTGAGTGTCTGTCCCGCTGCTGAGTGGGTGCTGTGTGTTTGGGTTGCTGTAGTGTTCGCTTGTAGTGCAACTATCCTGTGTTATCTTTATTATTCGATGCCGCCTGCCTCTGCGGACCGTAGTGGGCACATCTACACTGCAGCGGGGTGCCTTACCCAAAGCAGATCGGAATTGGGGCCGGGCGCGGTGGCTCACGCCTGTAATCCCAGCACTTTGGGAGGCCGAGGCGGGCGGATCACTTGAGGTCAGGAGTTCGAGACCAGCCTGGCCAACATGGTGAAACCCCGTCTCTACTAAAAATACAAAAATTAGTCGGGCATGGTGGCGGGGACCTGTAATCCCAGCTACTCGGAAGGCTGAGGCAGGAGAATCGCTTGAACACGGGAGGCGGAGGTTGCGGTGAGCTGAGATAGAGGCCCTGCACTCCAGCCAGGGTAACAAGAGCGAGACTCCGTCTCAAAAAAAAAAAAAAAAAAAAAAGAACAACAAAAAAAAGAACTGGATGCGTCTGATCTGACGCACGCCTGTTTGTTTACGACTGCGGGGTGTGCCTTTGTCTGAGTAGAGATAGTGTGTGGCTTTTGCGGGCTTAACGTGTGGCTCAGGAGGCAGTGGGAGTCTGCATCATGTATCCCGATTGCGTCTTACTCGAGTTTTGTTTTGAGTTAGAGGCGACAGGTGGTGCAGCGTTAGACACTGGGAAGCTCTGTGGCTTTTGTATTCCTGAGCGCGAAGGTTAATGACGGATCCGTGGGGTTGAGCTTGTCGGTACAGACGCCAGACAGCCCGATTTACGGGAACAGCCGATTAGAGGATTCGGGAGAGCGGTCGGTGAACTTCTGGATGTCTTTCGGGAGGGGAAGGCTCTATGGTCGCGTGCAGAGCGCCCGTTCCACGTCAGGTACCCGACCATAGAGCAAGGCGGCCGCGGACTACCCAAGGGAAGGGGAGGCCGTGTCCTTTACAACTTGCCTCCCGTTGTTAGTCTAGTTTCTATAGCCAAACCTTCGGGACTCTCTCAACTCAAAATTTTGCTTTTCCTAAAGGCAACTGGGTTCCTTCCAGATTACGAACTGTGTATCCACTTAATCTCTATTTCGTATACCTCCTCCTACAGCGAAATTTGTGAGGCAGTCCTCTGAAGCACGGCCAATCTGGTGAACTTTTCCTAAAATGAGCCATCGCTACCAGCTTTAGTGAGCTAAGACAATAACTGCGATTGGTGGGCAGATTGTTTTGAAACCGCCCTAACGGCAAGGGGCGGGCTCCTGGTGAATTCATCTCTTTCCGGTTTCTTAAAGGCAACAGGAAGGAGGGGTTTCTGCCGACCCTCCATTTGATTGGTTCTAGTGGTTTTACCCGCTCGGACTCCTCAAGGGGCGGGAGATGTACACCAATCGGAATGTGTGTTACAGAGACACTTAGTTTGATGAAAGGACTGCGCAGGAAAGGCCGTGGGACACTCATTCTGAGATCTTACCGTTGATTGGACCAAATTGTTACTCCCTTATTTTCATTGGACCTTACGGCAGCCGGCGCGCGAGAGTTACCCAATCAGCAAGCGCTCCGCCTCCTGCCTTTTCCCGCCCTCCGCTCCGGCCTCGGCTTCGACGTAGGCCAACGCTTCCTCCCCAGTAGCTCCTAGGCCTTCTCGTGGCCGTTGTTTTGAAAACGGCGCTCTGATTGGCTAGGTTTCCGGGCCCGCGCCCGTTGCCCCACGCACTGACCAATTGGCACTCATGTAACATCGGACGAGGCACGAGTGAGGGGGGAGGCGGTGGCGGCGGCCATTTTGAGCCGCTGCCGCCATTGGAGTGGGCCCCCCCCCTTTCCCCCTTCGCCTCCTGACAGGAAAGGTTTAAGGGGGACAGAGCCCTGGGAGGCCGGGCCGGGCTCGGGGGCCACCCCGGGGGCCCGGGCCATGGATGTGCGCCGTCTGAAGGTGAACGAACTTCGCGAGGAGCTGCAGCGCCGCGGCCTGGACACTCGAGGCCTCAAGGCCGAGCTTGCTGAGCGGCTGCAGGCGGCGTTGGAGGCCGAGGAGCCTGACGACGAGCGGGAGCTCGACGCCGACGACGAACCGGGGCGACCCGGGCACATCAACGAGGAGGTCGAGACCGAGGGGGGCTCCGAGCTGGAGGGGACCGCGCAGCCACCGCCGCCCGGGCTGCAGCCGCACGCGGAGCCCGGCGGCTACTCGGGGCCGGACGGACATTGTGAGAGTGCGCGGGGCGGGGGCCGGGGAGCCCGGAGCCTGGGCCGAGGAAAGGGCTGTGGGACGCGGGAGTCCAGCGCCTGAGGTCGGGGAGACGACCTGAGGATCGGGGGATCCCGCTACCCGCCGCCGAAAAGGATCTGGGGACCAGGGCCCCAGCACGACCGGAGGGTGGATCCTGACACTCAGTGCAGGGGGGACACTGGGGGAGGGGCCTCTGGGTTTCGGAGGTGAGGGACGGGGGTGGCGGGGAGGATTCCGTACCGTAGGGATCGGAGACCGGAAACTGCTTTCTGGAGCCGAAGAGAGTCGGAAGAACAAGAGGTTTTCCGTTTGGGTTGGGGAGGGTCTCGAAAATGGGGATCCTAGGGTACGGAGCTCCGTGGGCTTGGCGGTCGTGCTAGCCCAGCGTGTGGGCTGGGGGGTGGGGAGCCGTGTTTCCAGGGTGGGGAAGGAATGTCCAGGTGTGCGGGGCTGCGAGAGTTCTGAGGAAGGAGGATCCTGGAATATGCCGCTGGATGCGATCCTGGGCGTTCTCCTATTTGGGTACGGGGGTGGGTGGGAGAGGTGGAGGCGCTGGTGTCTGTGGCTGGGGAGGGTCCTAATGGACTCAGTGCTTTGGAGTTTGGCTAGTGAGCATTTAGGGGCTGCGGGAGATTGAACTAGGGGGCACCCCCATCTCTCTTCCGGGGCTGGAAGGCCACCCTTGAAGCAGGCACAGCCTGGACATTAGGTGCTGGGAGATCTGGGGACTTTCTGGTTGGCTTCTAGAAGAGGTATAGGGAGCCCTGGTGTCCAGAGGCTGGCGGGGGAGAGGATGCTTTCCTGGACAAAGGATCTGGGGGTCTAGAGCTAAGAAAACTGAGGGCAAATAACTCTTGAGGCTGCTGCTGACTGGTCTGGAGCTAACTGTGGGGTTTTTGGAGAACAGAGGGTAGCTGGGGGTGGGATGGGGGCAGATGAGTTGGTAACATTCCAAGTGGATGAAATATGTGGCGGGAGACAGAGGATCCTGTGTCCAGCACAGGAGTACGTATCTGGCTTAGCGAATATGGGGAGGGGGGAGGCCGTAGGGAGCAAAGAGAAAGAAACCTGTTGACTTCACTGGAGGCCTCAGAGTGGAGTGTGGGGAATGTTTCTGGACCTGAGCGTCTCCAGGAGAAATCTCGACGGTTCCCAGAAGCAGTTATTTGTGTACCCAGGGAGTGGGGGCCCTCGGGGAGCAGCACGGAACTCTTCATCAGCCAGGAGCTGTGACTCTGGGAATGGGTTCGGGTAGACCTGCGGTTGTCTGAGGAGAGGAAAACCTGATATGGGACGGCGTGAATCTTCAGTTAGAAAAAAAGCAGCTTTCGGGCCGAGTGCAGTGGCTCACGCCTGTTATTCCAGCACTTTGGGAGGCCGAGGCGGGCGGATCACGAGGTCAGGAGTTCAAGACCAGTCTGGCCAGCATAGTGAAACCCTGTCTCTACTAAAAATACAAATATTAACCGGATCTGGTGGTGTGCGCCTGTAGTCCCAGCTACTCGGGAGGCTGAGGCAGGAGAATCGCTTGAACTTGGGAGGGGGAGGTTGCAGTCAGCCGAGATTACGCCATTGCACTCCAGCCTGGGCAACAAAAGTGAAACTCCGTCTCAAAAAAGAAAAAAGCAGCTTTCTTTCTCTTTTTTTTAAATACAGATGGGGGGTCTCGCTATGTTGCCCAGGGTGGTCTTGAACTCCTGGGTTCAGGTGATCTCACCTCGGCCTCCTGAAGTGCTGGGATTACAGGCGTGAATCACTGCACCAGGCCTCAGGGCAGCTTTCTAGTAGGACTGGGAAATGGGGGGACTGGAAAGGTTAAGGAGTAAGTAGAAGGGATTCTGGCGTAAGAGTTTGTGGAGTTTTTCTGAAAAGAGGGCACCCTGGGACTTGGGGCTAAGGGGATAAGGAGAGAAATGAGGTAACAGAAGAGACAGGATTTGGGGTTGGAATTGGATACTTGTTCATAAGAGAATTTCCCGGAGGGAGGAGTGTGGATTTGGGGTAGGCAGTGGCCTAGAGATTATCGAGGACCCAGGTGCTGGAAAGAGGACTTCCCATTGCAGAGACTTGTGAAGAAAGGAGTGGGCCTGTGTGTGTGTCTAGAGCAGGAGGGATCGTGGCAGGAATGCCTAGCAAGAAAGGGTAGTGGGTTAGTAGTGACCTGGTGGTCTGGGCAGAGAGTCATCTCTGAGAGGAAAGCGAATTAGGTGCTTTGGAGCGTAGACTCTAGACTAAGACAGACTTCGTTTCAAATCTGGCTTAAAGATATTGGCAAGTCACTTCACCTCTGTGGGCCTGGTTTCCTTAATGTGTAAAATGGGGTTAATCAACAAATAGTGTGTTCACAGCCCCTCCAACCCCTGAGGGGTGTTATGAATGAGATCACATGTGAAGGGCTTATCACTGGGCCTGCCTTTTATGAGAAGAGGGATGTTTTAGAGAATGGAGAAGGACCCTAGAATTATAGCTTCTCCAGGAGGGGCTGCCTCTGTGAACACAGGAGAGAGATGCTGGGGAAAAGAGGCTTTGTGGGAAGAGGAGCATTGTGCTTGGAGCCTGGAAGCAGCAGAATAGTTTGAAAGGGCCCCATATTCCAATTAAGGAGATAATGCTATTTCTTCCTCTCTCCCTTACTTGCTACAACAAAGTCCTTTGAGCCCCCTTCATGCCTCCCTTAAGCCCTCCTTCAACCTTGGTAAACAGACCGGTAGCAAACCACATGACCTGTGACTTTCCTCCCTTTGGGCTGCACCTGGTTTGTGCCCAGATGTATTTATCCTCTGAGAAGGAATCCGATCAGTTAGCAAGTGGCAGAATAGTCTCTCCTTCCCTTTGGTTCTGGCTCACGGCTCCTGGCATAGCCACTGGTAGGGCCCTTGGGGCCCTAACTGAGAGCTAGCCCCTGGGGAGGAGAGCCTGTATGCTGCCCATCCTAGCTTTCTAAAGTTCTCTCTGGGTTTGGCTGCAAGGTTCTTGAGGGAATTTCTGGTTTTAGTTCCACCTCTGAGCTTTCACACGTGTTATCCCAACCCCAGTAACATTCTCCATTCTCATCACTGAGTCATTACCTGTGTATCCTTTGAATCAAGGCTTATCTGTTATTTTCCAGGTCCCTTTCTTCATTCCTGGTACTACTTTGTAGCCTTCAACACAATCATATTAAATTTTTGTGTGTCTTTAAGATTTGTCTGTCTCACTAAACTGAAGGCTTCAGTGGGGCAAGCTTGTCTTCAGCTGTATCCCAGGCTCTGGAGTATAGTATGCATGCCATGAATAGTTAATATTATTATTCTTACCACTCTTAGTTGAGCTCCTGGACCTGCAGATGCCTTCTGGATGCTTTGGTCCAGGGTTCTTCATGAACCGCCCCTCTAATTGGCCATTTTTAATTTTGTTTTAAGATGCCATGGACAATATTACCAGGCAGAACCAATTCTACGATACCCAAGTCATCAAACAAGAAAACGAGTCAGGCTACGAGAGGAGACCACTGGAAATGGAGCAGCAGCAGGCCTATCGTCCAGGTAGGAAAATACACATGGTTCATCTCTTTGGATGGAAACAATCTACATGGAGCCTTTACCCCCTGCTTAGAGCGGGTCTTCCCAGAGAAACTGTGCATCTTTTTTCTTGGGCAGTTCATCTAAACATTGTCACTCTGGCAAGAATTGTTTAAAGGAAAGATCTCAGTCCTATTTCCAAGTGTTGGGAGAGGGGAGGTTCCATGGTATCTGTAAAAAAGTGATGTTAGTATCAGCCGGGTGTGGTGGCTCCCTCCTGTAATCCCAGCACTTTGGGAGGCCGAGGCAGGTGGATCACCTGAGGTCTGGAGTTCGAGACCAGCCTGGCCAATATGGTGAAACCCGTCTCTACTAAAAATACAAAAATTAGCCAGGCATGGTGGCAGGCACCTGTAATCCCAGCTACTTGGGAGGCTGAGGCAGGAGAATCACTTGAACCCAGGAGGCGGAGGTTGCAGTGAGCCGAGATCGCGTCATTGCACTTCACTCAGTCTGGGCAACAAGAGTGAAACTGCATCTCAAAAAAAAAAAGATGTTAGTATAAGCACCCTGGAGAGTTGAGACCCCTAGACTAATACTTGAATCTTATTTAGAATCTTAGAATGGGGGAGCCAGAAAGAGCCTTCTAAGTCTAATCTGGTATTTCTCATGTTCTGAAGATTATTGTTTCAGGGGATATTATTAGGGGATTCTCAGAAAAGGGTTCCTTAGCCAAATGTGTCTGGAAACTGTAGCATGTGCTATATCGTCTCTTGGAAATTCACTGTGCTTGTTAGAACATTAAAGGCTCTGAGAAGTCCAGAATTTAAAAAAAAAAAAAGAAAGTGTGTGTCAGGCCTCAGGCCAGGTGCGCTGGCTCATACCTATAATTCCAACACTTTGGGAGGCCAAGGTAGTAGGATCATTTGAGACCAGGAGTTCCAGACCAGACTGGGCAACATAGTGAGACCCCTTCTCTACAAAAAATTTAAAAATTAGCCAGGCATGGCTATGACTGACTACATGCACACACCTATAGTTAAAGCTACTCAGGAGACAAAGGTAGGAGGATCACTTGAGCCCAGGAGTTTGAGGCTGCTGTGAGCTATGATTACACTACTACACTCCAGCCTGGGTGACAGTGCAAGACCCTGTCACGAAAAAAAAAAAAAAAAAAAAAAACCTAAAATTAAAAGTAGGTTAGAACACAGTGGCTCATGCTTGTAATCCTAGCGCTTTAGGAGGCCAAGTCAGGAGGATCACTTGAGCCTAGGAATCCAAGACTAGCCTGGCAACATAGTGAGACCCCTGTTGTCTTTAGAAAAAATTAAAAATTGCCTGAGCATGGTGACATGCTTGTAGTCCCAGCTACTCAGAAGACTGAGTCAGGAGGATCACTTGAGCCCAGGAGTTCAAGGCTGCAGTAAGCTATGATCGTGCACGGCACTGCAGCCTGGGCGACAGGAAGACCTTGCCTTAAAAATAAAAACAGGCCGAGTGCGATGGCTGTTACATGCCTGTAATCCCAACACTTTGGGAGGCTGAGGTGGGAGGATTGCTTGAGTCCAGGAGTTCAAGACCAGCCTGGGCAACATAACCCTGTCTCTATAAAAAATAAAAATATTACCTGAGCATGGTTGCACAATCCTATAGCCCCAGCTACTCTTTTTTTTTTTTTGAGACGAAGTCTCGCTCTTGTTCCCCAGGCTGGAGGGCGATGGCGCGATCTCAGCTCACTGCAACCTCCGCCTCTCGGGTTCAAGCGATTCTCCTGCCTCAGCCTCCCAAGTAGCTGAGATTTCAGGCGCCTGCCACCACACCTGGCTAATTTTTGTATTTTCAGTAGTGACGGGGTTTTACCATGTTGGCCAGGCTGGTCTCAAACTCTTGACCTCAGGTGATCCGCCCGCCTCAGCCTCCCAAAGTTCTGGGGTTACAGGCGTGAGCCACTGAACCCGGCCAAGTCCCACCTACTCTGGACCCTGAGGTGGGAGGATCACTTGAGCTAGGAAGTTGAGGCTCCATGAGCCATGATGGCAGCACTGCATTCCAGCCTGGGCAACAGTAAGCCTCTGTCTCCAAAAAAATTTTTTTTTTAATTAAATTTAAAAACCTTGTGTCTTCTTGGGCTGGTGTTGCTGAAAATATTTTTTTTAATAAAAAAATAGACAAAAAACCTTGTGTTGTATCGTTTAAACTTAGGATTTCCCAATCATGTTAAGTATATGTCTTTACAGAACAAAGTTCCCCATGATGCCAACTCTCCCTTCCCTTTTTTTTTTTTTTTTTTTTGAGATGGAGTCTCGCTCTGTTGCCCAGGCTGGAGTACAATGGTGTGATCTTGGCTCACTGCAACCTCTGCCTCCCAGGTTCAAGTGATTCTCCTGCCTCAGCCTCCTAAGTAGTTGGGACTACGGGCGTGCCACCACACCCAGCTAATTTTTTGTGTGTTTTTAGTAGATGTGGGGTTTCACCATGTTGGCCAGGATGGTCTCAATCTCCTGACCTCATGATCTGCCTGCCTCGGCCTCCCAGAGTGCTGGGATTACAGGTGTAAGCCACTGCGCCTGGCCTCTCCTCCCCATTTTATAGATTGAGGAGTTGGCTTGTCCGATGGCAGAGCTGGGGCTACAACCTAGCATACTTGCTCCCAGGCTAGTCCTCTTGGTTAATAAGCAGCATTCCTTATCATTTGTGCCTTACTATTTGGAAAGCAGGGTCCCACTATTGAGAACTGATGGAGCCCGGACTGACCCCCAGTTTTGTGCTGCTTTTACTGTGTTGTGGCCTCCCAGTGCCTTTTCTTAGTGTATCTGGTTGATTTTGTCTAACGCCATTCTGGTTCATCCACAAAGTTAAATCCCCAGACATTTCTTGTGGGTGGCTCAGAACTTTACTGAATGTAGGTTAAACCGCAGATTTGTGTCAGGCTCTGTGAGACTTGTAGGATCATTCAGCCACAGGAGAATATTTTCTGTGCCGTTATCCACAGACATTCATCAGGAGCCCTGTGTGAGCCCAACCTATTGCTGGGAACCAGGGAAGCTCTCTTCAGGATGGCTGAGCACCATCCCAGCCCTAGAGAACCAGGAGACTTTTCTGAGAGATGTGGTCCACATGCCGAAGCTGGGGAGTGATCCAAAATGGTCTGGGGTTGAATGCAGAAATGAGTAGATGTGAATGAGCTTCAGCATCAGGGATTAATGCTGTGGGAGAAATGAAGGTAGCCTACATCTGTGGTTTGCTCTTGGTTAGGCACTGATTCCTGGAGTCTGCCTGAGACTAGGACTTACCCGTGGTCCACAGCACGGTATCCCATCCTGACTTTCTGTTAATGGTATGACTTAAAGAGGTTATTGCACCTATGGGATGGCTTAACCGGAGTGATTCTGGCCTCTTTTGGTAGGGTAACTAAAGCCCGTAGAGTTAGCTGCAGGACCACAGTACCCTGTTGAATTCATCCTCTCCCCCTCCCTTGCCAGACTGAAGAAGCTTTGTAAGAACTAAGGCAGAGAGGTTCTTTGGGAAGAGAAATTGGAGAATTTAGGGTCATGGTATCTCAGATCCTAACCCTGTTCTCCAGTATGGCCTTCTTGGCTGGCTCAGCAGGCTTCTGTTGAACTCAGCAAGCTGCCTGTGCCCAGCCCTTCATCACTGTAGTGAGGATCCTGCTCACATCTCTCAAGGGAAAAGGGACCAGAAAAGTGATAGCTGGGGAGCTTGCGAGTGTCTTGACCATCTGAATTTGTCTTGACAATAGAAATGAAGACAGAGATGAAGCAAGGAGCACCCACCAGCTTCCTCCCGCCTGAAGCTTCTCAACTCAAGCCAGACAGGCAGCAATTCCAGAGTCGAAAGAGGCCTTATGAAGAAAACCGGGGACGGGGGTACTTTGAGCACCGAGAGGATAGGAGGTGGGTGTATGAGGCAGCAGTCACCCTTGCTCTGGTAGGTTTCTATATCCATAGCCTCGTGCTTGCTGGGGACATTTGCACTAACCTAGAGGGGCTGAGTAAAGATTCCCTCTGCTTTCACACTCTTCCTGTCCCTTCCCGTACTTGCTACCAGATTCAGCTTTCCTAAACTTTTGGTCCTTCCCCCAGTTCCTCCCTTCTTACCTGCAGGGTAACTTCTAAATATCTTAGACTTTCACGCGTGAGATGCCAGCCTGCCTGTTCTGTCCTTTGCCTTACTGCCCCTGCAGTCAGCTGCTTGATACCCGTAATGAAAGAAATATCTGTTTCCTAACACTACTCCCAAATACACATCCTCTTCCCATTCATCCACTCATTCAGTCAGTTCTCACAGTGCTGTCACGAAGTGCCCACTCTTGGGCTGGACACTAGCAACATACAGATGGACAGTGGGTTTTGCCTTCTGTTGTTCCAGTGTGGGGACTCAGACACATACACTAGTAAGCCACAACCTCTGAGGTGAGTAGTCAGGATGCAGGTGAGTTTCAGGAGTTCAGAAGAGGGAGCAGCCTCTGCTTTGGTCATTTCCCTTCCCTAACAAGCCCTTCCCTCCTTTCCCTCCAGACCAAGTCCTTCCCTTCCCTCCTTCCTTCCTTCAGTTCCTGTCTGAAGCCTTTTGCAATTATGAAAACTAGGAATGGCCACTGTACTCATCTGGACTAGTCATCTGACATTCTATTTCCTATCTGGCGGAGTCCACCTTCTAACTAGCTTGTTACTGTCTGAGACAGGGCCTGGATCTCACAGGCTATGATTTAAGTTAGGACATGGATCCCACCTCATATGGGGTTCTTCCACTGCCTCCCACAGAGCAGAAGCCTGGAAGCTACTTACTGATGGAGAGCAAAGGAAGAACACTCGCTCTGATCCTGGGCTGGCAGGGAAAGTTTCCTAGAATGGACTTAACATGTGATGAGCACAGCTCATCCATGTTAGCCCTGGCCTGGCGAGGCCAGAGGGGCCCTCCACCAGAGGGAAGCCTGCTGCTGGGAGAGTCAGCAGCCAAATGGGCATGGGCTCCCCATCTGTGCATGCAGTGCACTGCGACCACCCAGACTGTCCAGGCAGGACCCTGAGTGTTAGATTCTACCTTTCTACCCTTCTTCCTCGTTCCTGTACAGCAGAAACCAACAGTGTTAAGTCCCTTTTTTAGCGTTTTGGTAGGAAAATGAATATCGTTTATAATTTAGGACACTGAAAAAAATGGGTCATCTCAAATTCTTACAGATGTAGGATTTTAAGAAGCCTGGTACATGGATAGATAGTAATTATTGGGATTTATATAGGCTCTTGCACATTCCCCTTCCTGGCCAGCACCCTTTTGGGATACCACAGCCTCCAAACAGTAACAGAGATCAGTGTGGAAGTGGTTGTCAACATGCAGAGGGTATGGATCAGAATCTTTGGGTGTAAAAAAAGAGTGAAAAAATTCCCTAAATGATTCTGATGCCCCCCTTCAGCAGAGCATGCCTTCTTCAATCCCTGTCTCCACCGTAGGAGTTGACGGTCATTGCTCTCCTTGCAAGGATGTAGGGTTTCAGAGTTCTTTTGCCCACCTCTGTGGAAGGAAATGGAGATTCAGGAAGCAGTCTGGAGGCCACTCATAGATTACAGCAGAACATTCATTTTCTTTCCTTTGTGCTCATCCATTGTTCTTGTATGACTTAACCCCTGTTTCTAATACAGGGGCCGCTCTCCTCAGCCTCCTGCTGAAGAGGATGAAGATGACTTTGATGATACCCTTGTTGCTATTGACACCTGTAAGTCTTTGGAGTGTGCATCTAATTCTGCCTTACAGTCAGTATGGGGAAATTGTGGTCTTGACCTTCACCAGAATCCCTGCTGGGCACCGTCCAAAGACATTGTTAGTCCACATGTGAGACACGGCTTAGCTCTGGAGCAAGAGTACTGGTTTGGAGGCAAAAGACCTACTCCCAACTCTAGCAGTGGGACCCTGGGCAAGTCATTCTACTTCTCTGAGCTTCCCTTCAGGAAGGAGTAAATCTGCTGTACTAACCTCAGAGGATTTTCAGGGAGACTCCTCAGTGGATATAGGAGCAATCTGGAAAACCCTGAACCGCCCTGTACACACAGGGGTTGTCATCTAATCAGGAAGGGAATCTGAGTGCAGCTGGGGAAACTTAACTCTTTGACAACCAGTTCCCGTTTCCATCAGCTGCTCAAGTTCCTGGTGAAACCAATGCCACTGTGTCCTGTGAGGCACTAACCTGGCCCGCCCTGCTGTCTGTCCTCCAGTTCAGTTTTCTTTCCACTGGATAAGTGGCTTTCACCTTCACTGTGCATCTGAGCATTTGGAGGAATTATTATAAAGGTCCTTTCGCTCAGACCTCCTAGTCAAGAGTCTAAGTGGTCGAGCCTATGAATCTAAATTTTTACATGCACCCAGAAGCCCAATCAGGTCTGAGAACACTGCACTTCTCAACAGAGCAGAAGATAAGCAGCAATTTATTCATCTATTTCTACAGAAGCTTCTGTTTATAAAGCACTGGCTACATGCTTTAGTAAGAGATAAAAATATACACAATCTCTAATATCACAAGCTCTCGAAAACAACATCTACCCAGAGTAGAGGTAAACATTGTTTAAAAAGTGTTGGGTGGCAGTGGTTCATGAGGCAGCGTCTAGATGAAATGCAAATGTACAGATCATGACGGTCAGCCTTTAGAGAAAGGAGAGCGCCTCATGGGAGGGATGGTCAGGAAAGGCTTTCTTGGAGGCGTGACTGGCTCCTTGAATATTGAGAATATTGAGAAGGGTAAGAGCAACAGTAGGAGAGTCCTAGGCCCATGAAAGGAATTAGGAGCCTATGGGGCACCTGGGCATTGGTTCCTGGGTGGCAGGTGTGGATCAGGGTCAGATCCCTGTATAGCTATTGGAAACAGAAGTCCGGTTCCCAAATTGATAGAATTACCACAGAGGGCGGTAGGAATATATGGTGGTGGTGATTAACCTTTTTGTATTCTAAAAACTAGTTTGAGCCTGGGTAACATGGCGAAACCCTGTCTACGAAAAATATAAAAATCACCCTGGCATGGTGGCATATCCCTGTAGTCCCAGCTGTTCAGGAGGCTGCGGTGGGAGGATGGCTTAAGCGCAGGAGAACAGAAGTTGCAGTGAGCCGAGATCATGCCTCCGTACTCCAGCCTGGGTGACAAAGCGAGACCTTGTCTCAAAAAAAAAAATTAATTTGAAACTGCTGAGGATATGGACCCTATCCCTAGCAAATACACATCCCCACCAAAGACATGTGTTGACAATTTCTGAGGATACCCCTGAAGCCCCATCCTTGGATCCCACCAGATAAAGAACCCCAGTTCCTCTCTGAGGTCATACAGGCCAATTTGCAATACTGCACATCCTCCCTACTCAAAGGGAGAGAGGTTGAGGGGTGTGCTGGTTCCTTTTGAAACTGCCCCCATGATGTGTTCACTGTGTACTCCTGGTCAGCACTTGGGGAAGTTCCCTCTGCCTGCTTCTTTCTTAGGACTTCTAAAACATCAGCCAGGCCGGGCGTGGTGGCTCACGCCTGTAATCCCAGCAGTTTGGGAGGCCGAGGCAGGTGGATCACCTGAGGTCGGGAGTTCGAGACCAGCCTGGCCAACATGGAGAAACCCTATCTCTACTAAAAAATACAAAATTAGTCAGGTGTGGTGGTGCATGCCTGTAATCCCAGCTACTCAGGAAGCTGAGGCAAGAGAATCACTTGAACCCGGGAGGCGGAGGTTGCGGTGAGCCAAGATCGCACCATTGCACTCCAGCCTGGGCAAAAAGAGTGAAACTCCGTCTCAAGAAAACAAAACAAAATAAAAACATCAGCCAACTGTGGGCATTTTCCTTCACAGATAACTGCGACCTCCACTTCAAGGTGGCCCGAGATCGGAGTAGTGGCTATCCGCTCACAATTGAGGGCTTTGCATACCTGTGGTCAGGAGCCCGTGCCAGCTATGGGGTCAGAAGGGGCCGTGTATGCTTCGAGATGAAGGTGAGTAGGAGCAAGAGAAGGGGAAGGGACAGAGAAGTCCATCCATTGTAATATCCTGATACCAGCCACCTTGGTCAGAGCTGCAACTGCAAAAGAGATTGGATTGTGCAATACCATGTCCAAGCAGACAAAACTGTGATGAACTCAAGACAACTACATCATTGCTAAATATCATATCAGAAAAGCAGGCCAACCATGCATTGCTTCATCAAGCAGATATTTCCTTGGTGAGATTTGACCCAGGTATTATGTAGTCAACCAGTGTAGTGATGACATGTTTGTAGAACTGAGAAAAGAAGTTGTTTGGAAGAAAAGTGATCTAGAAAGAATAGACTCAGATGTCACTTATTAAAGGGAGGCCAGAGGGAGAACAGGGCAAAGAACTGCCAGCTTAGGCCAGCCTCTGCTGTCATCTCTCCACAGTTCCATGTCAAGTTATGTTTATGAAAATAATAGATGCTCATGTTTAACAAAAGTTCAGACAGCACAGAAAAGTACAGGATAAAACAGGTTATTCTCGCCAGGTGTGGTGGCTTTTGCCTGTAATCCCAGCACTTTTGGGAGGCCAAGGCAGGTGGATCACAAGGTCAGGAGTTCAATACCAAACTGGCCAAGATGGTGAAACCCTGTCTACTAAAAATACAAAAAAATTAGCCGGGCATGGTGGCGGGTGCCTGCAATCCTAGCTATTCAGGAGGCTGAGGCAGAGAATTGCTTGAACCCAAGAGGCAGAGGTTGCAGTGAGCCGAGATCACGCCACTGCACTCCAGCCTGGGTGACAGAGTGAGACTCTGTCTCAAAAAAAAAAAACAAAAAAACAAAAACAAAAAAAACAAAACAGGTTATTCTCATGTCCTCTCAGTTCCCATCCTACCATCCTACTCCCTGGAGGGAACTTCTGTGTTAACAATTTCTTACCTGTGGTTTGTGTATCCAAACTTACTGATGATAGCTAATAAGTATAGAGCTCTTTGCATGCACAAGATACAGCACCAAGCTCTTTACATGGATTATCTCCATTAATCCTCACAGTACCATCTGGAAACAGGTACTGTTAGCCCCAGTTTTTAGAGGTAGAAGCTGAAACACAGAGGGTTATATTTTATTGACCACGACACCATTGATGTAAGTTGTGCATTATTTTATGTACCTCTCATAGAGAAACACTGCAACAAAATAAACTACGCAGTGTTTTCTTTTTTTGTTTGTTTGTTTTTTTGTTTTTGAGATGGAGTTTCACTCTTGTTGTCCAGGCTGGAGTGCAGTGGCGCGATCTCGGCTCACTGCAACCTCTGCCTCCCGGGTTCAAGCAATTATCCTGCCTCAGCCTCCCCAGTAGCTGGGATTACAGGCATGTGCCACCCTGCCCGGCTAATTTTTGTATTTTTAGTAGAGATGGGGTTTCTCCATGTTGATCAGGCTGGGCTTGAACTCCTGAGCTCAGGTGATCTGCCTGCCTTGGCCTCCCAAAGTGCTGGGATTACAGGCGTGAGCTGCCGCACCCAGCATACGCAGTGCTTTCTCATCACATTTATTGTAAAATGGATCCTGATTTCAGAGATTTTAAAATGTGTGTCTGAAAAGCCAGTGAGGCCACAGGTAGATACGGATATTCGGCAGTCTAGTCTTTTAATACGAAATTAAGTCAGAAGGCTTTTTTTTTTTTTTTAACTTAATACTGTATCTTGGACATTTTTCCATAGCAGTACATTAGCCCAATGTACTGCTTTGCTCCTTGTTTTTTGTTTGTTTGATTGTTTGTTTTGTTTGTTTTGTTTTGTTGACGGAGTTTCACTTGTTACCCAAGCTAGAATACAGTGGCGCAATCTCTGCTTACTGCAACGTCTCCCTCCTGGGTTCAAGCGATTCTCCTGCCTCAGCCTCCCAAGTAGCTGGGATTACAGGTGCATGACGCCACGCATGCCTAATTTTTTGTATTTTTAGTAGAGACGGGGTTTCATGATGTTGGCCAGGCTGGTCTCGAACTCCTGACCTCAGGTGATCCACCCACCTTGGCCTCCCAAAGTGCTGGGATTACAGGCTTGAGCCACCGTGCCCGGCCTACTTTGCTCTTTTTAACTGTTGCATCATATTTTGTGGCATGGATATACCATAATCAGTGCTTTATTGATATTTTTTCTGATGTTAAAATATATATATATATATATATGTGCACATATATACATCCAATGCTGCACAGAATGTTGCATATACAAATACAGTCACACATACGTAGACATACTTGTCCACATATTAGTGTATCTATAGGATGCTGAGTTATAGAGCATGTGCATTTATGGGGTTTTGTTGTTTTTTTCTTTTAATGTTTTTGTAAAGATGGGGTCTTGCTATGTTGGCCAGGCTGGTTCCTAACTCCTGGCCTCAAGCCATCCTCCTGCCTTGGCCTCCCAAAGTGTTGGGATTACAGGTGTGAGTCACCATCCCCAGCCATTTACAGTTTTGATAGAGACTTCTAGATTGCCCTCTAAAGACACTGTAACAGTTTATCTTTCTACTAGATGTTACAAGAGTCTCTTAAACTAAAACATAACCGTATTTTGAAATGCCTGTCTCTGTGGCCCTGTACTCTACTGATCCCTTTGGAGGCCCTGGCTTCGATTCGGTTCAACAGGCTTTTCAGAGCTGCTTAAACGCTTCTTCTCCAGCAAGAAAAGCCATTGCTATTTTTTAATGCCTGATATGCTTCCCTCCTATATTGGCTCATAACCTACGGCCTCCAGAGAAGCAACCCTGAGCCCTTTTGTCCTCTTTCCTCAGATCAATGAGGAAATCTCCGTGAAGCACCTTCCGTCTACAGAGCCTGACCCCCACGTGGTCCGTATCGGCTGGTCCCTGGACTCCTGCAGCACCCAGCTAGGTAAGGAGGGGTCAGCTATGCAGTCCAGAGAATAGAGTGACTGTCCCTACCCTTGGATTTTCAAGGCTCCTAAGCTTCCTTTTCCAGCGTCAGACTTAGAATAGAACTAGGCTGAAGTGGAACAGGTACAAGGATTAGGTATATGCCACTGTCTCTGTCATGCTGTATTCAACTGAGAGGACTATGGTCATGAAACAACTTTTCTGTGAAGAATCAATTCTTATCCTTCATCTTTTAGGAGAGGGTCCAAAATTCTCTTTAGGAATCTATTCCCTTTCTGTAAAAAGGATCAGTGTCTCCTGCCCTTAAACCAAGCTGCTGATAAGTTCCCAAGCTCCATTAAGTTCTGTCTGTATTTTCTGTCCGGAGCCTAACCTAGAGGAAAAAGGGGAGCAGAGACCAGTGAGGCCAGGGCTAGTTGGGAGAGGGGCAGGGGCTGCCTATTGAAAGGTTTTGAATTTTGCGGGTCCCCAGGCTTCAATGACCTTCTGGTCCCAAGTGACTGATTATTCTGACCAATGCTGACACCTCCTGCCTTCCGTTTATGATCATACAAACGTTCCAATTATGAAAATAATATGTGTTGCGTATAAGAATTCAGGCCATACAGAAAGGGAAAAATGAAAATCCTTCCTAAACCTGTGAGAGAAACTAACCAATGTTAACATTCCATTTGTAGTCTTCTGGACATTTATTTTTTTGTACATCTTTAAACTGGATCACACTAGGACTACTTTGTATAGCCTTGTTTTAATGTATGATGGGCATATTTTTGTAAATAACTGCAGCTTTTTGACTACTGCATAATTTTCCATTTTATAGTTGCATTATTTAACAAGTCCCCTTCTGTAGCTCATTTAAACTTATTGCAAATTTTTGCTGTTTTAACACTTGAGCCATTATCCTGGTCCATAATTGCCTGACCACTTAAGACTAATCTTTAAAAATAGATGATATTCTCACTCACAAGTGTTTGTTTAAAAAATATGTTCACATGGACTTAGAGAGTGGAATAATAGATAATGGAGACTCAGAAGTGTTAGGGGGTAACAAGGTGGAGGAGGATGAGAAATTGGTTAATGGGTACGATGTACATTTTTTAGGTGATGAACACCCTAAAAGCTTGACCACTATGCAATCTGTGCATGTAACAGAATTGCACATGTACCCCATAAATTGGTACCTCCTCAAAAAGGTAGATATGTTAGCACCAAAAAAAAAAAGTATACAGTTTTCATTTCCATATGTGTTAGCACTTTTTATTTAAGACTCATAAGTCATCTCATCTTATCTCTGTCTCCGTTTTGAGATGTAGGTGGTGGCAGTTGATAGGGATGGGGAAACAGCCCAGGAGGTCAAGCACCATATCCAGGGTCACATAGCTGGTTTGTAGCAGAACGAGCCCTGGCATTCATGCTTGTCGGCCCCTGCTTTTCTAACAGCATACTCTTTGGGTTCTGCCCGGAATCTCTAACTCAGGTGTCAGCCAGAGCCCTTGGGATCTCTCAGTCATATCACTTCAGCACCCAGTTCTGTAGCCTGAGGAAATCTAGTACCTTTCCCAGGGGTCAGTCCTCATGGTCTCCAGGAGCAAAATCCAGCCCCTTCACTGATTTCTACCACAAGTAGACTGGACTGAATATTGGGTGTCACAAGGAAGGGTTGCATCTCAGCATACAGCCATTCTCCTCCATCCCAACTCCTGTCTTCCTTCCTCCCTTTCTTTTCAAATTCTCCCCTCTGTGCAGAGTTATTCAGTTGAGCTCCTACTCCCAGACTGGACAATGAAACCCATCAAGCCCTCCAAGTTCTACATCATTAAGGGCTTCCTTTCACCCTTCCCCACCCCTATTTTAAAAAGGCATCTGATTAATAAAACTAGTAAAGAAAATGATTTTTTTCTTCAAAAATAAAAGTATGTGGCAGCCATTGAGGCTGTTATGACCATCGCAGGTTTAACCTGCCTTTGCCTATTTCTTCCGTCAGGCGAAGAGCCTTTCTCCTATGGCTATGGAGGCACTGGGAAGAAGTCCACCAATAGCCGGTTTGAAAACTACGGAGACAAGTTTGCAGAGAACGATGTGATTGGCTGCTTTGCGGTGAGTGCTAGCAGCCTGTGGGAGTTGGCAGAACCAGATGTTGGGCTACAGACTTCTTTTTCAGGATACCTCTATCCATTGTCTGCCCCATATCCAGCCACTCTCGCCATACTTCTTTGTCTCTGCTTGACAGACTGGAATGTTTACTGTCATTTTGTGGGAAATTCTGTCATTCCATCTCCTCTGGTCTTGTGTGCAAAGTTTTCAGATGACACCCTGAAGAGGTTTGGGGACTTCAGGTGTGCATAGCCTTCCTCCGTTCCTAGGTACCAGAGTAACATTTTCTAAACAAACCTAGGAATTTCTTATCTTTCATTGCTAGGAAATAGCCTGTCTGCTCCTGAAGGCAGTGGTATTGGCTCTTGCCCCATGTTGGCATCATCTTATCCCAAAACTTCTCCCTTTCTTCATCTCACATTGGTTGAGCCAGGCTTCCTACAATGCACTGCCTTCTGGAAGAGTAGAGATGATGCAAAACAGAACAGCTGTTGCTGCCATACTTCAGTCTTTGAGAACAGTGACCAGCAGTCACCTTGCTGTGCAGTATGGCTGTCAGCTCTGGGCTGGACTCCCTGGACCCAGTTATGTTCTTCCATTCAAGCCCTGGGCAATTTACCCTTCTTGTTTTTCAGTTCCCTCTAAATGAGAATCTTTGCACCTACCTCAGAATTTTGTGTGGAGTCATTAAGTTAATCCATTAAAAGCACTTATAATAATGCCTGACACACAGTAAGTGCTCAGTAAATACCACTTAATACTGTTAACATTAGGAGTTATAAGAGATGTTTGTAAAATGTGCCGTAAGGCCCCAGAGGAAGTGACCACCTGGATGGATTCATCCTCTGAAGCTTATTCTTTTGCCTTCCTTCATATTTGTACACATGTACTCTTCCTTCTTCTTTTTTATTTATTTATTTATTTTTGAGATGAGTTTTTTGCTCTTGTTGCCCAGGCTGGAGAGCAATGGTGCGATCTCGGCTCACCACAATCTCCGCCTCCTGGGTTCAAGCGATTCTCCTGCCTCAGCCCCCTGAGTAGCTGGGATTGCAGGCATGCACCACTACACCCAACTAATTTTGTATTTTTAGTAGAGACGGGGTTTCTCCATGTTGGTCAGGCTGGTCTCGAACTCCCGACCTCAGATGATCTGCTCGCCTCGGCCTTGCAAAGTACTGGGATTACAGGTGTGAACCACCACGCCTGGCCCCTTCTTCTTTTTTTAACTTTGAGATAAATTCAAACTCGGAAAAGCTTGAGAATAAAGAATTCTCACAGGGCCTTATCCAGATTCTAACATTTGCCACATTTGCTTTACCATTTTCATGTTTATGGTGTACATACACATAGAGAGTTAACTCTTCAACAATGTGTTTGAATTGCACTGGTTCACTTATGTGCATATTTTTTTCTTTTTTTCTTTTTTTTTTTTTTTGAGACGGAGTCTCGCTCTGTCGCCCAGGCTGGAGTGCAGTGGCGGGATCTCGGCTCACTGCAAGCTCCGCCTCCCGGGTTCACGCCATTCTCCTGCCTCAGCCTCCCAAGTAGCTGGGACTACAGGCGCCCGCCACTACGCCCGGCTAATTTTTTGTATTTTTTTTTTAGTAGAGACGGGGTTTCACCGTTTTAGCCGGGATGGTCTCGATCTCCTGACCTCGTGATCCGCCCGCCTCGGCCTCCCAAAGTGCTGGGATTACAGGCGTGAGCCACCGCGCCCGGCCATTTTTTTCAATAAATATATTGGAAACTTCTTTGGAGATTTGCAACAATTTGAAACAACAGACATAGCCTAGAAATATCGGTAAGATTAAGAAAAAGTTAAGCATGTCATGAATGCATAAAATATAAGTAGGTACTAGTCTGTTTCATCATTTACTAGCATAAAATATCCACAAATCTATTACAAAAAGTTAAAACTTATCAAAACTTGTGCACACAGACTCTACATGGTACCATTCACAGTTGAGAGAAATGTAAACAAACAGTACAGTATTAAATCATAACTGTTTTTATTTTATTTTTTTGAAGACAGATTATTTTCTCTGTCACCCAGGCTGGAGTCTCGTGGCGCGATCTCAACTCACTGCAACCTCCGCCTCCGGGGTTCAAGTGATTCTTGTGCCTCAGCCACCCGAATAGCTGGGATTACAGGTGTGCACCACCACGCCTGGCTAATTATTGTTTTTTGTTTGTTTTGTTTTGAGACGGAGTCTTACTTTGTTGCCTAGGCTGGAGCACGGTGGCGCAATCTCGGCTCACTGCAACCTCCGCTTCCTGGGTTCAAGTGATTCTCCTGCCTCAGCCTCCTGAGTAGCTGGGATTACAGGTGCACGCCACCATGCCTGGCTAATTTTTGTATTTTTAGTAGAGTTGGGGTTTCGCCGTGTTGGCTAGGCTGGTCTTGAACTCCTGACCTTAGGTGATCCACCTGCCTCGGCCTCCCAAAGTGCTGGGATTACCAAGTGTGAGCCACTGCACCTGGCCTAATTTTTGTATTTTTAGTAGAGATGGGGTTTCACCGTGTTGGCCAAGCTGGTCTTGAACTCCTAACTTCAAGTGATCTGCCCACCTCGGCCTGCGAAAGTCCTGGGATTACAGGTGTGAGCCACCAAGCCCAGCCAACTGCATAAAATTAACCAGCGCATACTGTAATAATTTTGAAGCCACCTCCTATTGCTATTATGGTGAGCTCAATTGTTGCAAGTTTCTACTTAAAACACTGTGTGTCATACATCTTCACGTGAGCAGTTCTTTTCGGTAAATTGTGTATCACAGTAAAAAGTGATCTCGCAATTCTTGTGTATTTTTTAATCATGTTACTGCAATATCATAAGCCTTGAGTAGCACCATGGGATCCATACGAAGTTCCACTAGTGATGCTGGAAGTGTTGCTCAGAAGCAGAAAAAAGTTATGGTATTACAAGAAAAATTTGAATTGGTTGATATGCACTATAGATTGAGGTCTGCAGCTGTAGTTGCCTGCCATTTCAAGATTAATCCAGCATAAGGACCACTGTAAACGAAAAAAAGAAAAAATTCCCGAAGCCATCACTACTGCTGTGCTAGCAGGTGCTAAATCCCTGCACTTTTTATCATATATTGACAATGCAAGGCCGGACACTGTGACTCACACTTGTAGTCTCAGCACTTTGGGAGGCCAAGGTGGGCAGATCGCTTGAGCCCAGGAGTTCAAGACCAGCTTGGGCATCATGGTGAAAACAAACTTTTAATATTTTATAAACATAAAAATTAACTGGGTTGGTGATGCACGCCTGTAGTCCCAGATAGGAGGCTGAGGATCGCTTGAGCCCAGGAGGCTGCAGTGGGTTATGATTGGCCCACTGCACTCCAGCCTGGATGACAGAATGAGACTCTGTCTCAAAATAAATAAATAAAACTGCAGCTTTTGTGTAGGTACAGAGTTGCTATAAGAAAGGCATACCTGCCGGGCACGGTGGCTCACGCCTGTAATCCCAGCACTTTGGGCGGCCAAGGAGGGCAGATCACGAGGTCAGGAGATCAAGACCATCCTGGCTAACACAGTGAAACCCCGTCTCTACTAAAAATACAAAAATTAGCCGGGCGTGGTGGCCAGCGCCTGTAGTCCCAGCTACTCGGGAGGCTGAGGCAGGAGAATGGCGTGACCCTGGGAGGCGGAGCTTGCAGTGAGCCACGATTGCGCCACTGTACTCCCGCCTGGGTAACAGAGCAAGACTCTGTCTCAAAAAAAAAAAAAAAAAAGGGCATACCTATAGGCTATAATTCAAGAAAAAGTGAAGTCATTATATATGACAACATAAAGCAAAAGAAAGGGGAAAGATCTAAAGCTGCTGAATTTAATGCCAGCAAAGGATGGTTTAATAACTTTAGAAAGAGGTTTGGCTTAAAAATTCTTTACAGGAAAGGCAGCTTCTGCCAACGAAGAGGCAACAAACAAGTTCCCAGGCATCATTAAGGTATAATTGAAGAGAAGGGATATCTGCCTGAACAGATTTTTAATGCCAAGTGCAGTGGTATGATCTCAGCTCACTGCAGCCCCCGCCTCCCCGGTTCAAGCTATTCTACCTCAGCGACCCAAGTACCTGGGATTACATACTTGCGCCACCACACCTAGCTAATAATTTGTATTTTTTGTAGAGATGGGGTTTCGCCAAACTCCTGAGCTCAAGCAATCCGCCCTCCTTGACCTCCCAAAGTTCTGGGATTATAGGCCGGAGACACCATGCCCAGCAAATTCTGTCAGATTGATGATCAGGACTGTTACTTATAAAGCTGGTAACTCTCAAACCCTAAATCCTCAACACCAGTTGCCAGTCATTTGGTTGTACAACAAGAAGGTGTGGATGATGAAAATCCTTTTTCTAGATTGGTTCCATTGATGCTTTGTTTCTGAAGTTAGGAAATACCTTTCCAATATGTGGTTCCCTTTTAAAATTATTTTGATATTGGAGAATGCCACCAAGAACCCCATGAGTTTAGTACAGAAGGGGTCAAAGTGGTTTATTTGTCCCTAAACAATGGGCTGACCCTTGAACTTTGCAGGGATTAGGGGCACCAACCCCCATGCGGTCAAAAATCCACGTATAGTTTTTGACTCCCAAAAACTTAACTACTGGCTGAGCGCAGTGGCTCACGCCTGTAATCCCAGCACTTCGGGAGGCCAAGCTGGGTGGATCACTTGAGCCCAGAAGTTCAAGACCAGCCTGGGCAACATAAGGAAACCCTGTCTTTACCAAAAATAGAAATAAAAATTAGCTGGGCCTGGTGGCACACGCCTGTGGTCCCAGCTACTCAGGAGACTGAGGTGAGAAAAAAAAAAAATTAATAGCCTACTGATAACATAAACAGTCAATTAACACATAGGCTAGTGTCTACAATTTTTATGCACTCATATGACATACCTAACTTTTCCTTTTTTTTTTTTTCAGTATTTCTAGTCATAGGGATCTGAGAGTTTTTTCAAATTGTTGCAAGTGTCCACAAATATTTTCAGTATATTGAATGAAAAAAGTACACATGTAAGTGGACCTGCCCAGCTTGAAGCCAGTGTTGCTAAAGGTCAGCTGTGTTTTCATCTGACCCATTTGAGAGGAGGTTGCATACATCATGTCTTCATTACTTTGGTCTGTATTCCTTCTTTTCTTTTTTTTTAATAAATGAGACAGGGTCTTGCTGCATTTTCACAGGCGGTGATCCCTCTTCTGATCAGCATGAGAGTTTTGACTTGCTTTGTTTCCTACCTTGGCTAGTTCACCCCTCCTTAGGCAACCTGATGGTCCCTAACTCCCAGGAGGTCACCATATCAATGCCGAACTTAGTGTGGACAGCCGATTGGCATAGTGCACTACAGCCCAGAACTGGGCTCAAGCCATCCACCCCAACCTAGTAGCTGAGACTGCAGGTGCACGGCACTGTGCCAGGCTCGGTGTGTACTCTTTTTTTTTTTTTTTTTTTTTTTTTTTGAGAGAAGTCTCACTCTTGTCCCCCAGGTTTGAGTGCAATGGCTTTATCTCGGCTCACTGCAACCTCCGCCTCCCCGGGTTCAAACGATTTTCCTGCCTCTGCCTCCCAAGTAGCTGGGATTAAGGCGCCTGCCACCATGCCTGGCTCATTTTTGTATTTTTTAGTAGAGACGGGGTTTCACCATGTTGGCCAGGCTGGTCTCGAACTCCTGACCTCAGATGATCCGCCCGCCTCAGCCTCCCAAAGTGCTGGGATTATAGATGTGAGCCACCGCGCCCAGTCGGTGTGTACCCTTTTTGAGACGGAGTCTTGTTCTGTCGCCCAGGCTGGAGTGCAGTGGCGTGATCTCGGCTCACTGCAAGTTCTGCCTCCCAGGTTCAAGTGATTTTTTTGCCTCAGCCTCTCAAGTAGCTGGGATCACAGGTGCACACCACGACATCTAGCTAATTTTTGTATTTTTAGTAGAGACAGGGTTTCACCATGTTGGTCAGGCTAGCCTCAAACTCCTGACTTCGTGATCCGCCCACCTCGGCCTCCCAGAGTGCTAGGATTACAGGTGTGAGCCACCACAACTGGCTGATTCTTAAGAGTAAAGATATTAATGACAGTAAAGTTATTAAATTTAAAACTTGATATAATGCTATTATCTACTGCGCATTCAAATTTTGTCACTTGTCCCAACAATATTCTTTCGTCCAGTTGAGTTTCTAGTTCAGGATCTGATCTGGCCTGGGATCATATTGCATTCTCTTGCCATGTGTCTTTAGTTTCCTTTAGCCTGAAACAGTTTCTCAGCCTTTTTTTGCATTTCAGGATCTCAGTATCTTTTTGTTTTTGTTTTTGAGACAGAGTTTCGCTCTGTCACCCAATCTGGAGTGCAGTGGCGCAATCTCAGCTCACCACAACCTCCACCTCCCAGGTTCAAACGATTCTCCAGCCTCAGCCGCCCGAGTAGCTGGGACTACAGGTACGCGCCACCACACCTGGCTAATTTTTGTATTTTTAGTAGAGTCGGGGTTTCACCATGTTGGCCAGGCTAGTCTCGAACTCCTGACCTCAGGTGATCCACCTGCCTCAGCCTCCCAAAGTGCTGGGATTACAGGTGTCAGCCACTGCGCCCGGCCCTCAATATGTTTTCAATAAAACATTTTTAAAATGAAAACTGTGTTCATACTCTACAAATTGTTCGGTTTTAAACCTTGCATTTTTTTCCCATTGAAGAGTAAATCTTGGCCATCTTTCCCTGTCCACACAGACAATATATAGATCTAGCTCAGTTAAAGTTGTTTCTTAATAGTTAATCATTGTGAATTGATTTTTTCAAGAATAGGGTTTCCAAAAAAAAATCGAGGAATGTAAAAGGGGATACAGTGTAAAGTCTTCTTTAGACACCCCCCCTCCCGCCCCACCCATTTTTCACATATACCCTCCCCAGCATGTGAACCCACTGGTACTCGGGGTTTCATCTTTTTTTTTTTTTTTTTAACTTGTATGTCTTGGGGGTCTTTTTATTTATTTAATTTTTTTGAGACAGAGTTTTGCTCTTGTTGCCCAGGCTGGAGTGCAATGGCATGATCTTGGCTCACCACAACCTCCGCCTCCCAGATTCAAGTGATTCTTCTGCCTCAGCCTCCCAAGTGCTGGGATTACAGGCATGCGCCAGCATGCCCGGCTAATTTTGTAGTTTTAGTAGAGACAGGGTTTCACCATGTTGGTCAGGCTGGTCTCGAACTCCCGACCTCAGGTGATCTGCCCTCCTTGGCCTCCCAAAGTGCTGAGATTACAAGCGTGAGCCACCATGCCCGGCCTTGGTGGGGATCTTTTTATGGTACTACCAAGAGAGCTTCTTTGTACTTTTATATTGTCTGTAGTCATTGTATGACTGTACCATAATTGATTTAACCTAGCGCCTCCCTTTGGTGGACATGTCGTTACTTTTGCAGCTTTGTATTTAGTGACTGTAATGGCTGTCTAGTATTCTGATGCAGGGGTTTGGGTACCCTGCTTTAATTTAGCCCGTCTTCCTGTTAGTGGCTGTGAAAGTTGTTTCCTGGAACAGATAAATGCGGCTTGTCTTTTTTCCATTTACTGGAGTAACTTGGAGATCTTTTTGTAGCCCCACATATGGATCTCCTGTGCAATTTAGCCACTCCTACTTCCCCATTGGAGCACATTTTCCGTGCTGGCATGAGCATTTTGCACATAGAATTTTGCATTCTTGTGGGAATGTAGTTGTATTCCTTCTTGAAAGTTAGATTCTAAGTCAAAGGTATATTTTTAAATTTTCATAGCTACCACCAAGACTACACTCCAAACAGGTTGCAGTAATTTAACTTGTCACTGTGTGACAGTGTTTGCCAAAGTCTGTTCTTTCAGAGTATGAGGTTCTTTTGGTATGTGGCAGTATGGAACTCTAGGCCTTGACTCTTGCTTCAACCAGAACATCTCTGCATCCAGTCTTAAGATTCCTTATATAGTTTTCTTTGTTCAGAAGATACCACAACTTTAAAAAGGCTCAGGGTGAGGAGTTGGTGGGGGTGTAAAAATCATTGGTCTCCTGGAACAAGAGGGGAGGACATTGGTGTCAAATATCAAGTCCTCAATTTGCAAAACAAAAAGGTAAAACAGCCTTCCAAGTGGAGAACAGAATAACCCATTTCAGCAAACCATAAAGAGTATGATACTTAGAGCCTAGGGACAACAGAAAGAGGTGTGAGACACCAGGCTATAAAAATGGCAGGCTCTGAATTATGCCAGGCTTCAGGAGTTTGGGTCTTTAGGCCTGGGACTGACACAGGAGTGTTTCAGCAGGAACAACAACACAACTCCACTTGCCTTTTGGACAGATGGCTCTGTTGGTGGTAGATGGGTTGGTTGAGGGCGCCGGTTTCTGTGCATTATGGGAAGTTCCTATAGTGAAGCTGGTGGCCATAAGGAAGGCTAACTAACACCAACAGTCATACCTGCTCTCCATGGTCTTTTTTTTTTTTTTTTTTTTGAGAAGGAGTCTTGCTGTTGCCCGGCTGGAGTGCTGTGACATGATCTCGGCTCACTGCAACCTCCAACTCCCTAGTTCAAGTGATTCTCCTGCCTCAGCCTCCTGAGTAGCTGGGATTACAGGCACTCGCCACCATGACCAGCTAATTTTTGTATGTTTAGTAGAGACGGAGTTTCACCATGTTGGCCAAGATGGTCTTGATCTCTTGACCTCATGATCTGCCCACCTCGGCCTCCCAAAATGCTGGGATTACAGGCGTGAACCACCACATCCAGCCGCTCTCCATGGTCTTGACGTGGGTGCATGCTTAGAGATGAACAGGCATGAGGGCCTCTGACACAGAGCTGTGCCCTGTGAGCACTGAGGAGGTTAATGAGGAAGCTCCTCAAGGGAGGGTGCTTCTGTCGCTTCTTGAAGGGCAATTCCCAAGGTGGTCACCTGAATAGAGAAAGAAATTATACTTTCATATCAGAAAGCGAACCGTGTATTTTGCTTCAGTCTGCTATCTAATCTCAAGTTTTGAGCCTTTTCTTCTCTGAGATGGGCATTTAGAAAAATATTTAACAAACGTTTTAAAAATATAAATTTTAAAAAGGCAAAAAAACACTAAGAAAAAAAAGAGCCTCTCGTATCCTGCAGCCAAAGCAATGTTTCCAAAACACAGTTTTGAGCAGGCTGCTCCTCTATTCAAAATAAGTCAGACACTCTGCTCTGCCACCAGCATCAAGTTCAAATTCCTGCGGTAAATTAGAGTCCCTCACATGCCGAGGTAGGCCGTGTCCCCTCCCACCACTTCAGTCCCAGCCCCTTATTTCTAGCACAGTGCCTGACATTTTGCAGTGATAGCTCACATTCCTTGTGTGCTCACTGTGTATTAAATGTACTAGCCCATTTAACAGTTAGAATAAACATAGGCTGTATAAAATATTATTACCCCGCCCCCCTTTTTTTGATAAAGAAACAAGATGAAATAACTTAACCAAGGCCACAAGTTAGTAAATGGTAGAACTGAAGCCATCCACCTTCTAAAATGGGATCATAGGCTAGGCGTAGTGGCTCACACCTGTAATCCCAGCACTTTGGGAGGCTGAGGCGGGTGGATCACCTGAGGTCAGGAGTTCGAGACCAGCCTGACCAACATGGAGAAACCCCGTCTACTAAAAATACAAAATTAGCCGGGCGTGGTGGCACATGCCTGTAATCCCAGCTAATTGAGGCAGGAGAATCGCTTGAACCCAGGAGGCGGAGGTTGTGGTGGGCCGAGATTGCGCCATTGCACTCCAGCCTGGGCAACAAGAGTGAAATTCCGTCTCAACAAAAAGAGGGGGGATCTTAATTACTAACTTTAGCAATTCAATAAGTAGTTGTTACAGAATAAATGAATGTGGTCCCTGCATGGCTCTTCAGCTGTTCCTGAATTACTTCCCCCTCATCTTTTATGCCTCAGCCAATCTGACCTTGTGTTCTGTCACTGCTAGGCTTATATACAAGCAACTGAGAAACCTCAGAAACTTGCTTCTAGGTAGGTCATCTTACTGAATTATGATAGAGTGTCCTTGTCTCATTCCCCACTGGTCGCTAAGCTCTGTCGGTCCCAGATTATGCAGACATGTGTATCAGAAAGAGTACGAACTCAGGGAACATGTTGAACAAGCTGAACTCAGTTCGAAAAGGCCCTGCGGTGGCTTTCCTTCATCTGTTATATTCATAGACTGCCCTTTCTGGGTTTCTTTTGTTTGTTTTTGTAGAGATGGGGTCTCTTTCTGTTACCCAGGCTGTACTTGAACTCCTGGCCTCAAGCATCCTCCTGCCTTGGCTGCTCAAAGTGATGGGATTATAGGCGTGAGCCACTGCACCTGTCTCCTCATCAGTTTTCAGGACAGGACTGGACCACCTTTTCCTTCGTCTTCATCTCAGTCTAGGCACAAGACTCAAATACTTGGAGCTTCTTAAAATTACCTGCTTTAGGACAGGTGCAGTGGCTCAAGCCTATAATTCCAACAGTTTGGCAGGCCAAGGTGGGAAGATCACTTGAGTCCAGGATTTCAAGACCAGCCTGGGCAACATAACAAGACCCTGTCTCTACAAAAAAATTTAAAAATTAGCCAGGTGTGGAACATGCCTGTAGTCCCAGCTACTCAGGAGGCTGAGGTGGGAGGATTGCTTGAACCTGGAAGTTTGAGGTTGCGGTGAGCCCTAGCTGTGCCACTGCACTCAGCCTGGGGGACAGGGTGAGACCCTGTCTCAAAAAAAAAAAAAACAAAAAAAAAAAACTCTTGCTTACTTGCTTCATATCCACCAACTTTGGGGTCTTAGGCAAGGAGGACTTTGGGCTGGACATTCTCTGAGATGTTCACTGATGCTGCCCAGCTTACCTGTATGTTGGGGAAGGATGCACTTCAATCTGGAAAGCTGTCCACATTCTACTCCCTGCATCTACTGTCCTCACATTTGACTCCCAGTGCCTATGGCAAGAGTTGGCAATCATATTCCTTTGGCTTTTTCTCCTAGGATTTTGAATGTGGAAATGACGTGGAACTGTCTTTTACCAAGAATGGAAAGTGGATGGGCATTGCTTTCCGAATCCAGAAGGAAGCCTTGGGGGGTCAGGCCCTCTATCCTCATGTCCTGGTGAAGAATTGCGCAGTGGAGTTCAACTTCGGACAGAGAGCAGAGCCCTACTGTTCTGTCCTCCCGGGGTTTACCTTCATCCAGCACCTTCCCCTTAGTGAGCGTATCCGGGGCACCGTTGGACCAAAGAGCAAGGCAGAATGTGAGGTGAGTGGGGCCAGAATGTATTGGTGGCCACCTTGCTGCCAAGACAGAGGAGACACACACACACACACACACACAGACTTGCTGCGAGAGTAGCCTTGGGGCAAGTGGCCACTTTGTCCCAGCTCCTCAGGGTTGGACTCAGAGCTGAAAAGCTGCTCTGAGTGTGAGGTGAGGGGTGTTGGTGTGACCTAAGTTGAAGTCGGAGAGGCTACCTAAATCTCAGAAAGATTGCATCTTCTTCTTAAGTGAGGCCAGAATAGGGGAAAAGGAGGCTTTTCTTACAGCAGAAAAGGACACTAGGCGCTTCTTGGGGAGTGCACTGTGCCACCAAGTGTTCTTTTTTTTTCTTTAGAGACAGGGTCTCGCTCTGTCACCCAGGCTGGAGTGCAGTGGTGCGATCACGGCTTACTGCAGCCTTGACCTTCCAGGCTCAAGTGATCCTCCCACCTCAGCTTCTCGAGTAGCTGGGACCACAGGTACATGCCACCATGCCAGGCTAACTTTTTTAGCCACTGAGCCTGGCCCACCGAGTGTTCTTGAAGGAGGTTGAGTAAGTTCCACCTCTCACCCAGAGCTATCAAAAGATAAATGGCCTTTGGGAAGATTTGATTCCAAGAGCTATACTAGTGTCTTTTTTCTTAAAACAATATTTTTCTTGTATGTGTAAGTTATTTATGCTTGTTCTAGAAAATTAAGAAGTAAAAAATTTAAATTTTCATAATGCCATCATCTACAAATAAGTTTACTTGCAGAGTTTTGGAGTTCATCTGTTCTTTTTAATGTCTAAGTGCCTGTTTTATGCTCACAAACATTTATCATTGAGATTCTATGGTATAAGCATTATGATACCCTGCTCTTTTCACTTCACATTATTTTGTGAGCTTTATCCCATCACATAAAAACCTCTCTTTGAACATCATTTTTTCTTTTTTAAAAATCCTTCAAGGGAATGAACGTCATTCTTAATGGCCTTACAAACTCGCCACTCCCCCCTAGTCGGGCATTTAAGATGCATCTGTGTTTACCAAATTCTAAATGTACTGATTAGATACAATTCATGTCCTTGTGTGTGCAGCTCTGTTCCTATTTCATACTTAAAGAAAGTTGTACCACTTCTACCCACTCCATGGGGCCAGTCCCAGTACACAGCCTTCCCTGGGCTATTGCAGGGGGCGGGGAATGGGTCACATAATCCTGTAAATGGGCTGGGTTTGGTGGCAAATGCCTATAATTCCAGCACTTTGGGAGGCCAAGAAGGGAGGAGGATCCCTTGAGTATAGGAGTTTGAGACCAGTCTGGGCAACATAAGGAGACTCTCATTTCTACCAAAAAAAGAGAGAAAAAGATTAGCTGGGTGTGATGGTTTGTATCTGTAGTTCTAGCTACTCTGGAGGCTGATGTAGAAGGATTGCTTGAGCCTGGGAGTTCAAGGCTGCAGTGAGCTGTAATTGGGCCATTACACGCCAGCCTGGGCAATAGAGTGAGACCCTGTCTCAAAAAAACAAAATACTATAAATGCTAATGATGACAGCACTTGGTTTTTTGTTTTTGTTTTCCCCCGAAAGTCCTGGGATTATAGGCGTGAGCTACCGTGCCTGGCCAGCACTTGACTTAATGCTCACCCTGTCCCAGGCACTGTGCTCAGAGTCTGACAAGCCTGATCTTTTTGAATCCCGATACCAGTACTGTGAGGTAGATGGTATTACTGCTTCCGCTTTGTAGAGGCAGCCACAGCTCAGAGGTCCAGAGTCACACTCACAGTCACCACCGAGCCAAGTGGTGCCATACCACCATGCCGCAACACCTTCCCTGTCTTGTTCTTGTAGATTCTGATGATGGTGGGCCTGCCTGCTGCTGGCAAGACCACATGGGCCATCAAACATGCAGCCTCCAACCCTTCCAAGAAGTACAACATCCTGGGTACCAATGCCATCATGGATAAGATGCGGGTAAGGCCAGCCACTGGACTCTCCTTACTCACCTCCAACCTACTGAGTGCTGCCCTGCAACTAAAATCACTCACCCCTCACCAATTCCTGCCCGCAGGTGATGGGCCTACGCCGGCAGCGGAACTATGCTGGCCGCTGGGATGTCCTGATCCAGCAGGCCACCCAGTGCCTCAACCGCCTCATCCAGATTGCTGCCCGCAAGAAACGCAACTATATCCTAGATCAGGTACTTAATGATGACCATTGTGTCCTCAGGAGAAGGGAGGGGACCCCTTGCATGCCTGAGAATCTCCCTCTGGTCCCTTTCTTTTTTCCCCCGTAATGATGATGGACTGCTGTGCTAGTCGGGGGGGTCAGACCTTGTCATACATGATGACATGGTACTACACACAGCTGAGCCTGGACTGGGATCATGATCTAGGCCTACTTACTCAGACTCATCAGCAGCCCCAAAGAACATCAGGTAAGAACTGTTTAGCAAAATGGAAGGAGTATGGATTTCCAAGCCTGAGAGACTGGAGCTTGAATGCCAGCTCGGCTACTCCCTAGCTCTGTGCCTTTGGGCAGCTGACTTTATTCTCTGAATCTCCATCTCTTGGTTTGTAAAACAGGGATCTCAATACCATCTGCACCCCTAACGCAGGACCTGGCACTTAGTAGCTGGTGATTATTGTTAAATACTCTACAGAATAGGTAGAGTAGCTTTCATGCCAACAGCAGTGCTGTAAGGTAAATGCTATTATTGCTTCCGTCATTTTCTCTTCACAAATACGTATGACTGGCAGGTACATACCTAAGTCATATTTTCTACCTACACTTCAGTTAATGGTGGAGTTCTTAACATCAGGGACCTTGGAACCTTTGTATTTGAACATAAATATTGTATGCAGCTGCAGGTGTATCCTTTTTATGAAAAAGAAGGGAAAAAAAAACAGTTTTTTGTCCCTATCTTTCAGCATTCTCAAAAGGATGAGTGACCCAAAAATCATTACAGATTCCTGTCTCAGAGTAATGAGTTCCACATGGTTATTGCCTATGCAACGTCATTGCCTATTGACATTTGTCCTGAAGGCTTTCACAAGTAACAAAGGGTGTCTCCTTATTTTCTATGTTTGGGGATCTGTGAATGAGCCTCTGTTCCCTTCAGCCTTGCATTTGTGCTTTCTTAAGAACCTGTGAGTGAGCAAATATGTAAACTAAGTAACACCCTGCCCTTGTAGCCTTCCTGAAGTGCCTTCCATACGTGTAGGCCTGGATACTTGGTGACCATGAGTTCAAAGGGCTCCTGATAAGAGTGGAGGTGGGGACAGCGTTTGGCTTTGTCAGAATGGTAGTTTGCTTGTTAGAAAGGAATCGCCAGAGACCGAGTTGCCTTCACATAGGAATGAGGATCCTACACAAAACAGTTGAGCACAGGATAGTCTAAAAGCCATCCGTGGTTATCCCCCCAGCTCATATTGTGTACAATCAGTGTTCTCTCCGCTTTGAAGATTTGTCTTTTAAACCCTTGGCCTCACTTTACCTGATCCTCCTTGTCGGGGCATTCAAGAATTTTTTTAGTCTGTATTGACCCCAGTTGGACTCATTGTCGTGAAAGGGAGAGCAGTAATACCATTTTAACACTCTGAGGATACATACCTCTTTTGGATACCCTAGCCAGTATTCCTCCCTGTCTTTTTCTTGGTTTGCTGGTTAAATCAGCTGTGAAACTCATTTCAAATATGTGGCCTAGGGGAGAATGATTATAGTCTAGAGTGGATCGTCTAACATCTCTGTCCAGGATGCTGAAGTGGGTTTTCTCTGGAAGCCAGGCCCATGACAGCTTTGCACTCTGAAGACCTACTGTCAGCCTTCTTGGCTGCTGCTGGCTTGTTCAGGGACAGGGTCTAGGGCTGTACCAGGTATGCCTGTGGTCTTCAGGGCTACCAGCCTCCTGCTTAAGGGACATGTGGGTCAGGCCAAGAGATCTTGGCCAACAATGAGACAGAGAACCTAAACTCTGAAGGCTGGGGAGGAGGGTTCTCTGGTTAACCACAGATTGGAGGATTGCCTCGGGGCCTGAAGCCATAGGCTACTCAGGCTGAGGGAGGGATTGTAAAGCCAGTGGTTTCACCTGTTTTGGCCTAAACCCCAAAAGTGGGTTCCAGAAAACTCTGGGTATGAGAAAGAGGGAGGGGGAAGTTGTGTGTTTGTGTATAGAGGGTTCAGAGCAGGCCCCTGGCCAATCCTGGCACTTCCATTCCACCAGCTTTGGCGGTGACAGGTAAGTTGATGATGCATAGCTGTCTCCTGGGCTAGGTGGAATTTCCAAAGGGGAAACCCATACTACAGGCAAAATCCCTGCAGTTCCTGGATCTCAGCCCAGAACCATCTTTTGCCTTTACTGGTTTTTCCTGAGTGGTCAGATCTCCCCAGATTTGGCTCTTCCAGCCTCCTGTTATGTAGGTTGGCCTTAGAAATGCTCATCCTTGAGAGGGAAGGAGAGGTTGTCTGCAGAAGCCAGGTGGGCCTTTGTAAGCCAGGATTCTGTGTTTGTCTGGCCAGGACTCTAACTCCTACCCTGGGATGTATGTGATTGGGCACAAACTCTCAGGTATATCGGGGCTTTGACCTACATTCTGTGATAACCTGAGTAGCCTTTTGAGATGATGTGGGCATCACAGCTGTGGAACATCAGAAGAGGAAAAAGAGGTAGACCAGAGAGGAAGCTGAAGCCTCTGCAGAGGACTATAGGACTGCTAAGTCACGCACTCAGTGTACTGATAGATCACAGCTCTGCTGACTTCCCAAACAGCCATAGTCTAGAATGGTTGGGGCCATGGTGGGAATTTGGGGAAGCTTTCTGGAGGTGGAATGTCTGAGTCGGGGCACAGAGGATGATTAAAAGAGTTGGGGCTTTGTCCTGAGGAGAGTGGGGAGTCATGGTTAGGTTTTCATCCGGAGGAATGTGGATAAATTTGCCTGGCTAGTAAAAGGCTGCAGAGGAGAGAGAAAGGTGGAGTAGAAGGCCACATTGCTTCAGGTGTCTCTTTGGGGTCCTCTGTTGGAGGTGGGAAGCCTCTGGAATGAGATGCTTTCTGGCCTTGTCCCAGAGGGCCTCAAAATGGAGTACAGAACAGGAACTGACTGGCCTGCTGTGAGGCAAACAAGTTGCCTTTCTGGAGGCTTCTGGGGAGCCTCCGCAGGGCCATGTTGCCCAAGCCCACCCCAGAGTAGGGCACTGTTGCCTGGGAGTTCCGTTAGAGGGCTCTAACAGCTAGAGCCAGGCCAGGCATCAGTTAGAATCAGGGCTGGATGGGTTGACGTCACAGTCAGAACATGTCGTTCTAGTCCTCATTTGCATCCTGGTCAGCAGGTGCCACACTTTCGCCTGAAACAGAAACCCAGGGCTAGAATAGTCTCCCACCGTAACCTGTGTCTTATTTGCAGGCCTTGGAGGAAGGATGTTTCTTTCCTTCATCCCCAGCCAGCCATCCCTAGAGCCTGAAGCCCATTCCATTCTTGACACACCAGCCAGTTCTCTTCCTATAAATGTGGTTCTTTTGACTGGAATTCACCTCACTCTGAGCCCAAAGTAAATCTTTCCTCATCAGCCTTCACTTTGCTCCTCAGATCTAGCTAGGTTTCTCCTGCTGCCAGTATGACCCTGGTGAGCTGTGACAAGTGAGAGTAGACAGGGACAGTGGGGCTTGAGAGATCCTGGGCTGTCACATCATCATTCGTACCTGCTGTGTTCCCTCCTCCCTCCCTCAGACTGTTATACACCAAAACTCCCCATATAGCTTCTCTGAGAAACCCAACTCTTGTCCCTTAGTCCATGTCACAGGGTTCAGGGAACACAGACAGCCACATTTTCTCTTGGAATCAACATCTTCAAGCAGGGTGGGACTGGGAGAAGCAGAAGCTAGGCAGAGGGAACCAAAGCAGCTGGAAAAGCTGACCTAGCTGTTGTGCTGGTCTCATAGCAACAGCTGCCAGCAGCCCCCAGCGACCACAGAAGTGCTGGGCTGGCCCAGGGGCTGTGACCTCACTGTGTTTGCTGTGGCAACAGCCACCAGCAGCTAATTCCCTTTCCTCCAGGAAAGCCAAGTATTTGCATTTCTGCTGGTGTGGTTTAGATACTCTTCTTCCCTTCCCCAAACGAAGGAGTAAGTGGAGGGAGGTGCAGTCTTAAAAACCACTGCTGAGTTGATTCTCAGCACCTCAATTCCAAAGTGCCTGAGAAGCCATCTCTGAGTCTACCCACTTCCAAGGACAAAGGCCAGCTATTTATAAGTCCAATCTGCTCCACCTCCATTCCTCTCATCCCATGAAGCTGCAGGGGCTAGCCGTCTTGGCAGCATTGCTTCTCTTCTCTGTCCCCTCATCAGGACATTGACAGGGCAGTTGTACCACATGGAAGACCTCCAGGACTGTCACTCCATGCCCTCGCAGTTCAGAGGAATCAAAGTAGGATCACTTAGGGGCAAAAAAAAAAAAATGCAGAATGGTCTGGGGCCATATTCACCCTGGCACCTACCTACTCTGAGCTTTTGTGTCAGAAGAAAATTATATTTAGCTGAGGAAGCCAAACTCTTTCTTCCTATGACCAGATGCCACGTTCTGCTTTGGTTTTAGGAATGGAGTCAAAGAAGAGTAGTGGGGAGAGGGGACTTAACTTTTCCTCTGTAACATGATGTTCCTTTTCAAACCATTTGTGGCCCAAGTGCTCTTTGTGGGCCGGTGTCCAAGACCCCAAGAACAGTATGTGTGTGCCTGTCACCCACATGACTGCCCACATCCTCCTTCGTGAGGGTAGGGACACTTTCCCTGGGGGACAGGGAAGAACATTTTTTCCTGGCGCGTGTTTCAGGGCCAGAGGATCTGGTTAGTTTAAGCAACTGCACCCACGGCCCCAGAACTTCCAGCAGATTTGTGCTGGAGTCCTTGGCCCCTGGCTAATCCACATCCAGCACCCTGTTCCTATGTCTTAGAAGACGATCTCTTGAAACCTTGTTTTTTCCTCAAGCTTCAATTTTCCTTGGTATTTTCCATTGGGAAGCCTCTCCTGGATAGTCAGTCCTGTAGGTCTTATTTTCAGATCCACTCTGGGTGTTGACTTTTCACTGCCCACTCCTTTGGCACTAGCCAGAGATTTTTACATCTGCAAATGCTCTCCAGAGCCAGGACGAGGGTGATGATCCTTGTCTTTCAGACGAGGAAATTTGAGACTCAGGCTACTTGGGGACTTGTCTGAGTCTCACAAATAGTAAAGGGCACAGCGGGGATTTCAAGCCCAAGTTTCTTCCCCAAAGCCTGTGTTCATTCCACCCTGTCTCACTGTTCCTGCTTTTCTGCTTGGGAGGTCACTATAAGCTTAACCTTTTCTTTGGTCTGAGTTGCTTCAAGTCAACATGACAGTATAAATATCTACCCAGTGATGACCACATCAATGGCAGCTCACAGTTGTTGAGTGTTGGCTATGAGCCAGGGCCTGGGCTTAGACGAGGGCTTTTACTCACGTGGACTCATTCAGTCCTCACAGCAACCCTAAGACATCCATGCCGTTTTCCCTTTTCAGGGCTTGATTTTACAGAGGAGCAGGCTGAGGCTGGGCCATCCCAGTGCACTGCCCGCTTCCTGTCAAGGTGTCTTCTGCCCTGGAGGCCACCTGTGTCCCCCTACTTGAGTAGTTTCTTGCACTTTGTCAATTGCTTTATGGACATTCTCTTACTCAGTCCTTGCCAGCCCAGGGAGGGAGGCTTTTCAACCCCGTATTACAGATGAGGCAACTATAAGGACTGGCCAAGGTATGTTAGTAGCCACACCAGGACTTGACCCTAGACTCTTTGCACCCAAGCAGGCCACATCTTCAGAATACATTTTTTTTTTTTTGGTCCATTTGTATATACCCCTTTACAGACTGTTTTCCCCATCTGTGGCTTCTTTCTTGGGTCCCTATTAGAGCCACTAAAAAATTGTTTAAATGCAGTTAAAAACTCCTTACTCCGTTTCTGCTGAGTTCCTGAGTTTCCATAGGGAGGGTACCTGTATAGGTGCCTGGGTCTTACTTCTAGAGGTTCAGGCTCAGGAAGTCTCAAATGAAGTTTGAGCTGCTCACTTTTTAAGTAGTGTCCTCGTGATTCAAGTATACAGGCTGAGTCTATGGAACCCTGAATCCAACAGAGGTAGGCCCCATTCCCAAAGGGCCCGACATGAAGGAGGTGTTCGGTAAATGGAAGCCGATGTTGTTACTGCTCTCAACCACATATGTGCTAGAGCACCGCTCTGCCAGCACCAGCCCAGGACACACCTGCCATCACTTAGAGGAAGGGAAGGAAACATTAGGAGCAAAACTGCACTTGCGAAAAGCAGAGTCTCCTGATGTGTAGAGCTTGCTGGTTAGAAGCTTGTGGGTGAGGCTGATGTTTCAGAGAAGGACTGAGGGAATAAAAGAACCAATGTTAATAAGAACAAACTACAAAACTGTCCAAAGGAGCTGGTTAATTAGTAGCATAGCTAATCTATAGGTATTACACAGCCATTAAAAAAGAATACTGCACAGAAAAACTTCAGAGAAAGTTTCACGTTACATGAAAAAGCCTCAGGAGGATGTGCATAATACAATTCTTTTTGTGTAAAAAAATCACATAGATATTTCTAAAAGTGCACGGAAGAAATTCATTCTTCATTCTCTCTGGGAAGTAGGGCTGGCACTAAGGGAACACAGGGGTTTTTCCTCTAAACTTTATGCCTTATACTGTGAATTTTTTTACCAAGAGTATGTATTAGCTTTTAGAATAGGGAAAAGAAATTGTAAGGTCCAGTACCAAGAACAAATAGGATTAAAAAGCAAAGTCCCAACCATTAGGAATCCTTTGCCCTGTGCCTGTCTGCAGCCACTTACCTAAGTCAATTCATTTGCTGAGGGTGACTCAAGAATCTTCTAAGTAAAGAAGAGCTGTTTCCTGAGTTTCTCTGCTTACAAGGAGCACTGATATCCTTTTCTCAGTCCCTGGCCTACATAATACCCCTCAGAGGAAAAAACCAACTCTTAATGTACCATCTCTTGCCTCTTCTGTTACCTTACCCTTAGACAAATGTTTATGGGTCAGCCCAGAGACGAAAAATGAGACCATTTGAAGGCTTCCAGCGCAAAGCTATTGTAATTTGTCCCACTGACGAGGACCTAAAAGACCGAACAATAAAGCGAACCGACGAGGAAGGGAAGGATGTCCCAGATCATGCGGTCTTAGAAATGAAAGGTAGGAAATGAGTGCTTCCCAGAGGAACGTCAATGCAGGGTCCTGGAGAGAAGAAGCTCTTTACTCAGTTTGTCCTTCCCTGGCTCCCCAGTGATTTCTTTTTTGATCTTACTCTTTCTTTGCTTCTGCTTTGTCCCTTCCTTGTCTACCACAGCTGTGAATGGAAAAGCTACCCATCTGTCTTATGTTGGGGTTTTCAGGCTGGATGGGGCTGGGGCAGCACAAGGGAAAGGATGTATGGGAGCTAAAGCTGAAAGTCCTGTGTGCTCACCCTGCCTCTGGTCCCAGATGGGCTGACTGTGGGCAGGCCTCAGTTTGTTTCTCTGTAAATATAGGGATGGTGATGCCATCTGTCTGACCCATTCCCTGGGGTGAGGCCTGAGGGAGCTGTGCACTGTGTCTAGGTGGGTCTTAGCCACCTCTTCAGAAAACGGAGGAGTCTTTGTTAGCCCCTGACACTTAGCAGGCTGAGGGGTTGGGGCTTTGTCTACCTCTTTCTCTCTCTCTCTGTTTTTTTTTTTTTTTTTTTTTGGAGAGGGAGTCTTGCCCTGTCACCCAGGCTGGAGTATAGTGGTGCGATCTTGGCTCACCGCAACCTCCGCCTCCTGAGTTCACCCAGTTCTCCTGCCTCAGCCTCCCGAGTAGCTGGGACTACAGGTGTCCACCACCATGCCTGGCTAATTTTTGTATTTTTAGTAGAGATGGGGTTTTGCCATGTTGGCCAGGCTGGTCTTGAACTCCTGACCTCAGGTGATCCACCCGCCTCGGCCTCCCAAAGTGCTGGGATTACAGGCGTGAGCCACCGCGCCCGCCCTTCTGTCTATGTCTTTCTTATTCACTATTCCAGTTTTCTTCACCTTCTCCCTTCTGGAAGGCCACTCTTCTGGGTGGAGGGGACCAGACTTCAGAAGGTACTGACCTCTTCTTCTTGTTCTCTTTGGGGCACTTCCTTCCTCCTAGCCAACTTCACGTTGCCAGATGTTGGGGACTTCCTGGATGAGGTTCTGTTCATTGAGCTGCAGCGGGAGGAAGCGGACAAGCTAGTGAGGCAGTACAACGAGGAAGGCCGCAAGGCTGGGCCACCCCCTGAAAAGCGCTTTGACAACCGAGGTGGTGGTGGCTTCCGGGGCCGCGGGGGTGGTGGTGGCTTCCAGCGCTATGAAAACCGAGGACCCCCTGGAGGCAACCGTGGCGGCTTCCAGAACCGAGGGGGAGGCAGCGGTGGAGGAGGCAACTACCGAGGAGGTGAGACATCTCACACACAGCACTCTCCACTTTCTGTTCCCAGGTTGGGGCTGGGCTTTGACTGCTTATTCAATCAGCAACTGAAGTTTTCTGAGCTCCAGCTGTGAGTTATACTCTGGTAGAAAACTTGAAACAAGTCAGACACGGAGACCTCAGAAACGCTCCCACTTTCCCACTCCCTGGACGCTGGTTATGAAGCCCTTTGCCCATTTGCATATCACAGTGCACATTCTGTCACATTGCTGTCATTTTTGTGAACCTTCCCCCATCTGACCATGAGCTCCTTGGAAATAGGATCTAGATCAAAATCTATTGGAAATGGGGGCTACATCTTTGGCCAGGTCTGAAGAGGACTAGATGTGACTCGTTCATGGCTGTCACCAGTGCTTAGCTTCCTCTCATTTTTTTTTTTTTTTTTTTTGAGACGGAGTTTTGCTCTTGTTGCCCAGGCTAGAGTGCAATGGTGTAATCTCGGCTCACTGCAACCTCTGCCTCCCGGCATTCAAGCGATTCTCTCGCCTCAGTCTCCTGAGTAGCTGGGATTGTAGGCAAGCACCACCACGCCCGGCTAATTTTGTATTTTTAGTAGAGATGGGGTTTCTCCATGTTGGTCAGGCTGGTCTTGAACTCCTGACCTCACGTGGTCCACCCGCCTTAGCCTCCCAGAGTGCTAGGATTACAGATGTGAGCCACCGCACCCTGCCAGCTTCCTCTCCTTGAGCATCTCCTTCCTGCATATTCAACAGCTATTGAGATGCTGGGACACAGAAACCCAGGACTGCCTTGGTCTCTGCCTCACCATTCTTGCAGTCCAGTGAATGAGACAAACCTGTCATAAGGGCTGGGACAGGGGAGTATGCCCGGGGGTCTAGAGAATCCCAGAGGACATGCTTTGTTGTTCACCTTGAGTTCTTGCTCTGCGCCTGGCCATGCCGGCTCACAGTAGTCACCAAGACAACCCAGTTCCCTGGGGTTGCCATTTGGGAATGATGGCGCCTTTCATCTGGATTTCTCCAACACAGGTTTCAACCGCAGCGGAGGTGGTGGCTATAGCCAGAACCGCTGGGGTAACAACAACCGGGATAACAACAACTCCAACAACAGAGGCAGCTACAACCGGGCTCCCCAGCAACAGCCGCCACCACAGCAGCCTCCGCCACCACAGCCACCACCCCAGCAGCCACCGCCACCACCCAGCTACAGCCCTGCTCGGAACCCCCCAGGGGCCAGCACCTACAATAAGAACAGCAACATCCCTGGCTCAAGCGCCAATACCAGCACCCCCACCGTCAGCAGCTACAGCCCTCCACAGGTGAGAGAATGAGTGTGTGTTTGTATGTAGTGATCGCACGTGTGCTTTTGAACCTGAGCAAGTTAGGTGGAGGCGGATCTGGGGAAATCAACACATGCCCCAGCTACTGGTCTTCACTCTAACCTCTAGCCTGCCCTTCTTTCTCCCTGGCCGTGATCTTGACTCAGATGGACCCTACACATTCCCAGATCCCCTCCAAACCCAGGAGTAAATGTAGACCTTCCCAGAACCTGCTCTTCTCCCACCACCCTCAAGGGGATGGGCTGTAAGCACTGATCCCTCCAGCAAGTACATTATTCTTGGCTAGTGTCACTAACCTCACTAAATCCCCAAGAAAGCACTTGACTGGAGTCACCCCTTGCCCAGGCTGGCTGACCTCTTTGTCTTTTGGACATAATAACCAGGGCACTAAGGTTGCTGAGGACTTGCCCTCTGCACAGAGAGCTTCAATCCTGAGCAGCTCCAGGCTCAGTTCCCATTCTTGGAAAGCCAGTGCCCTGGCTCTGGTATGCACAGGCTCCTGTAAACCAGAGAGGTTTTCAGTTATCGCACAGCCATTTCCCAAGCACTTTCCTCATGCCGGGCCTGGAATCAGCTGCCAGGAGACCAATGGATGGTTCCCAGGCCCAGCTAACTAGAATATTTCTTAGAACAAGAGTTGGGCAGGCACAGATCCAAACCCCCAGCCCCACAACATCCTGTTTCTGTGAGCTTGGACAAATAGCTTCCCGTCTCTGGGCCTCATTTTCCTCATAAAGGTGTTAGTAGAAGTCCCTTCCAAGGTTTGTTGTGAGGAATGGGTGGCACTATAGCTCTGGGACTAGGCAGACCTGGGGTCAAGTCCTTTTTCCTTGGCCCAGAAATTTCATCTTGAGCCTCAGTTTCTTTCTCTTTAAAATGGGGCTAGTGGGACCTACCCCTAGGTTCTATATGGAGATTATATGATGTAATGATCCAACCTGTACTTGGGAAGCACTTAGTCAATTGCCACTACTGTTTCTCAGCAGATCTTCCAGTAACAACTACCACCACCTGTTGAGTACCCAGTGGTTTATACACACAAGCTTATTGGATACCCAGGGCAAGCTAAAGGAGTTGTTCTTGTTCTATTGTGATTCTCATTTTATAAAAAAGAAAACTGAGATTTCAAGAAGTGCCGTGTACCTTGCTCCCTGGGGGTCTCAGAGCTGGGGTTAGAGTCCACATCACAGCCCTGGGGCTTGCCCTTCATCCTGCCCTACCATGGCATGGAGCTGGCTCTCCTCCTTCTCAGCCCACAAACAATGTCCACTAGGCAAGGGAAGGGCCCCTGTGGGCCAACCACTTAAAAAGGCCCTTTTTCCATCCCAGCATTTCACATCTGCAGATTTCCTCTATTTCACAGAGCTTTGGCTTTTTTCCCTCCACTTTCCAGCCGAGTTACAGCCAGCCACCCTACAACCAGGGAGGTTACAGCCAGGGCTACACAGCCCCACCGCCTCCACCTCCACCACCACCTGCCTACAACTATGGGAGCTACGGCGGTTACAACCCGGCCCCCTATACCCCACCGCCACCCCCCACTGCACAGACCTACCCTCAGCCCAGCTATAACCAGTATCAGCAGGTAGGTGCCAGACTGGGGGCCAACTGGATGGAGAGACTTCCATGGGCCCCTCCTGGGTGTGTATTCCCAGACTTAAGTCCCTGCTTATCCCTAAAAAGACAGCCTGCTGGCCTCGGCCTGGCGTTCATCTGGTGCAGCCATTCCATTTGGTCAACACTTCTGCACTGGTTGCTAGGTAATTGGTATCCTAGCCCCCTCCACAGTCTAGCAAGTGAAGGGGAAGGGCTGGCCTAAGTACCAGGGGCCTCAGAGTCCTCTTTCAGCACCATAGACAGGGGGCTCCAAATCCTGCTGCAGGTTGGTGCCCAGGCCCCCATACCTGTTACTAAATCTTTTGACTATGATATCTAGCTATACCCAAAAGGCACTGGGTTGACAAGCTGAGACCTGGGCTTCAGTCCCTAACTGCCTACCTGTGTGGTGTCAGGTCTTTCCAAGGTGCCTTGATTTCTCTGTCAGGGGACCTGTGTTCAACTGTTGTCACTGCAGCTGTCTCTGCCCTAGGTGAGGGTGGGGCTGGTGGGGAGGCTAAATGTGTGGTGGATGCAGGACAACTTGGTGTTCTTGGTTTCTTTCCCCAGTATGCCCAGCAGTGGAACCAGTACTATCAGAACCAGGGCCAGTGGCCGCCATACTACGGGAACTACGACTACGGGAGCTACTCCGGGAACACACAGGGTGGCACAAGTACACAGTAGCCAGTGTGACCCAGAGGCTCCCGGAGGCCCCTGCCGGCTTCCTCCACCAGCGCCTGCCTCGGCCCCTCCTCTGCCCCCGCCAGATCCCGTGGTGCTGGGGATGGGGTCATCCCAGGGCTGCCTCCCTCCAGCCCACTGCCTCCCCTCTGAGGGGCTTCCTTCCCCTCCATAGGGCCAGGCATTTTTTTCTGGATTCAAACAGGCAACAATGACCTTTTATTTTCTGTTTGTCCCCACCTCCCCAGCCTTCCACCTCCTGTTCTTCCTACCTTCTTCCTTTTTGACTAAATAATCCCCACCTCCCTTGATCATACAGTGAGGCTACAGTGACTGAGGGGAGAATCCCCTCCTGTTCACTCTCCCAACCCTGCTCCAGCCCCTCAGCTTCCCAGACCCTCATGCAGTTGGTTGTAAATTCTCCCAGGAGCTGTTTTACTGTCTACTTTTCAGGATTAAAAAAAAAATCAAAACTTAAAAAAAAAAAAGTTTAAAAAGCAAAATGGGGAGGGGGAGGAAGCAGTGACTTTTTTTTGGTAATTATGCGCTTTTTTTTAATTTTTAGAATTTGTCTTTTTACTGTGGGTGGGCTGTTGATATTTCATCAAGATAAGCATTTCTTTCCTGAGTTCAGGTGACTGAGGAAGAGCCACAAAACAAAACACAACAAAACCAAACCACAGAATCATCTTTAACCCAACTTTTTATACGATGCCCCAGTTCCCCATAACTTTGCACACAAGCTTCTGTGTTCAGTTGAATTGTAACTGCTTTTTGTATTTGGAGAGAGTGACTATTGAACTTGAAACCTTTTATTCCGGGCGTCTTGGTAGTTTCTGGTGGGATTCAGTGGGTGAGAGGGAAGAAGGGGAGGTTGGGGGGCTCCTTCCCTTCAGAACTTGAAGTTTCTCCCACTGCCTCCTCTCCAGTGGTCTCCCAGGTGCCAGACCCAAAAGCTTTTCCTACAGTGATACCCTTTATTTTTACTTCCCCTTGACTCATATGTTTTAACATGATTTTAACAAACTGCACTTATTAAGAAATGTGTTTGCCCTGTTTTGTTTGGTTTCGTTTTGTTTTCTTTGAATAAATGACATGGCACCTCCTAGCAGGAAGGAAGCAGGGTTGAAACCCTGAAGTGTTACTGCAGTTGGCCGTTAATTGGGGTGGGGGCCTCTTTAAAGGGAAATTATTTACTCATTCATTAAACAACTTAACTGAGGGATTCATGTGCCTGGCCCCGATTTTGGTGCTAAAAATGCACGCTTAAACAAGGGTCCCTGGTTTAAAATCCACTAGTTCATTTTTAAAGTGCTTCTCTTGTTCTCTACCTCTCACAGTCTAAAATCCCTCCAGGAGTTTTTGAGTAAAGGACATGGAACAGGCCTCTAGGTGGAGGGATGGGTGGGACTGATGGGGCAGAGACCAGGGCTGGTTTGTTTGGCATCATCACTGGGCATCCACAGACCACCTGCCTCAGGCCTGGCCTGTGTGCAGCACGGAGGACAGTTCCTGCCTGTTCTGTGTTTGGGGCTCATGGGGATTCCAGGAGCTTCATGTTTCAGCCAGTGTGTGTGAGCCACCTGCTGTGTTCTTCAGCTGTCCTGGACAGTGCTGGGGACATAGTATGGCCACGGCAGTCCTGGACCCCGTTCTCACAGAGCTCCCACTCCAGAGAGAACAAAGACCTGCCAGCACCAAGTGGTCAGCTGTGAGAGCCTGGGGTGGTGTGCAGGGAGGGCTTCCTGGAGGAGTGAGCCAGGGTAAAAGACTCCAGATTGCATCCCCATGGCCCATCTTCCCCTTCCTTAGCAACCTTATGTCTTCGTTCCCTCATACATGCTGTGTTCCTGGCTCCTTGTGAGAGACAATGCTGGGCCACAGGAGAAGCCAATTCAGCCCCAATCTTCCCTGGTGGGAGCTCAGAGCCTTGTGAAGGGGAGATGGGCAACAAAAACAAGGGAGGGAAACTGACTAGTCTCAGAATCTCGGGTAGGGCATCAGAACGTGAGAAGGAACCAAGGTTGGTGGCTAAAAGGGACCCTAGAATGCGCCAGAGAGGAGGTGGCAGGGCCTTTAGTCTGGAAAGTCCCCTTCCCTTCATGTCCATATGCTGGGCTACAGCGCCCTCTGCTGGCCTCTCCTGGTAATGCCTAGGAATCTGGGTTGGTAAATAGGGACCTCCTTGGCTTTCTTCCACAACTCCAGACCTCAAGGGAATGCAAATGGGGAAGCTCTTCCTCTGTTCTCAGCCAGTTTTTCTCACACGTCTCATCTCCAGTCCCTTGATGCCCACTCCCTTCAGAATAAAGGAGGTCAAGCCACTTACTATGGCTTATGAGGCCCTGCATGGCCTAGCACCTGGTAACATCGCTGGCGCCCTCTCTTTCTGCTCCCCCTTTGAATATCAAATCAGTGTTTATTTTGTTCTGAGGAGCCATAAGTCCTTTTTGGAACCCACAAATGATGCCATGAACCACTGCATTGGAGAATACAGAGGTACATGGAATTTTGCATAAAAATTCATGAGGTTCTCAAAACCTCCACAGCCCAATCATGGCTTTCAAGTTAGAGCTCCTTTCCTATGCCCTGACCGTAGTGAAGTGCTTGCAGCAACCAGAACCGTCCGTACGTGCCATCCTCCTCAAGACTCTTCCCTACCTTCCTCTTAACCCAGCTCCTACTCGTTCTTCAGGTCTTAGCTTGAGGGTACCCTCCCAGAAAGAAGGCTTCCTTGACCCTCCAGCCTGGGGTGGACAGCTCCCTCAGCCCTCTGGATCCATCAAAGCCCTGGCCACTGAGTGACATGTCTGTCTACTCTGCTGGTAACACCTAAATAGAGCCCCACCCATCCCATAGGGAAATAAGGACCAGAGTTGTCTTGTTTCACACCTGTAGATTTCCTCCAGGTCCTGGGAACACAAAATGGGAAGTTCTATCTCACTATCCATCTCATGCCAGCCAGAGACAGGGTATGATGACGGAAGTAAGCCAGGCTGGTGGCTCACGCGCGTAATCCCAGCATTTTGAGAGGCTGAAGCGGGAGGATTGCTTGAGGCCAGGAGTTGGGGACTAGCCTGGGCAACAAAGTGGGACCCCTGGCTCTACAAAAAAATTTTAAAAATTAGCCGGGCGCGGTTGTGCGCGCCTGTAGTCCCAAGTACTCCAAAGGCTGAGGCAGGAGGATCACTTGAGCACAGGAATGTGAGGTTACTTGAACTGTGATCGCGCCACTGCATTCGTCTAGGCGACAAAGCGAGACCCTGTCTCAAAAAAAAAAAAAAAAAAAAGAGTCAAGGCTTAGTAATATTCCTGAATTCCTGAAGGAGTTAAGAAAGGAAAAGGACAAGCGGGGGTCTAAACGAGAGCACGAACCCTCAGCGTATGACGGCTCCAGGCTCCGGGGGAAAGTCCTTTAGCCATCCATCCCAAAATTAAGCACGCTGGGAGCTGGAGTCACAGCAGTGATAAAACGAACAATGATTCTGGTTCCTACTGACTGACAGGAGAGGTTTAAGGGTCTCTCACTCTCCGGGGAGCCCCTTTCCTTCCTGGCTGCGGAGGGCGGAGCCCGAGAGAGGCACGCATGCGCAATGCAACGTCTGCCTTAGGCCCGGAACTTCGGTGCCTGGGCGCAGCGGTGCACCCGGACCCGGAACATTCTCAGGCGAAAGTGTCTCTTGCGTGCGTGGGCCGGAGGTTAGTGTGCGGGGCCCGCCGGGCGGTTGAAAAGTCCGAGAGAATCAGGATGGAGGCCGTGGCGACGGCGACGGCGGCGAAGGAACCCGATAAGGGTGAGATCTTGGTCACGCGCAGGCGGCGGGTGGGTGCGGTTGCGGTGTCTCTAGGAAATGATTCCCCCAGGAACGCGAAGTAGGACTCGTTTTAGGGGGACACCCACCCCCCTCAGCTTTACCGGTCCTCTTCACTACTTTGCCCAGATTATTCCCTCCCTTGTCGCGGGCTGACCTTCTTTTCCTCCATTCCTTCCCCCCGAAATTAACCTCTTCCCAGTTCCAGACCAATCCTTTCCATGTCCCTAATTCATTTCCTTACCAGGCTAACTCTCAAATTAACAGAAACCTCTCTACCCCGGCCTAATTCCTGCATTGCCTCAGACCAGCCCTTCTCAAATTACCTCCTTCCCTGTACCAAGCTGAGCCTTCCCTTGCTCTCTAGACGAATCCTCCTACCTTTCCAGGCTAAACTTCTACCTGCCTCATGCAAACTTATCCCAATCTAACGATTCCTTCATTTCATTGTAACTCCCGTTTCCCCCAAAGTCCGAAATCCAGCCAGGCTCCTTTCAAAGTCCTTACTCAATTTCTGTGCTTTCCCACAACCTTCAAAGTAATCCGACGTCGGGTGAGGTGTGATTGGAAGCGTGGCTCCAACACCACTGGCCAAGAATTGGTAATTGTGGAAGCCAGATGGAGATGATTGGTATATGGAGGTAGGGGGAGAATTGTCGTTGTACTTTCTACTTTTGTGTATGTTTGAAATTTTCTAAAAATAAAAAATTTAACCTAAAAAAAGTCTTAAGGCCGGGTGCAGTGGCTCCCGCTTGTAATCCCAACACTTTGGGAGGCCAAGGCAGGAGAGTTGCTTGAGCCCAAGAGTTTGAGACCAGCCTGGGCAAGAGAGAGAAACCTGATCTCTATAAACATTTAAAAATTAGCCAGGCCTGGTGGCTAGGGAGTAGCTAGGACAAGCTACTCAGGAGACTAAGGTGGGAGTGTCACTCGAATCCTTTGAGATTGCAGTGACCTAAGATTATTACACCACTGCACTCCAGCCTCTGCAGCAGAGTGAGACTTGAGCCCAGGAGTTTGAGACCAGCACTGGCAACATAGCCAGACCCCATCTCTACAAAAAATTTAAAAATTAAGGCCGGGCCCGGTGGCTTACACCTGTAATCGCAGCACTTTGGAAGGCGGAGGCAGGAAGATCACCTCAGGTCAGGAGTTGGAGACCAGCCTAGCCAACATAGCGAAACCCCATCTCTACTAAAAATACAAATATTAGCCAGGCGTCGTGGTATGTGCCTGTAATCCCAGCTACTCGGGAGGCTGAGGCACCAACTGGAATCACTTGAACCCGGGAGGCGGAGGTTGCAGTGAGCAGAGATCGCACCACTGTACTCCAGTCTGGGTAACAGAGCAAAACTCTGTCTCAAAAAAAAAAAAATTAGCCAGGTTTGATGGTGCATTCCTGTGGTCCCGGCTACTCAGGAGTCTGAGGCGGGAGGATCACTTGAGCCCAGGAGGTCAAAGCTGCAGTGAGCTGTGTTTGCACTATTGCATTGCAGTCTGAGCAACAGAGCAAGACCCTGTTTCAAAAAAAAGAAAAAAAATTTGTCTCTTGGCCCCATCTGTCTCCTTCAGAGAGTCATGTATACTTGGTCTTCATTTCCTCGTCTCCTGCTCACGACTGTCTGACTTTTCTCCTAAGAAACTGCTCTGATTAGGGTCTGCACTGACTTCCCCCATGTTGTTCAATTCAGTCCCCCCATTCAGGTTTTTGTTTGTTTGTTTGTTTTTTGAGAGAGTCTCACTCTGTTGCCCAGGCTGGAGTGCAGTGGCATGATCTCAGCTCACTGCAACCTCCACCTCCCAGGTTCAAGTGATTCCCGTGCCTCAGCCTCCCAAGTAGCTGGGATCACAGGTGCCCGCCACTATGCCTGTCTAATTTTGTATATTTTTAGTAGAGATGGGGTTTCACCATGTTGGCCAGGCTGGCCTCGAACTTCTGACCTCAAGAGATCCTCCTGCCTCAGCCTCCCATAGTGCTGGGATTACAGGTGTGAGCCACCACACTTGGCCCATTCAGGTTTTTTTTCTTACTAGACTGGACTAGAATTAAATGCTGTTGATCCTTCCATCCTTTTTGCATGTTTTCCTTTGGCTTCAGCGACACCACAGTGCCTGATTTCCTGCCTGTCTCTCAGGCTGCTCCTTCTCAGCCTGACTTTGTTTCCCAGGGGTGCTGTAACAAAGTACTACAAACTGCATGGCTTCAAACAACAGAACTTTATTCTCTCATAGTTCTCAAGGCCAGAAGGCTGAAGTCAGTGTTGCTGAACTGAAATCCAGGTGTCTGCAGGGTCGTGCTTCCCCACAGGCTCTGGGAGAAAACCCATTTCTTGCCTCTTCCAGCCAGTGGTGGTTTCTGGAATTCCTTGGCATGTGGCTACATCACTCCAATCTCTGCTTCCCCTTTTGACGTTGCCTTCTTTTTTTTTAAGACGGAGTCTCGCTCTGTTGACCAGGCTGGAGTACGTGATCTCGGTTCACTGCAACCTCTGCCTCCGGAGTTCAAACAATTCTCCTACCTCAGCCTCCTGAGTACCTGGGACTACAGGAGTGCGCCACCACACCTGGCTAATTTTTTGTATTTTTGGTAGAGCGCCATGTTGGCCAAGCTGGTCTTGAGCTCCTGACCTGAAGTGATTCTCTCACCTTGGCCTCCCAAAGTGCTGGGATTACAGGGGTGAGCCATTGCAACCGGCCTCTTTTTTTTTAAGATAACAGTAATGGGCTCCAGGGATTACGATGTAGCTATCTTTTGCACAGCCAGTTTTTAGCTTCAGAGGCATGTCCTCCCCGCATCTGTGCAGTGCTTTTTCCTGGACCCTCTTGTCATCCCTCTCCCACTCCCCTGTGCCCTCCCCAGTCCCTACCTCTCATTTCTCTTGGCTTTGGTTCTTGTCTTGATTCTGATGACACCCACAGCTCTGTCTCCAGCCCAACATTTCTCTCCTGAGGAGTCTGGAGGCCCGTGTAGCAGCAGTCGGACCATTCCCCTGGATGCCTCCCTTACTTCCAGCACGTCAGCCCTGTGGCTCCTCCACTCAGCCTCCTGACATCTTTCTGATTCGCTCACTCATGATCCTGTTCCTTCCTCCACAGCCCCTGCCCTTGTCCAGCTCAGTCTTCAGCTGCATCAGTGATTTAAATCCTCCCTGATACACACAACACATGTATGTCACCTGTGACTTCTTTCCTCCCCAACCCAGCCACGCTGCTTAAAGTTGTCTCTATATTCTGTTTTCACGTATTTCCTGCTTGCCGCAGGCTTGCTCCCTCCACTCTTGGGAAACAAGTCTCACCAAGGTTTGCCCAGCGCTCCGCTTTCCTGTTTTCTTTCCATTTTTTTGAGACAGAGTCTTCACTCTGTCACCCAGGCTGGAGTGCAATGGCTGATCTCGGCTCACTGCAACCTCTGCCTCATGGGTTCAAGCGATTCTTGTGCCTCTGCTTCCTGAGTAGCAGGGATTACAGGTGCCCACCACCATGCCCAGCTGATTTTTGTATTTTTAATAGAGAGAGGGTTTCACCATGTTGGCCAGGCTGGTCTTGAATTTGTGGCCTCAAGTGATCTGCCCACCTCGGCCTCCCAAAGTGCTGGATTACAGGCATGAGCCATGGTGCCCAGCCAGCTTTCCTGTTTTCTTTGCCCATATTATTGTTGATCCTGACTGTCTCCCACATCAGACTGGGTGCTCCCTGAGGGCAGGAGCTGGACTGGATTCATCCTATGGATCCTCAGCATTGCCTGACTTAGGGCCTCTCAGAGATTTAGTGTTTTTTTTTCTTTTTTTTTTTTTAGAGTTTTGCTCTTGTTGCCCAGACTGGAGTGCAATGGCACGATCTTGGCTCACCGCAACCTCTGCCTCCCAGGTTCAAGCTATTCTCCTGCCTCAGCCTCCCGAGTAGCTGGGATTACAGGCATGTGCCACAATGGCTGATTTTGTATTTTTAGTAGAGACGGGGTTTCTCCCAGTTGGTCAGGCTGGTCTTGAAATCCCGACCTCAGGTGATCCACCTGCCACAGCCTCCCAAAGTGCTGGGATTACAGGCGCAAGCCACCGCGCCCGGCCTAAGATTTAGAGTTATTAAAGAGTGGTTGGGTGAACGCATGAATGCATGAGAGAGTGAATGAATGAGTAAACAAATTAGCAAATGTATTAACGATTTAAAGAATTGAGTGGATCAATAAGTCAGGCCTCAGGGCCTTTGCAGTAGTTGTTGCCTCTGCCTGGAATTCTCTTTTCCAAGAGACCTCATGGCTTAATCCCTCACCACCTGAGGTCTCTAATCAAATGTCACTTTTTTGGCAAAGCCTTCTCTGAGCCTTCCATTTAAAATTGCAGCCTTGGCCAGGCATGGTGGTTTACACTGTAATCTCAGCACTTTGGAAGCCTGAGGCAGGAGGATCACTTGAGGCCAGGAGTTCAAGACCAGCCTGGGCAACACAGCAAGACCCTGTCTCTACCAAAAAAAATTAAAATTAGGCCGGGTCCAGTGGTGCACGCCTGTAATTCCAGCACTTTGGAAGATCGAGGTGGGAGGATTGCCTGAGCTCAAGAGATTGAGACCACCCTGGGCAACCTAGTGAGACCTTGTCTTTACTGAAACTTTTTTTTTTTTTTTTTAATTTAAAGATTGGCAGGGTGCAGGCCAGGCGCAGTGGCTCACGCCTGTAATCCCAGCACTTTGGGAGGCCGAGGCGGGTGGATCACGAGGTCAGGAGTTCGAGACCAGCACAGCCAAGATGGTGAAACCCTGTCTGTACTAAAAATACAAAAATTAGCCGGGCATGGTGGCAGGTACCTGTAATCCCAGCTGCTCGGGAGGCTGAGGCAGAGAATTGCTTGAACCTGAGGCGGAGGTTGCAGTGAATCAAGATTGCTCCACTGCACTCCAGCCTGGGCGAAAGAGCGAGACTCCGTCTCAAAAAAAAAAAAAAAAAAAAAAAGATTGGCAGGGTGCAGTGGCACACACCTGTAATCCCAGCACTTTGGGAGGCCGAAGGGGAGTGGATCACCTGAGGTCAGGAGTTGGAGACCAGCCTAGCCAACATAGCGAAACCCTGTCTCTACTAAAAATACAAAAATTAACCAGGCATTTGGCTTGTACCTGTAATCCCAGCTAGTTGGGAGGCTGAGGCACCAACCACAATAACTTGAACCCAGGAGGCGGCAGTTGCAGTGGGCAGATCTCACGCCATTGCACTCCAGCCTGGGCAACAAGAGCAAAACTCCATCTCAAAAAAAAAAAAGAAAAAAAAATTTAAAGATTAACTGAGTATGGTTGTGCATGCCTGTAGTCCTGGCTGCTCAGGAGGCTGAGGTGGGAGGATTGCTTGAGCCCAGGAGTTCAGGGTTACAGTGAACCATGGTTGTGCCATTGCACTCCAGCCTGGCAATGGAGCAAGGCCTTATCTCTTAAAAAATAAAAATAAAAATAGGCCAGTCACAGTGGCTTACACCTTTAATGCCCAGCACTTTGGGAGGCCAAGGCAGGAGGATTGCTGGAGCCCTGGAGTTCGAGACCAGCCTGAGTAACATGTCAATACCCTGTCTCTACAAAAAATTTAAAAATTACACAGGCATGGTGGTATATGCCTGTGGTCCTAGCTACACGGGAGGCTGAGATGGGAGGATCGCTCAAGCCCAGGCGGTCAAGGCTGCAGTGAGCTGTGATTGCGCCCTGCACTCCAGCCTGGGTGACCGAGCAAGACCCTGTCTCGAAAATAAAATAAAATTGCAGCCTCCTCCACCTCTTCCCTCCTCCTTCCCTGTTTATTTTTCCGCATAACTCCAGGAAACACCTAACACATTATGTTTTCGGTAATTATGTTGCTAATTGTTTGTGTCCCCTACTGAAATGTCAACTTTTGCTCACTGTGGTTTCTCTAGTGCCCAGAACAGTGCCCAGAATATAGTCAGTGCCCAGTAAATGTGAGCTGAGTGAGTGACTAAGCCCCCAGTCCCTTCCCACACTCCCATCTCTGAACTAACCAATCTCTCCTTTCCTCAGGCTGCATAGAGCCTGGACCTGGGCACTGGGGTGAGCTGAGCCGGACACCAGTCCCATCTAAACCCCAGGACAAAGTGGAAGCAGCTGAGGCAACACCAGTGGCCCTGGACAGTGACACCTCCGGGGCTGAAAATGCAGCAGTGAGTGCTATGCTGCACGCTGTAGCCGCCAGCCGCCTGCCTGTTTGCAGCCAGCAGCAGGGTGAACCCGACTTGACAGAGCATGAGAAAGTGGCCATCCTGGCCCAGCTGTACCACGAGAAGCCACTGGTGTTCCTGGAGCGCTTCCGCACAGGCCTCCGTGAGGAGCATCTGGCCTGCTTTGGCCACGTGCGTGGCGACCACCGTGCAGACTTCTACTGTGCTGAGGTGGCCCGGCAGGGCACTGCCCGGCCCCGCACCCTGCGTACCCGCCTGCGTAACCGGCGCTATGCTGCCCTGCGAGAGCTGATCCAAGGTGTGGGGGCCAGATGGGCGACAGTGGGCACATATGGGGAGGGAGGGGAGACTGAGGCAGAGGGAATTAGAGAAAAGAATACAAGAGCAGAGACAGAGATCCTGGGAGAGAAGTTCTGAGACAGAGACAGGGACACAGGAAGAGACTGAGACAGAAATGTAAAGTAAGGGGGAGAGATAGACAGGGGTCCAGGGAAGAGAATGGGACAGACAATGAGAATAGATCAGAATTTAGTAGATGTTAGAAGTGGCATTTCAGATTGGTAGGCTGAGGACACAGTACACAGTGCTGTGATAATTGGTCATACCTAAGGAACAAAACATGAGATCCCTACCTCATACCATATACAGAGGCATCAGGGGAAACCAAAAGGAGTATGTACATGACCTTGGGGACACAGAAGCCTTCTGAACAAGACACACGGTGAAAACCATGAAGGAAAAAAAAGATAGCTTTTTGACCATGACATAATTAAAAGCATCCTTGTGACCACAACACCAGAACCAAAGTTAAAAGATGAGAGTGAATGAAGCAGAGTGAGTTAAGTTGCCGTTAGGGAGAAGGCACAAGTTATAGAGAGGTTCACAGAGAAAGAGAGAGAGGCTGGGCATGATGGCTTATGCCTGTAATCCCAGCACTTTGGGAGGTCAAGGTGGGTAGATTACTTGAGCTCATGAGTTCAAGACCAGCCTGGGCAACATGGCGAAATGCTGTCTCTACAAAAAATACAAAAATTAGCTGGGTGTGGTGGCGCCCTAGCTACTCAGAAGGCTGAGGTGGGAGAATTGCTTGAGCCTGGGAGGTGGAAGTTGTGTGAGCTGAGATCCCACCACTAAGCTCTAGCCTGGGCGATAAAGCCAGATCTTGTCTCAAAAAAAAAAAAAAAAAACACAGATGTGGAAATGAGGATGAAAACAGAAGGAAGATGGGCCGGGCACAGTCACTCAAGCCGGTGATCCCAGCACTTTGGGAGGGCGAGGTGGGGGTGGACCTGAGGTCAGGAGTTCCAGAGCAGCCTGGCCAACATGGTGAAACCCCATCTCTACTAAAAATACAAAAAAATTAGCCACATGTGGTGGCAGGCAACTGTAATCTCAGTTACTTGGGAGGCTGAGGGAGGAGAATTACATGAATCTGGGAGGTGGAGGTTGCCAAAAAAAAAAAAAAAAGAAGAAAGATGAATGAGGTGGGGGTAGGTGACAGAAACTGAAAAAAGCAGGAAAGATAGAAAGATGGAGATAAAGGAAGAGATGGAGAGAGATCCAGAGCCGGGGTGGGTGATAATCCAAGTTGGGGAGAAGGAGGGATAGAAACTGAATCTGCTAGAGGCTGGGCACAGTGGCTCAGACCTGTAATCCCAGCACTTTGGGAGGCCGAGGCAGGCAAATCACTTGAGATAAGGAGTTCAAGACCAGCCTGGCCAACATGGTGAAACCCCGGCTCTACTAAAAATACAAAAAAAATTAGCCAGGCACTGTGGCAGGTGCCTATAATCCCAGCTACTCAGGAGGCTGAGGCAGGAGAATCACTTGAACCCGGGAGGCGGAGGTTGCAGTTAGAGTTAATCGAGATCACACCACTACACTCCAGCCTGGGCAACAGAGCGAGACTCCATCTCAAAAAACTGAGTCTGCTAGAGGATGCCACAAACAGCTGGGGGTAAGATTGCTGGCAGGAGTGGGGAAGCTGAGCAGGACAGGGACAGTCACAGCCTATGGTGCTGCAGAGGCCAGGAGTCCGAGCAGTTTCTTTGCCCTGGACTCTGAAGACACGGCTAGGACCAGTGGAGGGGAGGGACCAGGGCAGGTTTAACTGTTATTTGAGGGACAGAGTCACTCGTGCAGAAACAGGCAGCCAGGGGTGATGCAGGGAACTCAAGTTTTGGGGTAGTGGGGAAGCCAGGCCCACCTGAGGGGTTGCTGCATAGAGGAGCACTCGAGAGAGGATGGATCTAGGGCCTTCCACCACCAGGAGGCTTTCCCAGGGATACACGGGCAGATGCCCCACCTGACCTGATCCCTTGCACACACATGCCAAATCCACGTGGATGTACACACATACACGCCCCACAGTGAAGGCGTGTCCACTGCCAGCCAGACTAGGGCCCCACAAACAGGCACACAACCTAGAGACACACAACTTCTGCTGCATTGTCCTGCATGCTGACACCCAGACAGACAGGTGTCTGTGGGCATATGCTGGGCCTCACAGGACATGTGTGTGTACATAGGCCATGTACACGTCCATGGGCAGGAGCTTGTGCATCGTGCCTGGACACAGTTGTACACGAGCTCCAGACCGTCAGAGCCTCAGAGGCCAGGATGTAGCCAGGTCTGCCCATGCACACACATGCTTGGATGCATGAATACATGAATACACAGGAAGATAGAGGCCGGGCCACATACACACACTCAGGTGCCTGCACGAGTAATCACATGCACATGACCTCAGGTGCCTGCATGAGTGCTTGCGCACACAGCTTCAGGCACCTGCATGAGTATTCACGTGCATGCCTCAGGCGCCTGCATTATTCACACGCACGCCTCAGGCGCCTGCATGAGTACTCACGCGCACCTCAGGTGCCTGCATGTTTTCCTGTGTTTTTGAATGTGTGCATACACACACTTGGACTGTGTATGCACATCATCCCACAAGCATGATCACACACATACCCACATGGACACTATCTGCTCAGTCGCTCACCCCATGCCCACCCTGTCTCTCCTCTGTGCAGGGGGCGAGTACTTCAGTGATGAGCAGATGCGGTTCCGGGCCCCCCTGCTATATGAGCAGTACATCGGGCAGTATCTCACCCAGGAGGAGCTCAGTGCCCGCACCCCAACCCACCAGCCCCCCAAGCCCGGGTCCCCCGGGAGACCTGCTTGCCCGCTCTCCAACTTGCTGCTCCAGTCCTACGAGGAGCGGGAGCTACAGCAGCGTCTGCTCCAACAGCAGGAGGAGGAGGAGGCCTGCTTGGAGGAAGAGGAAGAGGAGGAGGACAGTGACGAGGAAGGTGAGGGCCAGTAGCAGGAAGACCCCAGATTCCAGACACCCCAGCCCTAGGCCTGTCTGTCTCCACTTCATGGCAGCAGGCTGGGCCCCCAACCTGCAAAAGCCGACATTGCGTCCCTCCCCTGCCCAGCCTGACTCTCTGTGTATGCCCTTCCAACCGCTGCAGCATCCCCATCCCCCACTCTGAGGCACCAAATGAACCCTCGCCTCCAGGTCTGGACAGGCTGTTCCCTCCGCCAGGAATGCCTCTCCTCCCACCCTTCAGGTCTCAGATCCTGACCCGAGGATACAGTCTCCAGAGCACTATATGGTCATGTGTTTTATGCGTGTCCCTGGAGGGCAGGGACCAGGGCCATCTCTGTCACTAGTGTGTTCCCAGAGCCACCCAGCGCAAGGCTGGGCACAGGAGCAGCAGCTCTCTGTGGACTCTGTGCTCAGTGCCTGCCCGAGTGCACCCGCATTCACACCCCCTCTCCTCTCCCTCTGCAGACCAGAGGTCAGGCAAGGACTCGGAGGCCTGGGTTCCCGACTCGGAGGAGAGGCTGATCCTGCGAGAGGAGTTCACCAGCCGCATGCACCAGCGCTTCCTAGATGGCAAGGACGGGGACTTTGACTACAGGTGCTCCTGTGCCTCCACCTCCCCATCCCCCAGCCCAGCATCCCACGGCCTTTGGTCACATGCAGAGCCCTTAACAAGCTGTGGGGGTCTCCCTTTGTGGAGCTACAAGGCCCCAAAACAGTTCCAGGATGTGGGGTTGAACAGCCAAAGGAAGAGGCTGGGTGACCTCGGACTAGCCTTGTCCATCTCAGACCCTCAGTCTCCTCACCTCTAAGGCAGGGGATGGACAGGGATGACATATAGCTCAGTATCAATGAAACCCTGAAACACTTCCCTCCTGGCAATGGCAGAGGCTACTACCCCAAGCCCCCCAAGTCTCCCTAGGAAGCCCAACCTCTTCCGCTTCACCTTGGACCTCCTCATGCTGCAGGAAGTAACCCCTGGCAAAGTTCATGCCCGGCATGGAGGGGCCTGCACTGGCTGCCCCCACAGTTACAGTTGTTCATTTCTCCAGTAGCACCCCAGGGCTGAGACACGTGGGCCACCTGCTTTGGAAAAGGACCCAGGAGAGTGATGTGTCAGTCAAAGATTGGTTTTGTCATTTAAGGTAGCTTTGCCTTGTGGTCCCAAACACTGGGCCCAGCAGCAGAGGACCCTCCTTGGTTTCACATCCAGCCCCGATGACATGTGAAATGTGTGACCACACATAAGCGGACCCTACGTCCGTCCTGAGGTGGGCTCATCAGGAAAGTGGGAATTGTGATTGCCCCTGCCGTGGGGCCCAGCCATGGTCACCAGAGCCTCCTCCCATTCTGGGATCCCTGGCTCTTGAATGGAATCTGGCTGCTCCACTTCCAGCCAGGCAGGCCTGCTCAGAGCCCCAGTTCCTGCACGCAAAGTGGTGAGCAGAGGGCCTGGACCATGGGGACCCTCATTCAGCAGGCATCACTGCTGTTCCCAAGCCAGGGCCCAGGAGGAAATTGGGGGTGGCAGGGACCACAGTGTGTTGCCTCGGGAGGGCAGCAGTGGCCCCGACGTGTCCCCCATCCGTGCATTCAGTTGGCATGTGCTGAGCATCTGTGATGTCCACAGGCTCTGGGGATAAGGCGGGGACCAAAACCAACGAAAGGCTTCCCTGCCTGAAAAGGGGTCCCACTCTAGTGAGGAAGATCTAGAATTTTCTAGCACTTCATGGTGATGGGGCCATGAGGAAAAGTGAAGCAGTGGGAGGGGAGTGACAGGGTGGCTAGGGAAGGCCTCTCTGAGGGGCTGACAGCAAAGGCCTGCAGGAAGTGGGAGGAGCATTCCTGGCAGAGGCCATAGTAGGTGCCAGAGCCCCCAGCAGCACCAAGGGGCAGAAGGGGCTGGAGCAGTCGCAAGGGGTCGCAAGGGGGTAGGAGATCTCTGAGTGGCCAAATCAAGCTAGGCTTGGCAACCCAAGTGCGTGCTGCTGGGTTTACTTGCTGCCTTAGGGCATGGGCAGCTGTCCTGCCTGTGGTCAGCTCTGGCTAATCCCGGCCTCTATCCACTGGAGGGCAGTAGCAAGCCCCCAGTGATGACGTCAAAATGTCAAAATGCCGTGGGGGCAAAATTACCCCCAAGTGGTTCTTTGTTGAGAGCCACTGCCTGCTTGAGAATGTAAGCCCATGTGTCGCCACATTTTACAGCTTTTTAAGAAAAACTAGAGCTTTGGGGTTTTTTTTAGACAGGGTCTCCTTTGTCACCCAGGCTGGAATGTGGTGGTTTGATCATAGCTCACCGCAGCCTTGACCTCCTGGCCTGAAGTGAGCCTCCCGCCTCAGCCAACTGAGTAAGCTGGGACTACAGGTGCTCACCACCACGCCTGGCTACTTTTTCAATTTTTTTGTAGAGACAGGGTCTCCCTTTGTTGCCCAGGGCTCCAACTGCTGGGCTCAAGCCATCTTCCTGCCTTGGCCTCCCATAGTGCTGGGATTGCAGGCATGAGCCACCATGCCCAGCCCAGAGTTTTTGTGCAAACTCTGATTTGGAAAATGTTCCCTTGAGTTTTAAACCCTGAGAGTTTTAAACACTATCTCCCTTGGGAGGGTCAGCTCTGACGGCTGCCAGCACATGGCCTTTGACATCAGGGTGCCCCAGGCCTTTGACCTGGGCATCCGAGGGTCCCAGGGAGACCCAGTCCTTGACAGCCTCCTCCTCCTGCAGCACAGTAGACGACAACCCCGACTTCGACAACCTCGACATCGTGGCACGGGATGAGGAGGAGAGGTACTTTGATGAGGAAGAACCTGAGGATGCGCCCAGCCCAGAGCTGGATGGGGACTGATGGCCGCCACCCTTCCCACCGCCTGCCCCATCCCCATCCCCAACAAGGCAGCTGATTCCAGGCCTGCTCAGTGACCCTTTCTCTAGGGGGACATCAGGGCAGTGCCCCACAACCCACACACACCACCATCTCACTGGGTCTAGTCTCATCTCAGACAACCCCCACCCCCACTGTTTCTGGGGTTCCCTTTCTCATCTCTCCCACCCTGTCTCCTGCCTCTGTCTTTCTTGGTGTCTGTCTGGGCTTCTTTCTGTCTCTTTCTGTCTTTCTGTCTCTCTCCCTACCCCCGCTCCCTCTTTCCAGTGCTCTGGCTGGCTGTCTCTCCCTTTCTCCCCCTCTCTCTCTGCCTTAGGCTCTGTCTCCACCGCAGGGCCCAAGGTGAAAGTCCTCCCCTTGCCGGAGGCCAGCTGGCAGGGCCTTTCGTGGCTGGAAGTGGCCAGTTTGGTTCCGGTGCTGACCCCTAGGCCCCAGCGCAGCTGCCTCCCGTGCTGTCTGTCTCCCCCTCTCTGTTTATGTCTGCGCTGTGTCTCACACTCAGAGCCTCCTTGCTTCTGTTAGGTTCCCATCTCTCCTTCTGCCTCACTCTGGGCCTCTTCTTTCTACTTGTACATTTCCACCTCTCTAGGCCTCTGCTCTCACTGTCCCTCTCTGTCTGTCTCTCAGCCTTTATCTCTGGGTTTTGATCCCCCACTCCAGGCTCTGGGCCCCTTCTTCCCCCTTCCCTCAAACCTGGCTGCTATAGGCAGCAGAACCCTGACCACTGAGTAATACAGCCCCAGGGGAGGGAGGAGACCCCAGGCAGGGAGGATGGGGGCAGCTCTCTTCTCTCCCCAGGACCCAGGCTGTGGATCACGGGGCCTGCCAGCTTGAGTGTAGAGGGAGGGGGGACTCTACCCTTCTCAGCCCCACCAGCCCCCCTCTGCCCAACCACAATTTTCCCTTCCTCCGCCTTCCTCTCCCTCTCCTGTTTACACTCCCCAAATGCGCACAGGCTGTTATCATGGGTCCTGAGTCATCCCACACACAGCCTGCCCCAGCGTCCCTGCCCCCAGCTGGCCGCAGGGCCCGCCCCATGGAGCCCCCTGCCGCCCTGGGCTAATGGGAGCCAGATGGCCGCCTGGTGACTCAGCCACCGGGCCTGTGGGAACCCAGGCGTCCCGCCTTCCCATGCCCCCACACCCGGCTCCTGCTCCCCCAGCAGACACACACAGGAGGGCCTGGCCACTGTTGAGGGGGCACACAGGGCAAGGGTCACCAAGTCGGGGCCTAGGGACTCCTCATGCCTCTGAGATGGAATGGTGGTATCCTGCCGTGGCCAAGCCTGAAGGACCCTCAAAACTGCCTCCTGGAGTCCACGGTTCCTGACCTCCGAGCCTCAGCTATGCCCTCTGGGTCAACCAGAATTAGAGCCAGACAGGGAAAGTGAGAGCTGGATGGAGGCAGACAAGATGCTCAGAGCGACTATTAAAGAACGAAAGCCTCTGCTACGGAGCGCTTCTGTCCTCTGTCAGGCCCGAGCGAAGTGCCTGACACCGGGTTGGATCCTCAGATGGCCCCATGAACTAGTGAAGTGGGTCAAAGGAGGCCTGGAAAGATGTTGCTTCCTCAAGGCCACTCGGCCATCAGAGGCAGAAATGAAACAGGAACCCAGGCCTAGAATCACAAAGGTCCTAGAAACCACTTGGCTGTCTGGCCTCTCAGGTGTCAGGGCCATCCAGAGTGAGACAGCATTGGAGGGACAAGTGTGCATGCAGATGTCCTCAGACGGGAAGGTTTGAGAAGGGTCAGATGGTAGGCGGGCCTAACAAGGGCTCCGTGCTAGCCACTGTCCCGCACACAGACAGGATCAGGTCATCTTGATATGGAGATCAGTCCCCAAATCACTGAATTGTCCCAGCAGTGCTATGCCCTAGGTACTACCAATATCACTCCTCTATTTCCCAGAGGAGGAAGCAGCAGCTAGACTCCAGGACCTTGGGGTCATATCTCTCAGAAAGCCAAGAGTGCAGGATGAGAGCTGTCTGTCTCTTACCTGCCTGTATTTGTGCCCCATTTTTAAAGAGCAGAGGGCCTGGGCCACAGGAAAGGTATCAGCCCTTGGTGATAGGCACATTTTTTACCAGTCTATCATTTGGTCATTAAATTTGTTTACAATATACTTTGCTATACGTAAATTTGTTGTGTAGGTTTTTAAAAAGCGATGAGAGACACAGAAATTGAGTCAGAATTAGGGTTAGTCAGATGGTCAAGACGTGAGCATCTAGCTGACAGACAGAGGTGGAGCCAGTCCCAGGGACAGGGATTAGATGGGGAGACAGGAAGAGAGGTGGAGACAGAGTGGGGTAGGGATGACGGGAGACACACCCCCTGGTCACTGCCTCTGAGACCTGGGGGTGGTGGGCCCCAGGGCGGGTGCCTCCCATCCCCCTCCCAGTTCTCCCGGGGTCGGGGTAGGTGGAAAGGCTGAGTCAGGGAGGGCGGGCCCCGCTGGGAGACAACCCCTAGGTGGGCATCCGGCCCCCACCCCCGTGTCTCCTGTCCGTCCTGGCCCTGGCCTGGCTCGCTGGCCTGGCCGCCACCCCGCCCCCCACGTCTGACACCTCCATGCGTCCTGCCAAAGCAAGCTGCCTCCCTGCACTCTTCCCCCTCCAGCTCCAGTCACTCTGTCCCTCTGTCCCCCGTCCCTTCTCCCTGCTTCTGTGCGTTTCTTTCCAGCCCTCTGCCTTCCTCCCTCACCGCCACTGCTCTGTCTTCTCGTTCTGTCTCCACACCTCTGGCTGTCGGTGTCTCCCCGTGACTTTCCGTCTCCCCTCTCTCTCCTCCCTTGTTTTTCCCATGCCTCTCCCTCCCTCCCTCCCTCCCTCTCCTCCCCACCTTTTCCACTCCGTGTCCCCAGCCATTCTCCATCTCTGTTCTCAGCTCCTGTCACCTCGTTTCCCCATCCCTTTCTCTGCTGGAGTCTCCCTCTGGGGGGCTCTGTCCTCTCCTCACTTTGCCCTTTCCCTCTCGCTGCTGTGTGTCTTGGCCCGCCCCCCGTGCCCCCCATCTCCTCTGTCTCCCACACTCTGGGAAGCCCGGCTGGGATATCCAGGTTGGAGCCTCACTGGCGGCCACTGGAAACCCAGAATGAGGGGTCATCGCCTCTCGCCCACCCAGAAAGGGCGCAGGAGGGGGCAGCAAGGTTGCGGGGCCTGTCTGGCCAGAAGGAAATGTCTGTGCTGTGGCCTGGTCACCCCCGCCCCCAGGACCTGCTGGGCTGCTGCCGCCCCCGGCCGGGGCTGAGGCCGAGTAAACACAGCAAACACAGCCGCCGGCAGCCTGGGATATTTATACCGAGGCTGGGCGTGGGTCCAGTGCCCACCACAGCCCCTGCCCTGCCCTGCCTTGCCTGCTGCCACAGCCAGCTCCGAGCCAGCGTGGCACCAGCCGGCAAGGGGACGCGCCGCAGACACAGCCTGCGCTGGGTATGGAGGCCAACAGGCACTGGCCGCTCATGATGCAGGCGGCTCCATGGACGCACCCTGTCCCCCTCCCCTGAAAACACCAGCACACAATGTGGACCCACACTCGCAGCTGCTCACAAACACACATCCACCCCTGCTGAGAACGCGAAATCCCCTCAACGATGATGCAAAACAGACCCACACAACTCCACACACTGCAGTCACCAGCCTACATGTGGGAACACAGCATGCAGACACCACCTTAGCACCTGCTCACAGCACCCACAGGCTGGGAACACCAGTCCCTGAGATGGACACACAGCCCCGAAGTACAGCCCTCCCTCACACAGACAAACACTGAGAACCACAGGAAGCATGCTGGATGCACACCACGTAGACAAACATGCTCAGAATACCAGCGACACATGCACTGATCACAGTGCAACCCAGAAACAACTCAACTCATCTGCCTCATATGTAAGAAACACACACGGCCGGGCGCGGTGGCTCATGCCTGTGTCTCAGCACTTTGGGAGACCAAGGTGGGTGGATTACAAGGTCAGGAGTTCGAGACCAGCCTGGCCAACATGGTGAAATCCCATCTCTACTAAAAATACAAAAATTAGACGGGTGTGGTGGTGGGTGCCTGTAATCCCATCTACTCGGGAGGCTGAGGCAGGAGAATCGCTTGAGCCTGGGAGGCGGAGCTTGCAGTGAGACAAGATCGCGCCATTGCACTCCAGCCCAGGCGACAGAGCAAGACCCCGTCTTACACATATACACACACACTCACTCCCCTCTCCTGGAGAAACACCATTCCCACAGATGATTAACATATGCAGAAAACACCACATTTCAAGTCAAACTTACACTTAAAAATGCACAAATTTACACTCAGAAGAACAGTGAAGATGTTGAGAAAAATATCAGACACACAATATGCCCCAGATACATGGCCGACTTGCAGAATCAAACAGTGCCAGAGCATAAAACCCACAGAAAATACAACAGCTTGCCCAGCAGAAATACAAAATGCAGACGCACACCCCAGAAATGCAGCGCAGCCACAAACACACGGAGCTAACACGTGCTGGGGACACACATAGACAAGACCATCCATACCAAACAGCACACAGGCCCCCAGAACACCCATGCCAGACGCAGCTCACGCCACAAAGCTTGGAATCACGCACACAATAAGTTCCTGAACACACAAATCCGAATCCACACTGGAACCTCAAATACTCTGCATGTCCAGAGACTAAGGGGGAAGGGGCTTTCTCTCACCCACCAATCTCCCCACTCCCCCTTGCTGACCCGGGTCCCAGGCCCGTCTTGGGGGCGGGGGAGGGGGCAGGAAGGCCTGAGCTGGCCTCCCCCAGCAGCTTCCTGCCCCACGGGGGCTGGACAGGAAGCTGGGGCTCCAGCCGGAACCCAGGCTCCCCCCACGACTTCCCTCTGTGGCCCCGGGCCGCCTGCAGAGGCAGGGGCGGGGCAGGGGGAGGAAGCGGGGAGCCCCAAACCCCCTGCCCTGCCCCTGCGGTCGGCCACAGGCGGGGGCAGACTTGTCCCGACGGGGCTGAGCCACCCATCGGGCCTGGGTGCCAGGGTGGCAGGGCAGGGGCAGTGCGCACGCGGCCAGAGGAAGGTGCTGAGCCCACAGTTTCCCCTCCCCGCCCTGTGGGGCTGTGCCAGCTCAGCCGGCAGCCCTGGGCAGGTGGGCGGGGTGTGTCATGAGGGCGTGTTGGGCAGGCCGACCACACCGCGAATGTGCAGCCAGCACTTGTCCTCAGGCCGAGGCACGAGCTGGGGCTGGGCATGTGAGGGCCGCGTCTGCCACCCTGGGGGTGTGTCTGCTCCGTCTGGGACCCTGGGTGTGACAGTGTGTCTGGGCGTGACGTGACGGGGTCGCTGCAATCTGTGGGGCCCTGTGGGACTCCCCAGGCTGGAATTGTGCGTGTGTGGCGGAGGGTGTGGGATGTCAGACTGAGTGGGTAAGACCGACCTGCTGTCTGTGAGGTTGTGACGTGTCAGACCTCTGTGTGGGGTGTGTCTGGTGGGACTGTGACAGGTCCGACTGTGGACATGCACCCTGGACCTGTTTGTGACTGTGAACCCATGGAGGAGGAGGTGGCTGTTGAGGGATCCATTTCCTGTCCGGGCTCTGATGCCGTGATGCGTGTGCGTGCATGACACTGTTTGAATCAGTGTCTGGTGTGCGGTGGTTGCGACCATGACCCTGTGGAATATATTTGTATATGACTGTGTTGTGCCAGGTCCCTATTGAAGTCTCTGCTCGTGTTGTGTCCCAGTGAGGCTCCGAGGCTGGGTGGTGTTTACGTGATGGGCTGACACTTTCTCTATTTGTATCTGTGTATATGTGGGCTGCAGCTGCTGCCAAATGACACAGCCCATGTGTTACGGGCCCTGCAGGAATCTCTGTGTGTCCACGGCGGCTCTGAGAGGTGAATATTTGTGTAGTGTGGGGCACCGTCCGTGTTTCCCGCCGTGTGAGTGTGTCTGCATGTGTACACGCACCACATCCTCATAGGGCTGCAGCGATTACAGCCGAGTCACTGTGTCCTAGCTTGTGACTCTGCCTCTTGGGGCCAGACCTCAGCATCTCTATACCTATCCATTTGTTGGCATGTCCTTGCATAGTGAACTCCTGCCTCCCCACTCCTCCCTCAGCCCTGTGTGCTTTGGGACCTGAGGCCAGAGGAGTAACCACATTTCTACCCCTATGCTGAGCTGGGAGGGCCCCAGGTCCCTGGCACCCAGACCCAGTGCTGCCAACAGCTCTCATGCCCACAGGCAAAGGAACCGCAGCACTCATACTGTCCTTCCTCCCAGGACAATCACTGGGTGTGGGGAAGTGAAACCTAGGAGAAAGAGCAGAAACTGAGAGGCAGGAGAAAGAGGAAGCAGGAGAGAATTCACAAGCAGGACCATAGCAGATGGGAAGAAATGGAGACAGCAGAGGGAGACCCACCTGTGGCTGCTGCCATTTCTTGCCTGGACAGCTGGTCTGTCTGTGCTCACCCTCACCCTGACACTTCTGTCCACTCCCAACCATGAGCAAGACGGCGGACCCTCTGAGCGCCTAGGTCAAACCCTGCCATGGCTCCTGTCTTCCTTGAGTGCAAGTTCTTTTTTTTTTTTTTTTTGAGATGGAGTCTCACTCTGTTGCCCAGGCTGGAGTGCAGTGGTGCGACTTTAGCTCACTGCAACCTCTGCCTCCCCTGTTCATGCGATTCTCCTGCCTCAGGCCCCTGAGTAGCTGGGATACAGGTGTGCACCACAATGCCAGACTAATTTTTTTTTGTATTTTTTATTTTTATTTATTTATTTGAGATGGAGTCTCACTCTGTCTCCCAGGCTGGAGTGAAGTGGCGTGATCTCGGCTCACTGCAACCTCCACCTCCCAGGTTCAAGCGATTCTCCTGCCTCAGCCTCCTGAGTAGCTGAGATTACAGGCGTGCGCCACCATGGCTAATTTTTGTATTTTTAGTAGAGACTGGGTTTCACCATGTTGGTCAGGCTGGTCTCAAACTCCTGACCTCGTGATCTGCCCGCCTTGGCCTCCCAAAGTGCTGGGATTACAGGCGTGAGCCACTGCGCCCAGCCTTTTTTTGTATTTTAGTAGAGACAGGGTTTCACCATGTGGTCCAGGCTGGTCTCAAACTCCTGACCTCAAGTGATCCCCCTGCCTCAGCCTCCCAAAGTGCTGGGATTGCAGGTGTGAGCCACCGTGCCCAGTCTTTTTTTTTTTTTTTTTTTAAAGATGCAGTCTTGGCTGGGTGCGCTGGCTCATGCTTGTAATCTCAGCATTTTGGGAGGCCGAGGCGGGCGGATCACCTCAGGTCAGAAGTTCGAGACCAGCCTGAACAACATGGTGAAACTTCGTCTCTACTAAAAAAAAATACAAAATTAGCCGAGCATGGTGGCGCATGCCTGTAATCCCAGCTACCCAGCTACTTGGGAGGCTGAGGCAGGAGAATCGCTTAAACCCGGGAGGCAGAGGTTGTGGTGAGCCAAGATCTCGACATTGCACTCCAGCCTGGGCAACAAGAGTGAAAATCCGTCTCAAAAAAAAAACATAAAAAAAAGATGGAGTCTTGCTTTGTCACCCAGGCTGGCATACAGTGGCACAGTCAGGGCTCACTGCAGCCTTGACCTCCCAGGATCAAGTGATCCTCCCACCTTAGCCTCCAGAGTAGCTGGGACCACAGGTGTACATTTTTTAAAAGTGTTTTGTAGAGATAGGGTCTCACTATGTTACCCAGGCTGGTCTCAAATGCCTGGATTCAAGTAATCCTCCCATCTCTGCCTCCCAAAAGTGCTAGGATTACAGGCGTGAGCCACCCCGCCTGGCCTGAACTACTATCTTTTATTGTCTTCTTCACTATCCCCCACTAAAGCAGGTTCCTGGTGGGCAGGAACTCCTCCCTTAACCTCTCTGGGCTTGTTTCCTCACCTTTAAAATGGGTGTTATCAGAGTCCCTGCATCTCAGAGTGTTGCTATGGTGACTGAATGAGTTCATTAATGTAAGGCACTTCAACAGTGCCCAAGGTGCTCAATAAATAGATCTAACTACAGTAGTGTTCCCCACTGGTCCCCTGTGCCTTGATGCCGGGCAAAGGAATAGTGCAGACAGGCAGGAGGAGGCAGAGAGGGAGAGAGAGGGAGTGGGAGTGGGGGAACGTCAGGGATGGAGACCCCAGGCAGGCGCCCAATGACACAGAGATCCGCAGTCCTCTCTCCATCTTTAATGGGGCCCCAGGTGGGCTTGGGGCACGGGTGTCCTTAAATACAGCCCCCATGGGCAAGGCAGCGGGGGCGGGGCGGGGTGGGGCCGGGCCTGCCGGGGCGGGGCGGGGCGGGGCGGGACCTCAGCTGCACTTGCAGGAGCGCACGATCATGTTGGACAGCTGCTCCACCTTGGGCTTGCGGCCCACGTAGTACACGATGGGCAGCGGCTCCAGCGCCTGCGGCACGCAGCACGGCGCCGCCGAGGCGCCCGGGTTATGCTGGTTGTACAGGGCCAGGACCTGCGGGCGGCGGGCGGGGTCAGGGCTCAGGGCTCGTGGAGGGAGGAAAACGGCCCTCCACTGCCCCATCCCCCACCCGCTACCGCGCCAGCCTCTCTCACTTCGTCTCTCCCCGCATCCCCTCTTCCCATCTCCAATTCGGTCTCTCTTATCTTCTAACATCCTATCTTATTCTGTCTCTCCCCACCTGTCTGATTTTCTTTTTGTTTTGAGACTGGGTCTCGCTCTGCCACCCAGGCTGGAGTATAGTGGCACGATCATGGCTCGCTGCAGCCTCAACCTCCTGAGCGCAAGCCATCCTCCCGCCTCAGCCTCCGGAGTAGCTCCAACCACAGGCAAGCGCCACCACTCCTAGCTTTTTTTTTTTTTTTTTTTTTTTTTTTGGTAGAGATGGGATCTCAGTCTGCTGCCTGGGCTACTCTCGAACTCCTGGGCTCAAGCGATCCTCCTGCTTCAGCGTCCCAAAGTGTTGGTATTACCATCGTGAGCCGCCGCGCCCGCCTGATTTTCTTTCTCAGTCTCTGTCCCTCCTCATCTTCGCCTCTTGCCTTGTTGTGTATCTGTCTTTGTCTCTCCTTGGCCTAACTCTGTGTCTGTATCTGTCTCTCTCATTTTGTCTCTCCATTTCTGCGTTTTTCCTTCCATCTCCCTGTCTCTCTTCTCCCCTTCACCCCCATCCCTCTGTTACTTCACTCTGTGGGTCTTCATAGCTCATCTCCCTCTGGCCCCTGCTCAGAGCCCCTCTCTAGCTTCCTGCCTCTCTCCCCATCTCTTTATTCATTCCCCTCCCCACCCCATCCCTCTCTTTCTCCCCATCCTGCCAACTCACCTCTCTGACTTTACTTCTCTTTCTCTCTCCTCTTCCTCCGTCCTGGCTCCCCCCAAGCGCATCTCGTAGCCCGGTGGGCCAGACGTACCTTGCTGTACTGCGTGTCCAGGCTCCAAATGTAGGGGCAGGGCCCGAGGCAGAAGTTGGCATGGTAGCCCTTGGGCTCGTGGATCCACTTCCAGCCGAGGTCCTTGCGGAAGTCAATGTACAGCTGCCGCACGCAGCAGTTCTTCTCCGTGGAGCTGCAGGCAGGAGAGACGCGTCAGGGGCAGGGAGGGGCTACCACCATAGAAGCCACATGCCCCTCCTCCCCAGGTGCGTGTGTCACCCTAGGTTGCCCCCCCAGCCCTATCTCCATCTGGGTCTCCCTTGCACCCACTGTGTTAATAACAACACAAATAGTCATGATAATCACTAACACAGATTAAGCACTTCCTCCAGTGCTAAGAGCAATGTAATAATTAATTTCACGCAATGCTTAAGACAAGCCTGTAAGAAGCCAGATGACCATCCACGGGGGGGCTAAATAAATCATGGCATGCCACACCCTGGAACATACAAAATAACACAGCTCCATGTAAACTGATCTGCTCTATTTGTGCAACAAATGTTTATTGAACTACTACTGTGTGCTGGGCTGGGATCTACTGTGGACTGAGGACAAATGAAACAGATAGAAATAGGCTAGGCATGGTGGCTCACACCTTTAATCCCAGCACTTTGGGAGGATGAAGTGGGAGGATCGCTGGAGTCGAGGAGTTCGAGGTTGCAGTGAACTATGATAACACCACTGCATGCCAGCCTGGACAACAAAGTGCAAGACCCTGTCTCTACAAAATTTTTTTTCAATTTTTTTAAAAAAGAGACAGAAATCTCTGCCCTCCATGGGCATGCTATAAATTGTCTTGTCACTCCTCTGCTCTGAACCTGGCTCCATCTCACGGCAAATGCCCAAGTCCTCACCGTGAGCCACAAGGTGCTATCAAATCTGGCTGATCTCAACTCCCTCTCTCACGCCTACTCCACTCCAGCCACACTGGCGTCCTGTCTGTTCCTCAGACAGTCTTATTTCGGGGCTCCTGCATCTGCTGTTCCCTCTGCCTGCCTTGCTAGTCCCACAGATACCCACTCCAGCTTGTTCCTTCACTTCATTTCTTCTTTTTTTTTCTATTTTTTTTTTTTTTTTTTTTTGAGACAGAGTCTCACTCTGTCTGCCAGGCTGGAGTGCAGTGGCATGATCTCGGCTCACTGCAACCTCCGCCTCCCAGGTTCAAGCGATTCTCCTGCCTCAGCCTTCCGAGTAGCTGGGATTACAGGCGTGTGCCACCATGCCCGGCTAATTTTTTTGTCTTTTTAGTAGAGACAGGGTTTCACCATGTTGGCCAGGCTGGTCTCGAACTCCTGACCTTGTGATCCGCCCACCTCAGCCTCCCAAAGTGCTGGTATTACAGACCTGAGCCACTGCATCTGGCCTATTTATTCTTTTTAATTTGTTATTCTTTTTAGAGACACGGTCTCACTATGTTGCTGAGGCTGGTGTCGAACTTGGGCTCAAACGATCCGCACGCCTCGGCCTCCCAAAGCATTGGGATTACTGGCATGAGCCACCACACCTGGCCCCTTCACTTCATTTAAACCTTAGCTCAAATGTCCTTCACTCAGGGACCCTTAACTCCTAAAGCAGTGTCTGGAATGCAGTAGGTACTAGTAAATATCAGTTACATGACTGAACATCACCTCCTCAGAGATACCTTTCTGAGCCATCCTTTCCAAAATATCCAAGTGACTGTTAGTTCCATTTAGTGCAATACGGTATTGCAGTTATGCAAGAAAATATAAAAATGTCTGCATTTGAAATGGGGCAAAATCTTAATTACCGATGACGCTGGATGAGAGTTTACGGGCATTCATTATCTTCATTGCTTTTGTATACATTTGAAATTTTCCATAATAAAGGAATTTAAATCAGAATAGGAAAAATAACAGTTCCCAATATCTATTACTCTCTGCCTGCCTTCTTCTGGTTTATTTTACTTCTTAGAACTGTCAAAGAGGCCGGGTGCAGTGGCTCACGCCTGTAATCCCAGCACTTTGGGAGGCCAAGGCGGGTGGATCACCTGAGATCAGGAGATTGAGACCAGCCTGACCAACATGGCGAAACCCCGTCTCTACTAAAAATACAAAAATTAGCTGGGTGTGGCGGTGCTTGTCTGTAATCCCAGCTACTCAGGAGGCTGAGGCACAAGAATCTGCTTGAACCCAAGAAGCAGAGGTTGCAGTGAGCCAAGATCGTGCCACTGCACTCCACCCAGGGCAACAGGGTGAGACTCTGTCTTGAAAAGAAAAGAAAAAAGAAAGAAAAGAAAAGAAAAAGTTGACAATGCCTTTTTTTTTTTTTTTTTTTTTTGAGACAGAGTCTTGCTCCGTCACCCAGGCTGGAGTGCAGTGGTGCAATCTTGGCTCACTGCAACCTCTGCTCATAGATTGGTGGGGCCAGCCAGGCACGGTGGCTCACGCCTGTCATCCCGGCACTTTGGGAGGCTAGGGCAGGCAGACTTGAGGACCCTGTCTTTACTAAAAATTCAAAAATTAGCTGGACCTGGTGGCGGGCACCTGTAATCCCAGCTACTGGGGAGTCTGAGGCAGGAGAATCGCTTGAACCCAACTTCAAGTGGCACCGGATAACCTAGAGGCAAGATAAAGCCTTTCCAAGAGCCACAGAAGCCTGAGAAGGAAGTCAAGAAACTGAGATCCCTGTGAACTCAGCCCGTACCACCCAATTTGGTTGGACCTCAGTTTCCTCATCTGTTCAGAGGTAGGAGCTACTAGATAAAATAAGGTGTTAAGCTGAGGGCCAAGGGGCCATCATGGGCAGGCTTAGGGAGGGCCATGAGTGCCTGAGATCATATGCACATGTGTGTATGTATGCATGTATTTCTGGGAAAAAGAGTCCTGGCTTTCACTTTCTCACAGGAAGTTCTGAACTCACAAAAGGGGAAGAACTAGTGTCCGGAATCTTTTTTTTTTTTTGAGATGGAGTTTCCCTCCTGTTGCCCAGGCTGGAGTGCGATGGTGTGATCTCAGCTCACTGCAACCTCCGTCTCCCGGGTTCAAGCAATTCTCCTGCCTCAGCCTCTCAAGTACCTGGGATTACAGGCATGTGCCACCATGCCTGGCTAATTTTTTGTATTTTTAGTAGAGGCTGGGTTTCACCATGTTGGTCAGGCTGGTCTCAAACTCCTGACCTCAGGTGACCCACCCACCTCGGCCTCCCAAAGTGCTGGGATTACAGGCATGAGCCACCGCACCCGGCTCAGAATCATCTTTAATATGCAGTTCAACCCTAGCTGGGGTTCTGAGATCCTAGGATTTGAACAATCTGTGATACTGTTATCCAAGTCAGCAGCTCTCCACGTGAGCTCCCAGGACCAGCGGCAGCATCACCTGGGAACTATGGGAAATGCAGATTCTCAGGTGGCACCCCAGGCCACTGAAATCAGAAATTGTGTGCAGGACTGGGAACAACAGTCCGTGTTGAACAAGCCGTCTAGGTGATCCTCTGACTCATTTTTTCAGCACACATTCGGGGCCTACCCTGCACCGGGCCTTGGGATACCCACAGCCCTTGCCCTTGCCAAGCCTCTTCCGTCCAGTCTCTCAAGACCTAGGCCAGGTGCAGTGACTCACGCCTGTAATCTCAGCACTTTGGGAAGCCAAGACCGGTGAATCGCTTGAGCCCAAGGAGTTTAAGACCAGCCTGGGGAGCATAGTGAGACCCTGTCGCTACAAAACTTTTTATAAATAAAAGACCCAACAGAGACTGTTTGTTGAGTCAAAGATCTACTTAGGGCCCCAGGGGAGCCCAGAGGCCTCACATCCATCTTGGATGTTGGAGAAAGGGGTTAGGAAGGAGGTAGTGTTCGAGCTGCCTTAAGAACAAATTTTCCTATGAAAGTTTTTTTTTTTTTTTTTTGAGATGGAGTCTTGCTCTGTTGCCCCAGGCTGGAGTGCAGTGGTGCAATCTTGGCTCACTGCAACCTCCATGTCCCAAGTTCAAGCAATTCTCCTGGCTCAGCCTCCCAAGTAGCTGGGATTACAGGCACACACCACCATACCCAGCTAATTTTTCTGTATTTTTAGTAGAGACAGGGTTTCACCATGTTGGACAGGCTGGTCTCGAACTCCTGACCTCATGTGATCCACCCGCCTCAGCCTTCCAAAGTGCTGGGATTACAGGTGTGAGCCACCGCGTCCAGCTGGAAAGTTTCAGATGTACACAAAAGCAGCTTCAACAATGACCAACTCATGGCCAATTTCCATTGCATCTCTACCCCTATCCACTATCTCTTTTTTTTTTTTTTTTGAGACAGGATCTCACTCTGTCACCCAGGCTGGAGTGCAGTGGTGCAATCACAGCTCACTGTGGCCTCCAGCTCCTGGGGCTCAAGCCAACCTCCCACCTCAGCCTCCTGAGTAGCTGGGACAAAAGGTACACACCACCAGGCCCAGCTACTTTTCATATTTTTTTTTTTGGGAGATGGGGTTTCACCATATTGCCCAGGCTGGTCTCCAACTCTTAGGCTCAAGCAATCCTCCTGCCTTGGCCTCCCAAAGTGGTGGGATTATAGCTGTGAGCCACTGCAGCCAGCCGACAATGGTTTATCTCAAAGCACATGCAATCCACCGTGTTGCTTCATCCATAAATATTTCAAATGTATCTCTAATTAAGACTACTTTAAAACACAGTCACAATACCATGTAAGAAAATTAACAATTCCTTGATATCTAGAGGAATATCTAGACAGAGTTCACATTTACCCAACTGTCTCATAAATATCTTTTTTTTTTAAGCCTGTGTAAATAAGGATTCAAGTAAGGTCTACACATTGCAATTGGTTGATATGTCTCTTAGGATTTTTTTTTTTTTTTAATTTTTGAGATGGAGTCTCACTCTGTCACCCAGGATGCAGTGAAGTGGTGCAATCTCGGGTCACTGCAACCTGTGCCTCCCAGGTTCAAGTGATTCTCCTGCCTCAGTCTCCCAAGTAGCTAAGACTACAGGCGCCTGCCACCATACCCTGCTAATTTTTGTATTTTTAATTATTTATTTATTTTTTTGAGACGGGAGTCTCACTCTTGTTGCCCAGGCTGGAGTGCAATGGCGCGACCTCGGCTCACTGCAACCTCCACTTCCTGGGTTCAAGCAGTTCTCCTGCCTCAGCCTCAAGAGTAGCTGGGATTACAGGGCCCGCCACCACGCCTGGCTCATTTTTGAATTTTTAGTAGAGAGGAGGTTTCACCACGTTGGCCAGACTGGTCTCGAACTCCTGACCTCAGGTGGTCCACCCACCTTGGCCTCCCAAAGTGCTGGGATTACAGGTGTGAGCCACGACAGCTGGCCTGATTTTTGTATTTTTAGTACAGACAGGGTTTCACCATGTTGGCCAGGCTGGTCTCCAACTCCTGACCTCAAGTGATCCACCTGCCTCAGCCTCCCAAAGTGCTGGGATTACGGGTGTGAGCTACCATACCTGGCCTCTCTTAGGACTTTTTTCAAAATCTACAAAATCATCTCTCTCTCTCTCTGTATATATATTCAGGGTCAACTATATATAGACTGACCCTTGGACATGGGTTTGAACTACATGGGTCCTCTTACAAAATTCACCACTTACAGGTGAATTTTTCTTCCACCTCTGCCCTGAGACAGCAAGACCAACACCTTTTCTTCCTCCTCCTCAGCCTACTCAACATGAAGACCTTTATGATAAGCCACTTCCACTCAATGAATGGAAAATATACTTCCTCTTCCTTATGATTTTCTTAAGGACATTTTCTTTTCTCTATCTTATTTTTAAAATGCAGGCATAGGCCGGGAGCAGTGGTTCAAGCCTGTAAGGCCAGCACTTTGGGAGGCCGAGGCTGATGGATCACCTGAGGTCAGGAGTTCAAGACCAGCCTGGCCAACATGGTGAAACCCCGTCTCTACTAAAAATACAAAAATTACCCGGGTGCGATGGCGGATGCCTGAAATCACAGCTATTTGGGAGACTGAGGCAGGAGAATTGCTTGAACCTGGGAGGCGGAGGTTGCAGTGAGCTGAGATCACTTCACTGCACTCCAGCCTGGGTGACACAGCTAGACTCTGTCTCAAAAAAAAAAACAAAGAATACGGCCGGGTGCGTGGCTCACCCCTGCAATCCCAGCACTTTGGGAGGCTGAGGCGGGTAGATCACTTGAGGTCAGGAGTTCAAGACCAGCCTGGCCAACATGGTGAAACCCCACCTCTACTAAAAATACAAAAGTTAGCCGGGCATGGTGGCAGGTGCCTATAATCCCAACTACTCAGGAGGCTGAAGCAGGAGAATTGCTTGAACCCCCGGGAGGTGGAGGTTGCCGTGAGCTGAGATTGTGCCATTACACTCCAGCCTGAGTGACAACAGCGAAACTCCGTCTCAAAAAAAAAAAAAGGGGATATAGGACATAATACATAAAACATGCAAAATATGTATTATTCGGCCGGGAGCAGTGGCTCATGCCTGTAATCCTAGCACTTTGGGAGGCTGAGGTGGGCGGATTGCCTGACCTCAGGAGTTCAAGACCAGCCTGGGCAATACGGTGAAACCCCATCTCTACTAAAATACAAAAAATTAGCTGGGCGTGGCGGTGGGCACCTGTGGTCCCAGCTACTCGGGAGGCTGAAGCAAGAGAATCACTTGAACCCGGGAGGCAGAAGCTGCAGTGAGCCGAGACCGCACCACTGCACTCCAGCCTGAATGACAGAGACTCTGTCTCCAAAAAAAAAAAAAAGTATTAATCAACTGTTTATGTTGTGGATAAAGCAGAATTCCAGTCCACAGTAGGCTATTAATAGTTAAGTTTTTGGGGAGTCAAAACTTGTATGTGAATTTTTGGTTGCATGGGGGGTACGTGTGTGTGTGTGTGTGCTTTCCCCTTCTTTGCATTGTATTTGATGAAGAAACTGGGTGAGGTTTCTTGCAGTCTGAGTTTTGCTGACCATTTCCTCTGTTCCTGTCTTTCTAGAAAACTGTTAGGATCTACAGTCCTGATCAGATTCAGGTTTGATTTTTTTTTTTTTTTCCTGAGACAAGGTCCTGCTCTGTCCTGAAATGCAGTGGCGTGATCCTGGCTGACTGCAGCCACAACCTCCTAGGCTCAAGCACTCCTGCCTCAGCCTCCCAAGTAGCTGGGACTACAGGCACACACCACCCAGCCAGCTAGTTTTTTTGTATTTCTTGTACAGAGGCAGGGTTTTAACATGTTGCACAAGCTGGTCTTGAACTCCTAAGCTCAAGCGATCTGCCTGCCTTGGCCTCCCAAAGTGCTGGGATTACAGGCATGAGCCACCGCACCTGGCCTTCAGGTTTGATTTTTTGCCAAGACTTCCTAGGCAACATTGGGTCCCTCCCTACGGAGGCTGACATGGCTGGCTATCTCCCTTTGTAATGTCAGGAGCTGTTGGCACTCAAGACCTCAATTTGTGGCCGGGCGCAGTGGTTCATGCCTGTAATCCCAGCACTTTGGGAGGCCGAGGCGGGTGGATCACGAGGTCAGGAGTTCGAGACCAGCCTGACCAACATGGTGAAACCCAGTGTCTACTAAAAAAACCAAAAATTAGCCGGGTGTGGTGGCACACGCCTGTAATCCCAGCTACTCAGGAGGCTGAGGCAGGAGAATCACTTGAACCTGGGAGGCGGAGGTTGCAGTGAGCCGAGATCACGCCACTGCACTCCAGCCTGGGCAACAGAGCGAGACTCTGTCTCAAAAAAGACCTCAATTTGTTCATTGACAGCGTTGCTGGGCTGATGGCGCTAAGATCTGGTGGTGAAGGAGCCTGGGAGCAGGGCTGATTTTCTGGCAGGGAAACAGCCGGTAACAAAGCCCAGAGACAGGACCAAAATATTTTAAGCAAGGGAGGAATAAGGTCAGATGATCACTCTAAATTTACAACATTCTAACTCTCCATTTCAACTTTCTAGGAATCCAACATTTCAGCTTTCTTAGATTGCAGTATTAGCATTCCAGCATCTTATGATTCTAACATTCTGACAGCATCTTCAACTCTCTAGGATTCCCCCTTTCCAACCTTTGAGGATCTTGGCATTCCTGAATTCCAGTATGCCAGTATTGCATCCCAACATTCCAAAGTTCTGAGCCATCACTCAAGAGGTTCAAACTGACACTTTCTTTCTTTTTTTTTTTTTTTTTTTTTTTTAGATGGAGTCTCGCATCATTGCCCAGGCCGGAGTGCAGTGGCGCGATCTCGGTTCACTGCAACCTCCACCCCCGAGGTTCCAGTGATTCTCCTGCCCCAGCCTGGGTACCTGGATAGCCGTAATCCCAGCCGAGTAGCTGGGATTACAGGTGCCAGCCACCACACCTGGCTAATTTTTGTATTTTTAATAGAGATGGGGTTTCACCATGTTGGCCAGGCTGGTCTTGAACTCCAGACCTCAGGGATCCGCCCACCTCAGCCTCCCAAAGTGCTGGAATTATAGGCGTGAGCCACCGCGCCCAGCCTGCTGCCACTTTCTATTAATAAAATCCCAGCATTCTAATATTCTAACATTCCAACACTGAGTTCCAACATGCTGAGATACCAATATTCTGCTTTCTCCAACTCCAACATTTGTGGATGTGAATATTTCAAAACAGAATTCTACCACTGTGAGCCCAATATTCAAGGACTCCAATCTGCCAACACTGGTATCCACAATTGGCCAGTGGTGCAGGAATTCCACATGGGCCATCTTCCCATTTTGAATCCCCAAATTCTAGGATTCCAATGTTTCAGCTTTCCTTGAGTCCGACATTTTCCATTTCAGTAATTAACACCAAATTCTAGCATTCTAGAATCCCAGCATTCTAGAACCTCAACCTGCCAACAATTTAGGGATTCAAGATGGTGACCTTCCAACTTTGAATTCCAACAATCACAGGGTTCAACTTTCTAACATTCTGTGATTCCAACACTCCAGCAAGAAAGCAAGGCTGGGCGTGGTGGCTCACACCTGTAATCCCAGCACTTCGGGAGGCTGAGGCAGGCGGATCACGAGGTCAGGAGATCAAGACCATCCTGGCTAACATGGTGAAACCCAGTCTCTACTAAAGATACAAAAAATTAGGCCGGGCGCGTTGGCTCACGCCTGTAATCCCAGCACTTTGGGAGGCTGAGGTGGGTGTATCACGAGGTCAGGAGATGGAGACCATCCTGGCTAACACAGTGAAACCCCATCTCTACTAAAAATACAAAAAAATTAGCTGGGCGTGGTGGCACGTGCCTGTAGTCCTAGCTACTCGGGAGGCTGAGACAGGAGAATCGTGTGAACCCGGGAGGTGGAGCTTGCAGTGAATCAAGATAGCGCCACTGCACTCCAGCCCAGGTGACAGAGCGAGACTCTGTCTCAAAAAAAAAAAAAAAAAAAAAAAAAGGAACCTGATCCCAACATTACAAGACTCCCAGTTCTTTTTTTGTTTTTTGTGGCTGGGATTATAGGCGCCCACCACGCCTGGCTAATTTTTGGATTTTTAGTAGAGACGGGTTTCACCATGTTGGCCAGACAGGTCTCAAACTCCTCACTTCAGGTGATCCACCTGCCTCAGCCTCCCAAAGTGTTGGGATTACAGGCGTGAGCCACCGCACCTGGCACAAGACTCCTGGTTCTTACACCCAGACCTCATCCCCTGAGCCCTCCAAGCTAAAGGAGACAGATGCTCAGCCCAAGCACAGCAGCAGCCAGGTGTCCAACCTGGAGCACCTGGTCAGCAGATGGCAGTCATGCCCCCAGCCTGGAAGGCCTCCATCCAGGCTACAAGGCTCACCTGAAGCAATAGTTGGTGTCCAGGGCTCGGCGGTGCCGGGAGCTTTGCAGATGCTGGGCCCTCTCCAGCGGGGTGGCCATGAGAAGCAGGAAAGGCCGGTTCATGCCATGAATGGTGGCCAGGTCACCTCGGCGGCCGGTAGTGAACCCTGCTTTGGTGTGGGAGTCAGGGGATAGGGGACATACACACACACTCTCAGAGGGATAGATAAGTGGGGCGTGGGGCAGATGGGAACACACACACGCACACACGTCACAACTGGGCATGGCCGGGGAAGCAGGCCTCACCGTTGATGTCCACTTGCAGTGTGTTATCCCTGCTGTCACAGGAGCAGTGGGCGCTAAGGCGAAAGCCCTCAATTTCCCCTGTAGGAGTGGCGAGAGGGAAGCCAGTCTGAGAGTGCAGCTCACCCAGCCCCTGGAGGAAGAGGAAGGAAGGAGCAAACCCCAGGGGCTTCCTTCCTGCCTCCCCCACCCACCCCACTCTGCCCTCTCACTGCAGCTCTCTCTTTTTTTTTTTTTTTTTTTTTTTGAGACAAGGTCTCGCAGCCTCAATCTCCAAGGCCCAAGCAATCCTCCCATCTCAGCCTCCCGAGTAGCTGGGACCACAGGCGCGTGCTACCACGCATGGCTAATTTTTTTTTTTTTTTTGAGATGGAGTCTGGCTCTGTTGCCCAGGCTGGAGTTCAGTGGCGTGATATCAGCTCACTGCAACCTCCACCTCCCAGGTTCAAACGATTCTCCTGCCTCAGCCTCCCAAGTAGCTGGGATAACAGGCATGCGCCACCACACCCGGCTAATTTTTTGTATTTTTAGTAGAGATGGGGTTTCACCATGCTGGCCAGGCTGGTCTCAAACTCCTGACCTCAGGTGATCCGCCTGCCTTGGCATCCCAAAGTGCTGGGATTACAGGCTTGAGCCACTGCATCCGGCCTACACGGCTACTTTTTAAATTCTCTGTAGAGACAGAGGTCTCACTATGTTGCCCAGGCTGGGCTCAAGCAATCCTCCTGCCCTGGCCTCCCGAAGTGCTGGGATTACAGGCATGAGCCACTGCACCCAGCCAGCATCAATCTCTTGAATGAATGAGTGAATGATGTTTTCTAGGCTCCTACAATGTGCCGAAGCCTGTGCTGTGTGCTTGGGACTCAGCATTGACCAAGACAGATGAGCTCCTTCTAGGCCTTTGTCGAACAGCCCAGGACACTCCTCCCAGTGCCCACCTGCTCCCTAATCCCTATTTTTTCTTTTTCTTTTCTTTTTTTTTTTTGAGACGGAGTTTCACTGTTGTTGCCCAGGCTGGAGTGCAATGGCACGATCTTGGCTCACTGAAACCTCCACCTCCTGGGTTCAAGCAATTCTCCTGCCTCAGCCTCCCGAGTAGCTGGGATTACAGGCATGCATCACCACGCCGAGCTAATTATGTATTTTTAGTAGAGACGGGGTTTCTCCATGTTGGTCAGGCTGGTCTCGAACTCCCGATCTCAGGTGATCCACCCACCTCGGCCTCTCAAAGTGCTGGGATTACAGGCGTGAGCCACCATGCCAGGCCCCCTAATCCCTTTTTTTTCATGTGGCCAAACTACTATTTATCCTGTGAGTCTCCACACAATCACCCTCACCCAGCAAGCCCTCCTAGACTCCCCAGATGGGTCCAGGTGCCTTCTCTGGGCTCCCAACAGCACTTAGGGCGTTCCCCCATCCTGCATGCCTCCCTGTCCCAGCCTTGTCCTCCCTGCTGGTGCCTCCCCATCCCATTCTTGATCATTCTAGGTCATTCCTGCCTGGTGGGGCCTTGACAAGATCTCTTAGGTGTCCAGAAGTGACTGTGGGCCCCATGAGGGCAGAACTGAGGGCTGTCTTGGTTATCACTATGTCCCCCACACCACCCAGCACATGGCCAGGCACACAGCAGGAACCTGTGGGCAATTATTGAATAAAAGCATAAATGAGAGGGAGGTGAGGGAGAGAGATAGGGGCACCATGGGCCCTGCCAGAAACCAGACAGAGACAATCATCTCCTGGACAGATCAAATGAGTTAGTTAGGCTCTCCCTGGCCTCCAGGCCTTTGCACAGGCTGTTCCCTTTGCCTGGAATCTTTTTTTTTTTTTTTTTTTTGAGATGGGATCTCACTCTTTCATGTAGGCTGGATTGCAGTAGTGTGATTATGACTCACTGCAGCCTCGACCTCCCAGGCTCAGGTGATTCTCCCACCTCAGTCTCCCAAGCAGCTGGAACTACAGGCACGTAACAGCATGCATGGCTAATTTTTGTATTTTTGTGTAGAGACCGGGTTTCGCCATGTTGCCCAGGCTGCTCTCAAAACTCCTGAGCTCCAGTGATCCATCCTCCTTGGCCTTCAAAAGTGCTGGGATTATAGGCATAAGCCACCATGCCCAGCCCCAGAATACTCTTACACCTCTCCTTTTCCTGACCATTCTACTCATCCCTTCAACATCAGCTATGGTGCCCCTCCTCCAGGAAGCCCTCCCTGATTCTGGGCTGGGTCAGGTACCTCCTTTGGGCTCCCCATCCCAGTCCCACCCACTCTGGGTCATCACTGCCTTACAGGTCTGTTCCCCAGCTACCTAGCCAATGGACTATATGAGCTCTGTGAGGGCAAGGATGGGGCTGTTTTGGTCATTGCTGTGTCCTTGGCATCACCCATCACAGGGCAGGGCAGAGAGGTGCTCAGGAAACAGATTAGCCAATCACTCAGGTTTCCATGCCACAGAGGGGAGCCAGGTCTCAGCACTTTCACACCAGTATGGGGCGGAGAGGGGTCCTAGGCAAAGTGACCCCAGGACAAACAATGGGGTGGACCCCAGGGAGAAACAGGGGTGGGACACACAAGTAATCCTCACCTCCACGGCTCAACCACTGCCGCACAACTCCGGTGACATCAAAAGATAACCACTCTGGCGAGTCGCTGGGTGCCAGCAGCCGGTTGCTGAGGTATCGCCAGGAATTGTTGCTGTATTTCTAGAGGATGATGAAGGCAGGAGAGAGACAGTGGGTAGATGGTGTCACGACCCCACATACACTAACTGAATCCTTCACCCCATCTGCTTCCCCAAACAGGCTTCCAGAAAGTTCCCAGGCACTACCCTCTCAGACAGCCACCTGTGTGGTCCTGTGGCACCCATCCTCCCCAACAGTACCCATGAGAGGAGGGGTGGAGAAAAAGCTCAGGCTGCGGTCAAGTCACCTTCACACAGCTCAGCCGAAGGTGTTTTCTTGCCTTCTCGAGGCCTGTTTCCTCATTGGTGAAATGCTAAGCCCCACTCAGCGTGGACAGCCCACAATGCTAAAATTCTGCTGCTAACATTCTGGGCCGGGCGCAGTGGCTCACGCCTGTAATCCCAGCACTTTGGGAGCCCAAGGTGGGTGGATCACTTGAGGTCAGGAGTTCAAGACCAGCCTGGCCAACATAGTGAAACCCCATCTCTACTAAAAATACAAAAATTAGCCAGGCATGGTGGCACACGCCTGTAGTCGCCACTATTTGGGAGGCTGAGGCAGGAGAATTGCTTGAGCCCGGGAGACACAGACTGCAGTGAGCCAAGATCACGCCACTGCACTCCAGCCTGGGCGACAGGACGAGACTTCGTCTCAAAATAATAATAATAAATAAAATAAAATTCTGCTGCAAACATTCTGGGGTTTACTGAGCATACGGTTCTGCAAATTTGACACCCTGAATTCTCAGTAACTTAGAAGTCATTTCTAATGATTCCGGCTGGGCACGGTGGCTCACGCCTGTTATCCCAGCACTTTGGGAGGCCAAGGCGGGTGGATCTCCTGAGGTCAGGAGTTCAAGACCAGCCTGGCCAACAAAGTGAAACCTCGTCTCTACTAAAAATACAAAAATTAGCCAGGCGTGGTGGCACACGCCTGTAATCCCAGCTACTCAGGAGGCTGAGGCAGGAGAATCACTTGAACCCAAGACACAGAGGTTGCAGTGAGCCGAGATTGCACCACTGCACTCTAGCCAGGGTGACAGAGTGAGACTCTGTCTCAAAAAAAAAAAAAGTCATTTTGTGATTCAAATGTTTGATAATATCCCAAGATTTCCACTTCTAGAGCCTGAGAAGCTTTAGAAGACTAATGTTCTATAAACCCAAGAGTCTGCCATGCCGCACCTAGATGCTGCAGGTACCCAACATCTGTGTAGAATAATTTTCTGGGCCAGGCACAGTCGCTCACGCTTGTAATCCCAGCACTTTGGGAGGCCGAGGAGGGTGGATCACCAGAGGTCAGAAGTTCGAGACCAGCCTGACCAATATGGAGAAACACCGTCTCTACTAAAAATACAAAATTAGCTAGGTGTGGTGGTGCATGCCTGTAATCCCAGCTGCTCGGGTGGCTGAGGCAGGAGAATCGCTTGAACCCAGGAAGCAAAGGTTGTGGTGAGCCAAGATGGTGCCATTGCACTCCAGCCTGGGCAACAGGAGCAAAACTCCATCACACACACACACAAAAAAAAGAAGAATTTTCTGGGGCTGGATAGTCCACTCCAGGGACTGCAGAATAAAGCTGAATTCCCCAGACTCCAAGAAGCCAAGCTAACATAGGACAAAGTTCTCTCACTGTGAAAGTCTGAAATCTACCATCCTATGAGTTAACATTCCCTCTGATATGGATTCTAGCTCATAGAAACTGCTAGAGCCTCCAGCCCTTCCAGATGCCCCAGTCCTCTTGGAAGCTCCCTATCTTCTAGAGCAGTGCTGTCCTAAAGAACTTTCTGGAAATGTGCTTTATCTGCAACATCCAAAATAGTAGCTGCTAACCACATGTGACTATAGAGTACTAGAAATATGGCCAGTGAGAATGAGGATTTCTTTTTCATTTTTATTTTTTTGAGACAGAGTCTCGCTCTGTTGCCCAGGCTGGAGTGCAGTGGTATGATCTCCGCTCACTGCAGTCTCCACCTCCTGGGGTCAAGCGATTCTCCCACCTCAGCCTCCCAAGTAGCTGGGATTACAGGTGCCTGCCACCACACCTGGCTAATTTTTGTATTTTTAGTAGAGATGGAGTTTCGTCATGTTGGCCAGGCTGGTCTTGAACTCCTGACCTCAAGTGATCCACCCACCCTGGCCTCCCAAAGTGCTGGGATTGCAGGCATGAGCCACCACGCCTGGCCTATATATATATATTTTTGAGACGGTCTCGCTCCATCACCCAGGCTGGAATGCAGTGGTGCAATCACAGTTCACTACAGCCTCGACCTCCTGGGCTCAATCAATCCTCCCACCTCAGACTACTGAGTAGCTGGGACTAGAGGCACGCATCACCATAACAGGCTAATTTTAGTATTTTTTGTAGAGACGAAGTTTCAACATGTTGCCCAGACTGGTCTCGGACTCCTGGGCTCAAGCAATCTGCCTGCCTCGGCTTCCCAAAGTTCTGGGATTAGAGGTGTGAGCCACTATGCCTGGCCCTAAATTTTTAATTTAATTTTAAACAATTTAAATTTTAATCAAGCTAAATGTGACTAGTGGCTGTCATATTGGACAGAATGATTCTAGAGCCCCCAACCTTTTCAGAGATTCCAACTTTCAAGAATCCTGTGTCCTTAAAGAGTCCAACTCCTAAGATTCCAGCCTTCTAAGTGTTTAACATCCTAGGATGCAAAGAGTCTGAACATTTAAAAGTGCTCTAGGTTCCGGGTGCAGTGGCTCACACCTGTAATCCCAGCACTCTGGGAGGCTCAGGTAGGAGAATCACTTGAGGGCAGGAGTTTGAGACAAGCCTGGCCAACATGATAAAACTCTGTCTCTACTAAAAATACAAAAATTAGCCCAGCGTGTTGGCACATGCCTGTAATCCCAGCTACTCGGGTGGCTGAGGCAGGAGAATCACTTGAACCCAGGAGGCGGAGGTTGCAGTGAGCCGAGATCACCCCATTGTACTCCAGCCTGGGCGACAGAGCAAGACTCCATCTCAAAAAAAAAAAAAAAAAAAAAAGAGGCCAGGCGCAGTGGCTCACGCCTGTAATCTGAGCACTTTGGGAGACCGAGGCAGGTGGATCACGAGGTCAGGAGATCGAGACCATCCTGGCCAACATGGTAAAACCCCATCTCTACCAAAAATACAAAAATTAGCTGGGCGTGGTGGCGCACACCTGTAATCCCAGCTACTTGGGAGGCTGAGGCAGGAGAATCACTGGAACCCAGGAGGCGGAGATTGCAGTGAGCTGAGGTCATACCACTGCACTCCAGCTTGGCAACAGAGTGAGACACTGTCTCAAAAAAAAAAAAAAAGCGTTCTAGGATTGTATGGTTTGTGTTCTTCTATCCTTCAGGGACCATCTAGGTGGACCTTGTAACCAGCCGACCCACAGCCACCCCCTTGGTCACAGCTCACCCTCTCCAGCCCATGCCCTGACCTTCCTTCTGGCTCATGTCCTCACCTGGTACAGCTCCACGTGCTGCTCCACTTTTAACTTGAGCCTCAGCAGACGCAGCTCTGCCCGGGAGAGCAACACGGGTTCAGGTACCGCTTCTCGGAGCTCTGATGTGTTGAAGAACATATATATGCTGTGTGTACTCTGCTTGAACTTGTCATAGATTTCTAGCAGGGAGAAATGAAGGGAGGCGATCAGGGGTTTGGCAGAGGTGAGGGGAGCTGGTGCTCCCAACTCTAGGAGTTTTGGAGCTGACAGCTCTGGGGTGGAGTCAGTCTCTGATACCTTTTATTTATTTATTTATTTATTTATTTATTTATTTATTTATTTAAATGAATTTTTTTTTTTTTTTGAGACGGAGACTCGCTCTGTCACCCAGGCTTGGAGTGCAGTGGCGCAATCTCTGCTCACTGCAACCTCCGCCTCCAGGGTTCAAGCAATTCTCCTGCCTCAGCCTCCCGAGCAGCTGGGACTAAAGGCTCATGCCACCATGCCCAGCTAATTTTTGTATTTTTAGTAGAGATGGGGTTTCACCATGTTGGCCAGGATGGTCTCGATCTCCTGACCTCGTGATCCACCCGCCTCGGCCTCCCAAAGTGCTGGGATTACAGGTGTGAGCCACCACGCCCAGCCCTGACTGTGATACTTTTTAGCTGTGTGACCTTGAGGAAGTGGTTTCTCCCCCTAGGTTTGTTTCCTCCTCTGTAAAATAGGTCCTAACCACATTCCTCTCTCATGTAGCATCATCTCTCAAGTCGACTAAGGCTGGCACCAAGGGGAACCACTCTGTTTGCTCTGGCCTTCCTTGCCCCAAATGCAAGAGCCCCTAAAATGCAGAGTAAGGATCAAAGGCACAGGCTTTGGACTCAGATAGTGCCTCTGCTGCCTCTTGGCTGTGTGACCATGGGCAGTTAACACCCTCTTTCTGAATGTCAGTTTCCTGTTATTCTTTGAAAAACAGCAATAACATTAAGCTCCCTGCATTCCCACACAGACTCTCCTAATTTAAGCGCTGTGTAACCTTGGGCAAGTGAATTCCTCTCTCTGAGCCAGGTGTAAGACAAGACAGAGTGACTCTAGAACCCATTCCAGTATTATAGTGGGAAATTAGATGACCCAGGTCAAGCCATGTGGCACCAATTCTGCATACACTGGTCACTCAATCATGTATACGTCTAAGAGTGCTGGCTGGGCGCAGTGGCTCACGCCTGTAATCCCAGCACTTTGGGAGGCCGAGGTGGATTGATTACTTGAGGTCGGGAGTTCGAGACCAGCCTGGCCAACATGGTGAAACCCCGTTTCTACTAAAAATACAAAAATTGGCCAGGCATGGTGCCGGACGGCTCTAATCCCAGCTACTTGGGAGGTTGAGGCATGAGAATCGCTTGAACCTGAGAGGCAGAGGTTATAGTGTGCCGAGATTGCGCCACTGCACTCCAGCCTGGGTGACAGAGTAAGACTCTGTCTCAAAAACAACAACAACAAAAAACCACAAAACAGCGCTATTTACCAGATGCTATCTAAAGCACTTTACAAAGATGAAGACATTTAAACCTCACAACCTTATACTATTATTATACCCGTTTAATAGATGAGAAACTGAGGCACCGAGATTAAGTAATTTGCCCCAAGGTCACATAGCTGCAGACTGGGATTCAAACTCAAGCTGTCTCATTCCAGAGACTGTGCTTTTTTTTTTTCTTCCCCCAAGAGACAGGGTCTCACTCTGTCCCCCAGACGGAAGTGCAGTAGCACAACCATGGCTCACGGCAGGCTGGAACTCCTGGGCTCAAGGGATCCTCACGCCTCAGCCTCCCAATATGTTGAGATCACAGGCATGAGCCACCACACCCACCCAGCTAGAGACTGTGCTCTTAACCCCTAAGTGATTCTTCTACTTATTTTTATTATTAGTTTTCCACCCTTAACTCCCTTCCCCAGCTGGTTAGGGAAAGTGAAGTTCATTCTGGGTAGGAATGGCTGTAGTGGGGAGAAAAGGAATTAAGGTGTTTTCTTTTCTTTTTTTTTTTTTTTTTTTGAGATGGAGTTTCTGTCGCCCAGGCTGGAGTGCAGTGGCGCGATCTTGGCTCATAGCAACCTCTGCCTCCCAGGTTCAAGCGATTCTCCTGCCTCAGCCTCCCAAGTAGCTGGGATTACAGGCGCCGCCCGCCACCCCGCCCAGCTAATTTTTGTATTTTTAGTAGAGACCGGGTTTCACCATGTTGGCCAGGCTGGTCTCCAACTCCTGACCTCAGGTGGTCCACCCACCTTGGCCTCCCAAAGTGCTGGGATTACAGGCGTGAGCCACCGCGCCCAGCCAAGGTATTTTCTAGTTTAGGAAAAGTTTGGGGATGGGGATGAGGGAACAGGCCATGAACTGCTGGATCAACTGGGGCAACTGCTTCCAGCCTCCCATAGTGGGGGTGTGAAAAGAGACTGGTGAGAAAGGCAGAGGAAACCCCTCCCCTACGGCCCCCTTCGATCCTCCTCCTCCTCCCCAGTCTCCCTCCCCACCCAGCCCCAGTAAGCCCTATTCTTGGCCCGGAGGTTACTCAGCAAACCCCAAAGGAAAGGCAGAGCCTTGGCTGGGGAAGACAGATAGGGAGGAAGACAGAGAGGAGGGAGAGGAAGGGTTGGAGGGTGATGCAGAGAGGGAGAGGCGGGGAGATGTCAGAGACGGAGACGAGGCAACAGGACCGTGGAGGAGAAAAATAGAAAGGGAGAGAAAATAGTCGGAGAGACAAAAACCAGGAGACCCATGCGTGGACAGAAAGACTAACGGAGACGAAAAGAAAGAGGCAGATGGGGAGACACGTGCGAGACGAGACACATGTGCATTTGTTGGGGAGAAGAGGATTGGAGGTGTCAGTGTTAAAGGAACCTCTACAACGAAGGTGAAGCCACGGAAGATAAGGTAAGGCTGAGACTTGGGTGCGGAGTGCGCGTCATTGGGCTGGAGCTGTAAACTGGCGCAGAAATGGGCAGGGAACCCGCAAGCCCACACCGCCCAAGAGTCAGTGAAACCTGAGGGATCTTCCCCAAGGCTCTGAACCACGCGGGACGCCTGGGTCCTCGCATGGATGCCGACGGGGCCGGCTGAGTGGGAGCCCCGCCCGTAGCTGGGGTGAGGAGGGCGGGAGGCGCCGCAGCCAGGAGGGCGGGGACCAGACCTGCCCCGTCTCGCCCCGGGCTCCGCGAGCGATCCCCGCCTCCGCCGGGGGCATGGGAAGGAAAGGGAAGGGAGGGGGATGAGGCCGCCGGACGCTGGGGTTTCCCCAGCCACCCTGAGAGGAACTGGGACTTTGGGGTCCAGACTGCCAGCGTTTAGCGCAGCGGGGTCCTCCTGCCCCTTGGTGGAAGCGCAGGCTCCTCCCCCCGCGCGTGGCACCCACGTGGGGCTTTCTCACTCCTCCCAGCTTGGTTTTCTCACCTCGGTCTTGTAGAGTCACCCCCCACCCAGCACTTCCCCTGCGGCTGGACTCCGCTCAGCCCATTCCCCTGCATCCTGCGGGGAATGCAGCGTGGATGGCGCTGGGTATCTCTCCTCCTCCCCGCTCACACCACCTTTCCCACGCCTGTCTCCCCTCTCGGTAAAGCCCTTCCCATGACCCAGGACTCTAGGTCTTCTGGAAGCTCGATTCCTCCGCTGGGCTCCCCACTCTGTCCCTCACGTCCCTGTGTGAAACACCGAGGACACCTCTGCATCCCGGGCGCCCTCCCGAGTCTCCGCTCCTCTCCCGCTTGCCTCCTCCTTCCAATAACCTCCCGTCCCTTTCTCCCCACATTTATCACACGCACCTCTGTTTCTCTTTCTACGACTCTCCCCCACCCCCGCATCCCGCGTGTTCCTGGCAGCCTCTGGAAGTGGGTCCGCTCTCACTTTCCTGGCACCCTCTGGGGTTGCCTTCATCTAGCTTTTCTGTCCTTCTTGAATCTTTCCACCTCAGGACCCCCAAGCTCTGGGTCAACTTTCTCCAGCGCCTCTCCTTTCCCAAATGCTGGGGTCTTCGCTTCTCCCACACCAGGCTCCCTTCTCTGCACCTGGCACCCCACGACCCCCCCCCCCATTCAACGCGTCCTGGAAGAGGGAGCCTTCTACCCTCCCCCTATTGCTTGTCTCCCTCTAGGGGACTGCCCCCACGACCCCGCATGTTTCTGTCGCACTCTAGAAGCGGTCCACTTCGCTATCTCCTCCTCTCCAAGACCAGACACCTGGGTGGTAGGGGGCTCAGTGCCATCCTCTTTCGGACACCCCCCTCCCACCATCACACGTTCCCTTTGCCCCGGGGTGTCCTCTTCCTCCAGCCAGTTTCTTCTGCCAGTCACTTCCTACCCGTGGCCCCGGCACTCCGGCGCCCCCTGGGGGCCCCCCTCCCGGCTCCCCTGCCCCTCCGAGCTCACCGTTGTGGGTTTCCACCATTAGCACGCGGGTGACCTCCTTGGCGTAGTAGTCGGCCTCAGGCTCGGGCTCCGGTTCTGCACTCTCCCCGGCCACCCGGTCGCGGGTGCTGTTGTACAGGGCGAGCACGGCCTCGGGCAGCGGGCCGGGCGGCACCTCCCCCTGGCTCGGGGGGCTGGCGAGCCGCAGCTTGGACAGGATCTGGCCGCGGATGGCCTCGATGCGCTTCCGCTTCACCAGCTCCATGTCGATAGTCTTGCAGGTGGATAGTCCCGCGGCCGGCCGGCCAGGCGTCAGCACCAGTAGCCACAGCAGCGGTAGCAGCAGCGGCAGCAGCCGCAGCCCGGAGGGCGGCATGGGGGAGGCGGCGCCCCCCGGCACTGCCGAGAGCGCGAACAGGGCTGGTGTGGTGGGGAGGCCCCGCCCCTGCAGGGGCTGGGGGTCTCCCGGCAAAAGGTAGGAGGGCCTCGAGGGAAAGCTGAGGTCCTCAGGGAGAAGGGCGCAGTGGTGGAGGGGAGGCTTGGACCGGGGGTGTCTCAGTATCCCACGGAAATAACCTAGATGGGCGCGATCTGGTACCAGAAGGTGGGTGGTCTTGAATAGGGGATCTGTGGCAGGTCGGAGAGAGATCCGTCTCCTGGAGGAGAAAGGGTCTAGGATGCGCGGGGGCTCAGGAGACAGGCCGGGGATGAAGGCGGCGTGCAGGGGGTGCGCCCGAGGTCTGGGGAAAAGTCTTTGCGGGAGGCCGGGTCGGCGACTCCCGAGGGCTGGTCCGGAATGGGGGCGCCTGAGGGACGCCGTGTAGGGGGCAGGGAGGGAGCAAGCGTCCCCGGCGGCAAAGGGAGGCGGTCTGGGGTCCCCAAGTCCTGCCTCCTCGCGGGGCAGCGTCGCGCCAAGAGGTCCCCGCGCCTCCGGCTCCCAGCGGCAACGGAAAAGTCTCAAAAGTTTTTTTCCTCTTCTCCCGACCAGCTCGTCCCTCCTCCCGCTCCTCCTCCCCCTCCTCCCCGCAGTGGCGGGGGCGGCGGCGGCTCGTCTCAGACTCTGGGGCCTCAGGCTGCTCCTCGGCGACTCCTTCCTCCGCTCCGGGCCGAGGCCGGCCCCGCGGGCGGCTCAGAGCCGGGGGGGTGCCCCGGACGGGGCGTCCCCCCTGCCCCCGGCCGGGGCCCTCGCTGTCTGGCTGCTCCGCGGAGGGAGGTGGGAGGGAGATGGCCCAGGGCGCGAAGGGCGGCGGCGGCGGGGACCGGCTGGGTCGGCAGGGGGTTTTGAAGCCGCCCCCGGCCCCACCCAGGAAGCGCACGGGGCGGGAGCGGGGGCGGCCCCCAGGGGGAGGGCATGGGGGGGCTGGGCCACCGTCCTCATCTCGCGTGGGCGGGCTCCGAGGGGGGTCCCTTCAGCCCTGGGGGAAAGGGGGCGGGCACCCCGGCTCCGCCCCGCAAACAGGGTGCTGCCTCCTGGCGGCCAAGCGCCACCAAAGCGGGTGATCCAGATGCGCTGTGGCTTTGCGGGCGGTGTGGGTCACCAGAGAAAGAGGACCAGGCGGAGAAGGCTTAATCCGGGGGATGAGACACAGGGGAGCCGACCAGAGGAGGGGGACCCAGAACGGAAGGAGAGTCAGGCTGGGAAACAAGGTAGGAGAAGAGGGTCTGTCAACATGGGGGCCTCCGGAGGGTGTCAGTGGGAGGAGGGGGCAACAGGACACCTGAAGGATGGAAGGGTCAGGAGGCAGACACCTGTAAGAATTGCTCTCCTTTACTGAGCACCTCCCATGTGGCTAAGCAGCCTCCTGTCACTCAACACCCTGCGACCCCATACATTTACTGTCCCCAATTTACAGATAGGGAAACTGGGCCCAGAGGGACCCCGAGGTCCTAGAAAGGACAGAAGCGGTGCCATGCCTTAGCTGGGGTCAGCTCTGACAGTCTCTAGAGTCTGTGCTCTTGACCACTGTGCCATCCTCCCCCATCACTGGGTGTCCGGGGTGTGGATGGTGGTGACGTTGGAGGCAGAGTCCCTCAGCACTCCACGCCGTAGCGGTCGAAGTTGCGGAGCAGCAGGCCGATCTCCAGGTGCACGGTGCCACCAGCAGCTGTGTGCAGGCGATAGCGGTCGGCCCCACTGTAGATGGTGTCCCCATGCAGCAGCTGCGGCCCACCACCCACGAAAGCCCGTGCCAACTGTTCTCGCCAACTGCCCAGGGGCCGCCACGTGGGGCAGGCCAGCTGGTGGGTGCCCGGGCTACTGGGCACATGGCAAAATCCATAGCCTGCAAGCTGGCAGCGGCCAAAGCTGTCCTGGGACCACACCTGGAAATGGAGCCGGGGCCAGCCTGCAGGAAAGGAGAGAGAGGGGAAAGGAGGGATGGGTGGGGACCAGACTCCTGCTGATTCCCCACTCCCTGATACTCACTGGAGACCCCAGGCCCAGTCTTTTCCTCTCTGGGTTTCTGTCCCAGAGTTTCCAACCCAGCCTCCTTTCTAGGCTCCCACCGTCTTATCTATCCCCACACAGCAGCCAAAGTGATCTTTCCAAATCCATGTTACTCCCCTGCTAAGGATCCTTCCATAGCTCCCCAGTGCCCTCAGTATAAAGTCCAACCTCTTCAACATTCAAGGCCCTTCTAATCAGACCTCTGCTGAATTTCCTCTCTGTGTTATCCTCCTCCATGACCCCATGTCAGGGCAGCCCATTGCTCCTCCAGTCCCCAGGTAACCATCATGGGCCTTGTCAGGGACACCTCCTGCCTTCCCTCATGTCCCTGCCCTGCTCTCTTTGGGCCCAGGGCCTTCTTTCTTGCCCCTCTCTAATCCACCTTCCACCTGGCATCTGGAAGCATCTTTCTCTCCTTCCATAGCTTTGCCCATGTCCTCAGAACACAGTTCAGCTCCTCAGTCTGGTAGTCAAAGCCCTTGGAGATCCAGCCCCATCTCATCTCATGCTGATCCCTTCTCCTGTGCTAGACTCTGTTCTAGCTAGCTGGGGACACGGCAGACATGAACATGGATGGCAGACAAAAATTCCTGCCCCCGTGAAGCTGATATCCTAGACAACGAATGTAGTAAATAAGCAAATTATAGGGTAGATCAGATGGTGGTAATTGCTGTGAGGGAAAACAGAGCTGGGTAGGGTGAGGGTGGGGATACCGCTTTAGCAAGAAGGGGATCAAGGAAGCTTCATTAAGAAGGTGACATTTGAGCAAATGCTAAAAGGAAGGAAGGGAGTAGGCCATGTGGCCATCTAGAGGAAGAGTGCTCCTAGCCAGAGGGAACAGCAAGTGCCAAGGCCCTGGGGGGGGACTGTCTGGTGGGGACAGTATGGCTGGAGCCCAGACGGAGTGTGCCTGGTGGGGACAGCATGGCTAGAGCAGAATGAGGTGGGGAGACGGGAAGGAGGTGCCAGCCTGGTTGTGGAGAGCCTTGTGATGCATGCTAAGACTATGGCTTTCACCCTGAGTGAGATGGGGACCATTGGAGGGTTCTGAGCAGAGCAGAGATGGGACCTGACTTAGGTGTTCACAGGGTCCCAGCTGCATGTGGGGTGCAGACCAGGGGGGTTGGGGAAGGGGACTCCAGAGACAAGATTCTTGTCATAGTCCATGTGAGAGAAGAACTTGGACAGATCAAGGTGCTGGGCGAGAAAAGGGTAAGAAGTGGGATTTAGGATGTATTTCAAAAGTAGAGGCAGTTTAAGATTTCCTGATGGACAAAATGGGGGCTTGAGAAAAGAGAAAGCAAGGCTGGTGCCACCACTGGGGGACTGGAGGCCCCAAGAGCTGAAAGGTTAGAGCTGCCCACCTCACCCACACAGCACCGGAAAGATTTTTTTTTTCCCCAGCTCCAGCTTAAAAGACAGAAAGATTATTTAAAAGTGAAATCTCAGCCAGGCGCGGTGGCTCATGCCTGTAATCCCAGCACTTTGGGAGGCCGAGGCAGGTGGATCACCTGAGGTCAGGAGTTCGAGACCAGCCTGACCACCTTGGTGAAACGCCATCTCTATTAAAAAAAAAAAAGGCAAAAATTAGCCAGATGTGGTGGCACGTGGCTGTAGTCCCAGCTACTCGTGAGGCTGAGGCAGGAGAATTGCTTGAACCTGGGAGGCAGAGGTTGCAGTGAGCTGAGATCTTGCCACTACACTCCAGCCTGGGCAACAGAGTGAAACTCTGTCTCCAAAAAAAAAAAGGTGAAATCTCACTTGTCCATTACCTGCTCTGGCTCCCAAGTGCCTTCAGGAGATGGCCTCAGCTCCTCAGCCTGGCACTCAAGGCCCTGCATGGCCTGTCCCCTTCTGCCTTTCCCCTCTGCCGTCCCGCTCTCCCTCAATCCACTAGATGCCCTTGGCTCACTTTCCCCTTTGAGTCTTCCACGTAGCTCCCTCTGCCTAGAACCTTCTTCTATCCCTCTGCCTTATTAGCTCCGCTGGCCCTTCACAGCAAAGTTCAGAAGCCCCCTCCTCCAGGAAGCCCTCTCTGACCTCCCTGACAGAGTCAGCCACTTCCTCTGGGCTCCCACAGCCTCTCCAAATCACCTATCTTAGTCCTGCCCACTCTGAGGTGCCACTGTCTGGAGAGAGGTGTGTCCCCCCATAGGACGGTGAACCCTGTGAGGACAAGGCTAAGGGACACTGCCTTGATCCTCAATGTCTCCCTGGCATCACCCAACACAGGCTGGACACAGGGCAGGTACCAGGTAGACGTTCTTTATATTGGTGAAATATATGGCACATTTACCTAGGCAATTTCTCAGAATCAACTCATCTCCAGGAACCCACATTTTCTACTAGAAAGGCTTTCTGATGCCGCTCCTCCCCCAGTACTGATTTCCCCTTTGAGCAGCAGCTCTACTTTCAAGCCGAGGAGCCCTTCCTGGAGAAACAGCCCTTGCCTCTCTCAGACCCTGCCTCCCGGCTTCCTCTTTATTGGAGACTCTCGTTTTGTCTCTTTACTTGAATGCCACCTCCCCTCCCACCCTGACCCCCCACCTTCCCACCTCCTGCTCCACCCTGGCCTCTGCCCTAATCATACAAACTTGGGATCGCCTATTGAGCAGGCCTGGGAAGGCCTTAGCTCAGCCTCTCCAGGGCCAGACTTGGCTGCAAAAGGGACCTACGTGGTATGGGGAGCAGGGACAGGTCTTGGTGTTCCCAGCCCCAGGGACCTCAGAGGCTACTGGCCCCCTCCCCTCAGCCTGGACCCGGGTCCAGGTGTGATACCCACCTTGAAGACCTTTGGTGGCGAAGTGCAGGTCGATGGGGTGGGACCAGTAAGCCATGTCCCCTATCTGCGGGGTGTCCACTTGCGTTTGGCCCTCCCGCACGCCTGACAGGAGCTTCCATGCCGCCCCTGCAGTGAGAGCCGGGACATAGAGGGGTGGGAGGCAGCCATCGGGAAGGGGATGCCGCTGTGGCTATAGGACTGTTTCTCTGTGGCATCTACTGGTAGGGGTTACGAAGCATGGACTCTGGAACCAAGTATCTGGGTTCAAATCCTGGCACTACCTCTTCCTGCCTCTGCAACCTTGGGCAAGTTAGCTTTCTCTGCCTTGGTCTCCCCATCTATAAAATGAGCTGAGTAATAATGCATTCCTCATTGTCTTCATTTGTTTTCTGTTACTCTTAACATAATATCCAAAACTGGATAATTTATAAAGAAAAGGAATTTCTATCTCACAGTTATAGGAGACTGACCAAGGTGGAGGAGCCCCATCTAGTAAGAGCCTTCTTGCTGGAACTCTTCAGAGAGTCCCAAGGCTAGTGTGCTAACATGCCACTCACGTCTCTCTCTCTCATTTTATAAAGCCACCACTTCCTCTCCCATGATAACCCACTAATCCATTAACCCATTAATCCATGAATGGGTAATGAGCATAGTGAGCACGGGATAAGTCTTCAATATCATTTTATTACGATTCTCACCCCATATTTTCAAGCCTAGTCCAAGGATTAAGATGGGGCCAAGGGTACCCTCCAGGAGCGCATCCTGAAACACACATAACAATTTCGATCCTACTGAGGGGTGATAATGATAGCTAAAATGCACTGAGTGGTAGGATACAGTGGCTCACACCTGTAATCTCAGCACTTTGGGAGGCCAAGGCAGGTAGATCCCTTGAGTCCAGGAGTTCAAGACCAGCCTGACCAACATGGCAAAACCCCATCTCTACAAATAATATAAAAATTAAGGCTGAGCGCAGTGGCTCACACCTCTAATCCCAGCACTTTAGGAGGCTTAGGGGGGGGTGGATCATCTAAGGTCAGGAGTTCAAGACCAGCCTGGCCAACATGGCAAAACCTCGTCTCTACTAAAAATACAAAAATTAGTCTGGAGTGGTGGCAGGTGCCTGTAATCCCAGGTACTCGGGAGGCTGAGGCACGAGAATCGCTGGAAAAGCTGCAGTGAGCCGAGATTGCACCACTGCACTCCAGCTGGTGTGACACAGTGAGACTCCATCTCAAAAAATGAACAAACAAGCCAGGCGCAGTGACTCACGCCTGTAATCTCAGCACTTTGGGAGGCTGAGGCGGGCTGATCACCTGAGGTCAGGAGTTTGAGACCAGCCCGGCCAACATGGCGAAATCCCATCTCTACTAAAAATACAAAAATTAGGATGGGCGCAGTGGCTCACATCTGTAATCCTAGCACTTTGGGAAGCCAAGGCAGGTGGATCACTTGAGGTCAGGGGTTCGAGACCAGCCTGGCCAAAATGGTAAAACTCTGTCTCTACTAAAAACACACACACACACACCCACAAAATTAGCCACGTCTGTAATCCCAGCACTTTGGGAGACTAAGGCAGGCAGATCACAAGGTCAAGAGATCGAGACCATCCTGGCCAACATTCTGAAACCCTATCTCTACTAAAAAAATACAAAAATTAGCTGGGTGTGGTGGCGCACGCCCATAGTCCCAGCTACTCAGGAGGCTGAGGCAGGAGAATCACTTGAACCCAGGAGGCGGAGGTTGCAGTGAGCCAAGATGGTCCCATTGCACTCCAGCCTGGGCAACAAGAGCGAAATTCCATCTAAAAAAAAAAAGAAAAGAAAAAAAGAAAATGCACCGAGTACTAACTAAATCCCAGATGCTATGCTAAGTACTTTAAGCATCCATTCATTTAATCCACCCTCTAGGACTCTTAATCCCCTCCTCACCCCCCAGTTTACAGACCCTCCACCATGGCCCACGTGGCCTGGCTCTTGCTCCCCTCCCTGAGTTCATCTCCCATCACTCTCCCCCTCCCTCATCACCCTCTGGCCTCACTGTCCCACTTCTGACTCCCCACCTCAGGGCCTTTGCACTGGCTGTTCCCTCTGCCTAGAAAGCTCTGCTCCTGGGTGTCCCCATCCCTAGCTTTTGTTTTCATCCTTCAGGGCCCAGCTCAAGTGCCACTTCCACAGAGGGGTTCTCCCTGACCCTCTTCACCAAACACTAGTCCCTGCCACATCATTTCTTTTCATCCTAGCACTTACCACTGTCTGGAATCACGGTGCTCCTTTCTTTTTTTGGGGGGGTGGGGGGAGACAAGATCTCCCTCTGTCACCCAGGCTGGAGTGCAGTGGCACAATCACAGCTCACTACAACCTTGACCTCCCAGGATCAAGCAATCCTCCCACCTCAACCTCCCAAGTAGTTGGGACGACAGGCACACAGCACTATGCTTTGCTAATTTTTTATTTATTTGTAGAGACGGGGGTCTCACTATGTTGCCCAGGCTGGTCTCAAACTCCTGGGCTCAAGTGATCCTCCTGCTCCAGTCTCCCAAAGTGCTGGCATTACAGGGGTGAGTCACCACACCCAACTGCACTCGTTTATCTGTTTATTTATTTTATTTTATTTATTTTTTTTTGAGACAGACTTTTGCTCTTGTTGCCCAAGCTGGAGTGCAATGGCACCATCTCGGCTCACTGCAACCTCCGCCTCCTGGGTTCAAGCGATTCTCCTGCCTCAGCCTCTCGAGTAGCTGGGATTACAGGCACACGCCGCCATGCCCAGCTAATTTTTTTTGTATTTTTAGTAGAAATGGGGTTTTACCATGTTAGCCAGGCTGGTCTCAAACTCCTGACCTCAGGTGATCTGCCCGCCTCGGACTCCCAAAGTGCTGGGATTACAGGCATGAGCCACCGCGCCTGGCCTGCTTATTTATTTTCTGTCTCCCCTACTGTATGGCCCAGGAAAACAGGGACCTTGCACACTGCTGGATCCCCAAGACCACAAACCCAGCTCTTGGTATACAGAAGGTGCTCAATAAATGTTTCTTGGACAAATAAGTGATCCTAGGAGGTGGGAGCTAATATAATCCCCATTTAACAGGTAAAGAAACAGGCTCTGAGAAGGTGAGTTCATGAACATTTATTCAGCACCTGCTATGTGCCAAGCACTGTTTTCCATGCTGGTGACATAGCAGTGACTATAGCAGACCAAGGTCCCATCATGGGACTGGATTCAGACTCAGCTCTAACTGCAGAGCCCAAGCCTTTCATCCAACTGCCTCAGTATTCTTGGCTGGATCAACATCCCCAGCAACTCCCTGAAATAATAAAAATCAGGTTAGTCATTACTCCCTTCTGGGCTGAGTTGAGGGAAGCACCAGGCCCTGCGTCAGGCTCCTTAAAAGCAAGATTTCCCAACAGCCCTATGAAGAACAAATGAGGAAACTGAGGCTCCAAGAGGGGACAGCCTCTGCCCAGGGTCACAGAGAAGGTGAGTGGTCCAACCTGGAAACCAAGTCTGACTCCAGAGCCTGCCCCTCATCCATCAGCTGGAGGGTTCCGATTTCCTGGGAATTTCAACTTCCACCTCACTTACCTGTAGAATCAAAAAGGACCCAGGGGCCAGGCGCAGTGGCTCACACCTGTAATCCCAGCACTTTGGAAGGCCTACGCAGGCGGATCACTTAAGGCCAGGAGTTCGAGACCAGCCTGGCCGACATGGTGAAACCCCATCTCTACTAAAAATACAAAAATTAGCTGGGTATGGTAGCGGGTGCCTGTAGTCCCAGCCACTCGGGAGGCTGACATAGGAGAATCGCTTGAACCCAGGAGGCAGAGATTGCAGTGAGCCGAGATCGTGCCACTGCACTCTAGCTTGGCTACAGAGTGAGACTCTGTCTCAAAAAAAAAAGGGCCAGGCGCAGTGGCTCACGCCTGTAATCCCAGCACTTTGGAAGGCCTACGCAGGCGGATCACTTAAGGCCAGGAGTTCAAGACCAGCCTGGCCGACATGGTGAAACCCCATCTCTACTAAAAATACAAAAATTAGCTGGGTATGGTAGCGGGTGCCTGTAGTCCCAGCCACTCGGGAGGCTGACATAGGAGAATCGCTTGAACCCAGGAGGCAGAGATTGCAGTGAGCCGAGATCGTGCCACTGCACTCTAGCTTGGCTACAGAGTGAGACTCTGTCTCAAAAAAAAAAAAAAAAAAAAAAGGGCCAGGCGCAGTGGCTCACGCCTGTAATCCCAGCACTTTGGGAGGCCGAGATGGGCAGATCACAAGGTCAGGAGATCGAGACCATCCTGGCTAACACAGTGAAACCCCATCTCTACTAAAAATACAAAAAAAAAAAAAATAGCCGGGCATGGTGGCGAGCGCCTGTAGTCCCAGCTATGCAGGAGGCTGAGGCAGGAGAATGGCATGAACCTGGAAGGCTGAGCTAGATTGCACCACTGCACTACAGCCTGGGAAACAGAACGAGTCTCAAAAAAAAAAAAAAAAAAAAAAAAGGGACTAGGACTCAGGCCTGAAGACATGATAATGCCAAATGGCCACATCTGTTTCATAGACATTCATCTGTGCCACGCAACAACATACCCCAGGCTTTACAAACAAGACCCCATCAAAGTCTTGTATAAGCCAGGCAAACACTGAATGAGCACTTCCTATTCCAGCCCTATTCCTATTCTAAGTGCTGTTGATACTCGTTTAGTACTCATGACAACTTCAACAGGTAAATATTTCTATGACTCTCATTGTACAAACAAGGAAGTCGAGGTGAAGAGAAGTGCCCAAGTTCACATAATCAGCCCAAGGGTGCCTTAACAAGCAATAACTGGTTTTGAACCCAGGCAGTCTGTGCTCTTAACCTCAAACCTGTGCTGCTTCTTAGCTACTATTAGCTTCACTTTGAAACAAGGAAACTGAGGCTCAAAGTGGTCGAGTCCAAAGGTCTCCAATTAATAGGTGGGGGAGTTAATATTTAAATGCAGATCTGGCAGCCCATGACCCTAACCATTACACTATACCATGACTCTATAGGGCCTCAGTTGGGGAAGCATGAACAAAATTACTTTCCTGGGACGTGGCGGCTCACGTTTTTAATCCTAGCACTTTGAGAGGCTGAAGTGGGTGGCCTGTTTGAGCGCAGGAGTTCGAGACCAGCCTGGGCAACATAGCGAGACCCTGTCTCTACAAAAAATAAAAAAAATTAGCCAGATTTGGTGGTGCGTGTCTGTAGTCCCAGCTTCTCAGGAGGCTGAGGCGGGAGGATCACTAGAGCCCGAGAGTTCGAGGCTGCACTGAGCTATGATCACACCACCTTACTCCAGCCCGGGCGCAGAGAGAGACCCTGTCTGTATCCCACCCCTCACACACACAAAGATGGGAGCTTGAGACTCATGTGGACAGGGTGTGGGCTGGGCCTGGAGTACTGAGAACTGATGGAAATGAGGTTAAGAGTCTGCGTTAAGGGGTGGAGGAAGGAGCATGTAGCCTCTAGGCTAGGGGTCTTGGTGTGGAAATGAACCAGGCTTGGGGGAATACCTGTGTGAATGCCCCACTTGCAGAAGAGGCTACTTTCCGAGAAACCGCTGGCCCCTATGATCTGCCCGATCACGTGCACCTCAGCCATGGCCCTGGGAGGGGAAAAATATAATCACAACCCTGTGAGGTAAGTGTATTATCTCCATTTGACGGGGGGGAAACTGAGGCCCAGCAAGTAAAGGGTAGTACTAGGATTCCAAGCTAGCTTCGTCACACCCCTGAGGCTGAGGTCTTGACCACAGATCCTAATTGCCAACCCATGAAAGCCTGGAAAAAATGGGGGGACCCTTGTCTGGGGAACCAGCATTTAACTCTGGGAAGTCCAAAATAACCTTTTCGGGTTCAGGTCGGCGGAAAGCCCCGCCCGAAGGGGCTATGGCTCCGCCCACGAGCGCAAAAGACCCGCCTTCCGCGTCACGCCAGCCACCCCGCTTCCCTCCCCCAGCAAGCTCCATAAGGCGCATGCGTTATGAGTTCAGGTCCGACTTAACCCCGCCTCTAAGCGCAGCGCATGCGTCATTCCTACCTTAGCGCACTTAACGGTTAGGAGAGGAGAAAGCGGCAACCGGGGTTGTAGTTCATGGGCTTGACTGCTTCTTTTCTCCGCGGGCGCCGACCAGGCCTGGCTCGCGCCTCTCCCAGGACCCGCCTGGCTGCGAGATATGTAAGCCGCGATACTTCCGCGACCGCGCTCGTCTTGGTTTCCGTGGTTGTTGCTGGGGCAACAGCAGGCTCCTCCCCTAGCTTTGTACTCGCTCTGCGCGCTACTAATTGGTGCTAGCCGTCTGCGGGGGGCGGGGTGAAGCTGTGATGGACATTTTCCTCCTCCGCTCCATTTTGGGAAAATAGCGTCTCTCCAGCTACGGCAAAGGGTTCCGCCATTTTGGGCGTGGCTAGGAAGCTGCCATGTTGAGTGTGGCTGAGGAAGTTTGAGTGCAGTTTCTCCCAGATACCTTCTTTACCAAAAAAGCAAATCCCTAACTGCTCCGTGCTGCGCCTACCCCACCGAAGAGCTCTCTGTGGTCCGGGATCACAAATCAGAGATTGAACCAGGACCAAGGGGGAATTCCTTCCAGGACCTCGTGTACATCCCCGGCCTTGTAACTGGAAAACAAAGCAAAAAAATCACTCCTCATTCAGAGAGTGGAGAAGTTGGGGAGTGGGTTCTGCTTCCGTTTTAGAGTTCCCCTAGGTTTCTCAAGGACAAGGAAGGAAGGAAGTTGGATAAGTCCAACTTCCTTCTCGGAGCTACTACCAAGTTCACTGTTACTGCTTGATTCTGAGCAAGGAGCGGTTGGGGTAGCGAAGAGAAATGAGGAACTAAGATTCCCTTATTTGCAGAAAATCCTCTTTCCTATTGATTGATTTATCAATCAAGAAATGGAGATGTTGTCCCTGGATGCCATCCTAGATGCCATCATTTCCCACATCAAGCCAGTCATCAGGTCCCATCAAGGCTCCTTAAAAGGGTCTCACTCTGTCACCCAGGCTGGAGTACGGTGGCTCGATCACAGCTCATTGCAGCCTCTTAACTCCTGGGTTCAAGGGATCCTCCTACCTCAGCCTCCCATGTAGCTGGTATCACAGACATGCACCACCACGGCTGGCTAATTCTTTTTTTTTTTTTTAAGAGATGGAGTCCTGCTATGTTGCTATGTTGCCCAGTCTTGTCTTGACCTCCTGGGCTCTAGCTATCCTCCCAGTTCTCCCTCCCAAACTGCCGGGATTACAGGCGTGAGCCACCCAGCCAGGCCAATAGATACAAAGTATTTACAAGCTACCATTGGCTAGGCGCGGTGGCTCATAACTGTAATCCCAGCCCTTTGGAAGGCTGAGGCGGGAAGAGCTCTTGAGGCCAGAAGTTCGAATATAGGGAGACCCCATTAATAATGCATATATCAACTAGTGAAGTATTCCATTGAATTGTTTAATATAAATGTTATCCTATTGAAATGTTGTACCCTCGTTATAATTTTGGTTTTTTACTTTTTGAGATGGCGTCTCCCCCTGTCATCCAGGCTGGAGTGCAGTGGTGCGATCCCAGCTCACTGCAATCTCTGCCTCCCGGGTTCAAGAGATTCTCCTGCCTCAGCCTCCCGAGTAGCTGGGACTACAGGCGTGCACCACCACACCCAGCTAATTTTTGTATTTTTAGTAGAGACGGGTTTTCACCATATTGGCCAGACCGGTCTCAAACTCCTGACCTCAGGTGGTCCACCCGCCTCAGCCTCCCAAAGTGCTGGGATTACAGGCGTTAGCCACCGTGACCGGCCGGGTTTTTTTTTTTTTTTTTTTTTTTGACAGAGTCTCCCTCTGTCGCCCAGGCTGGAGTGCAGTGGCATGATCTCTGCTCACCACAACCTCCGCCTCCCAGGTTCAAGCAATTCTTCTGTCTCAGCCTCCTTAGTAGCTGGGATTGCAGGCACCCACCACTATATCTAGCTAATGTTTGTGCTTTTAGTAGAGATGGAGTTCCACCATGTTGGTCAGGCTGGTCTCGAACTCCTGGCCTCATGTGATCCTTCTGCCTCAGCCTCCCAAAGTGCTGGGATTACAGGCATGAGCCACCTCGCCTGGGCCCAGCTACTTTTTGTATTTTCTTTTTTATTTTATTTATTTACTTTTTTTTTTTTTTTTTTTTGAGACAGAATCTTGCTCTGTTGCCCAGGCTGGAGTGAGCCTCTGCACCTGGCAGAGGTTTCACTTTTAAATGATCTTTCTGTCCTTTAAGCTGGAGCTGGGGAAAATGTATTTATTTATTTATTTATTTCTGGATGCTGTGTGGGTGAGGTAGACAGCTCTAACCTTTCAGCTCTTGGGGCCCCTGGTCCCCTAGTGGTGGCACCAGCCTTGCATTCTCTTTTCTCAAGCCCCCATTTTGTCCATCAGGAAATCTTACTGCCTCTACTTTTGAAATACACCCTAAATCCCACTTCTCACCTCTTTGTCGCCCTGCACCTTGATCTGTCCAAGTTCATCTATCACCTGGACTATGACAGGGACCTTGTCTCTGGGGTCCCCTTTGCCAACCCCTCTAGTTTGCACCCCACATGCAGCTGGAACCCTGTGAACACCTAAGTCAGGTCCCATCTGCTCAGACCCGTCCAGTGGTCCCCATTTCACTCAGGGTAAAAGCCAAAGTCTTATCATGCATGACAAGGCTCTCCACAACCTGGCTGGCACCTCCTGCCTCATTTTTGTATTTTTAGTAGAGACGGGGTTTCGCCATGTTGGCCAGGCAGGTCTCAAACTCCTGACCTCAGGTGATCTGCCCACCTTGGCCTCCCAAAGTGCTGAGATTACAGGCATGAGCCACTGCTCCCGGCTGAGGTCTTCATTCTGAAGGCTCCCATGTATACATGTTAAATAAAAGAAAATAAATTATCGTCAACTATAAATAATGAGATTCAGAAAATATGATTGAGGCCGGATTCGGTGGTTCATGCCCGTAATCCCAGCACTTTGGGAGGCCAAGGAGAGTGGATACCCTGAGGTCAGGAGTTCGAGACCAGCCTGGCCAACATATAGCGAAACCCTGTCTCTACTAAAAAATACCAAAACTAGATGGGTGTGGTGGCACATGCCTGTGGTGTCAGCTATTTGGGAAGCTGAGGCAGGAGCATCACTTGAACCTGGGAGGCAGCAGTTGCAGTGAGCCGAGATCACGCCACCGCACTTCAGCCTGGGCGACAGAGCCAGACTTCTACTCTCAAAAAAGAAAAAAAAGAAAAGAAAGGAAAATATGATTAACTATAGAGTTTATTCCAGGCTACAGGACCAGTACATATGTTACAACAGTTTCATTAGTACATCTTGCTATGCTGCAGGGAAGATTGCGTTAACATTCTGATAGGAGGAGGAGTACTCTTTCTTTCTTTCTTTCTCCTTTCTTTTTTCTTGAGATAAGATCTTGCTCTGGGGCTGGGCGCGGTGGCTCACGCCTGTAATCCCAGCACTTTGGGAGGTTGAGGCGGGCAAATCACGAGGTCAGGGGTTCAAGACCAGCCTGGCCAACATGATGAAACCTCGTGTCTACTAAAAATACAAAAATTAGCTGGGCATGGCGGCGGGCGCCTGTAATCCCAAGTACTCGGGAGGCTGAGGCAGGAGAATCACTTGAACCTGGGAGGCGGAGGTTGCAGTGATCTGAGATCGTGCCATTGCACTCCATCCTGGGGGACAAGAGTGAGACAAAGTCTCAAAAACAAAACAAAACAACAACAAACAGATCTTGCTCTGTTACCCAGGCTGGAGTGCAGTGGCACAATCACAGCTCACTGCAGCCTCGAACGCCCAGGCTCAAGCCTCCTGCCTAAGCCTCCCCAGTAGCTGGGACTACAGGCGTGTGCCACCATGCCCAGCTAATTTTTCAATAATTTTTTCTGTAGAGACATGGTCTCACTCTGTTGCCCAGGCTTGTCTCAAACTCCTGGGCTCAAGTGATCCACCTCTGCCTCCCAAAGTGCTGGGGTTACAGATGTGAGGCCACAACACCCGGCCTAGGAGTAATGTTCTGAGGTGATCTTATCTCTGGCACTGCTTGGTCATTCTTAATCATTTACAGGAAAAAGCAGAAGTTGTAACTGCATGCTACGTGACTCAGGCTACATAGCAACATTCCTCTCAAGGCTTGGAATAATTTAAAGTTCCAACAGCTTTAAGTTTGAATTATCTAACCACATTATCGAAAGTTGGCCAGGCCTGGTGGTTCATGGCTGTCTGTAATCCCAGCACATTGAGAGGCCACAGCAACAGGATCACTTGAGGCCAGGAGTTCTGGACCAGACTAGGCAACGTAGTGAGACCCTCATTTCTACGAAAACGTTTAAAAAAAAAATAGCAGGGCATGGTGACACATGTCTGCAGTCCCATCTACTTAGGAGGCTGAGGCAGGAGGATCCCTTGAGCCCAGGAGTTTGAGGCTGCAGTGAGCTGTGATCATGCCAAGGTACTTCAGCCTGGGTGACAGAGTGAAAACCTGTCACCTTTTTTTTGGGGGGGGTGGTTATTGGGTTTTTTTGAGACAGAGTCTCGTTCTGTGGGCCAGGGCTCACAGCAACTTCTGCCTCCCAGGCTCAAGCAATTCTCCTGCCTCAGCCTCCCAAGTAGCTGGGATTACAGGCATGTGCCACCACACCCGGGTAATTTTTGTATTTTTAGTAGAGACGGGGTTTCACCATGTTGGCCAGGCTGGTCTTGAACTCCTGACCTCAAGTGATCCACCTGACTCAGCCTCCCAAAGTGCTGGGATTACAGGTGTGAGCCACTGTGCCCGGCCTGAAGCTGTTTTAAAATATATCCACAAATGCTTGGGCAGCCCCCTTTCAGTAAGTGGAGCCTAATTCTCCTTCCCTTCAGTATGGCTAGTTTTTGTAATTTGCTTCTAACCAATAGAATATGGGGCTGGGCACAGTGGCTCACACCTGTAATCCCAGCACTTTGTGAGGCCAAGGCGGGCAGATTGCTTGAATCCAGGAGTTTGAGAGCAGCCTGGACAACATGATGAAACCCCATCACTACAAAAAATACAAAAAATTAGCTGGGTGTGGTGGCATGCCCCTGTAGTCCCAGCTACTCTGGTGGCGGAGGTGGGAGGATCGCTTAGGTTGAGAGTTGGAGGCTACAGTGAGCTGTGATTGTGCCACTGCACTCCAGCCTGGGCAACTGAGTGAGACCCTGTCTCAAAAACAAAATGCTTTTAAGCCAAGTATGGCACACAGCCGGCGGTCCCGGCTACTTCATTTTTGTTGTTGTTGTTGTTTTGAGACAGAGTTTCACTCTTGTTGCCCAGGCTGGAGTGCAATGGTGTGATCTCTCCTCACCACAACCTCTGCCTCCTGGGTTCAAGTGATTCTCCTGCCTCAGCCTCCCAAGTAGCTGGGATTGAAGGCACCTGCCGCCACGCCCAGCTAATTAGTAGAGATGGGGTTTTGCCATGTATGGCCGCGCCTGGCCATCCCGGCTACTTTGGAGGCTGAAGCCGGAGGATGCCTTGAGTGCAGGAAGTCCAGGCTGCAGTGAGCTATGATGGCACCCTGCACTCCAGCCTGGGCAACAAAGTAAGACTGCACCTCTAAAAAAAAAAAAAAAAGGCCCGGTGCAGTGGCTCATGCCTGGATTCCCAGCACTTTGGGAGGCCGAGGCAGGCAGATCACTTGAGGTCAGGAGTTCGAGACAAGCCTGGCCAACATGGTGAAACCCCATCCCTCCTAAAACTACAAAAAAAATCAGCTGAACGTGGTGGCGAGCGCCTGTAGTCCCAGCTACTCGGGAGGCTGAGGCACGAGAATCACTTGAACCCAGGAGGTGGAGGTTGCAGTGAGCCGAGATTGCACCATTGCACTCCAGCCTGGGTGACAGAGCGAGACTCTGTCTCAAAATAAATAAATAAAAATAAATAAATAAGCCTTTTAATTGTGGTAAAATACACATTTACCATCTTAACTGTTTAAAACTGTATTGTTCAATAGTGTTAAGTACATTTACATTGTGCAACCAATCTCCACAACCATTTTCATGTTGCAAAACTAAAATTTTTGCAAAGTAAACACATTTTTGAAACAAAACAACTCCCCTATTCCCCCCTCTTCTGCAGCTCCTGGTAATCACCATCCTATTTTCTTTCAATGTATTTATTTTACTTTATTTATTTATTTATTTTTTGAGATGGAGTTTCACTCTTGCTGCCCATGCTGGAGTGCAATGGCATGATCTCAGCTCAACGCAACCTCTGCCTCCCAGGTTCAAGTGATTCTCCCACCTCAGCCTCCCGAGTAACTGGTATTACAGGCATGCACCACCATGCCTGGCTAATTTTGTATTTTTAGTAGAGACGGGGTTTCTCCATGTTGGTCAGACTGGTCTCGAACTCCTGACCTCAGGTGATCTGCCTGCTTCGGCCTCTCAAAGTGCTAGGATTATAGGCGTGAGCCACTGTGCCCCACCTATTTATTTATTTTTATTTTATTTATTTATTTATTTATTTATTTATTTGAGACAGAGTCTTGCTCTGTTGCCCAGGCTGGAGTGCAGTGGCACCGTGTCAGCTCACTGCAACCTCCGCCTTCCGGGTTTAACCGATTCTCCTGCTTCAGCCTCCTGAGCAGCTGGGACTACAGGCGTGTGCCACCTTGTCCAGCTAATTTTTGTATTTTTAGTAGAGACGGGGTTTCACCATATTGGCCACGCTGGTCTCGAACTCCTGACCTTGTGATCCACCCGCCTCGGCCTCCCAAAGTGCTGGGATTACAAGCGTGAGCCACCGTGCCTGGCCACCTATTTATTTTTTTGAGAGGAAGTCTCATTGTGTTGCCTAGGCTGTGGTGTAGCAACGTGATCTCTGTTCACTGTAACCTCTGCCTCCTGGCTTCAAGGGATTCTCCTGCCTCAGCCTCCCAAGTAGCTGGGATTACAGGCATGTGTCACCACGCCTGGCTAATTTTTGTATTTTTAGTAGAGACAGGGTTTCACCATGTTGGCCAGGATGTACTCGAACTCCTGACCTCAGGTGATCAGCCCGCCTCGGCCTCCTAAAGTGCTGGGATTACAGGCGTGAGCTACCGTGTCTGGCCTGTTTTTTATTTTTTTTGAGACAGGGTCTCGCTCTGTCACCCAGGCTGGAGTGTTCTGGTGAGATCTCAGCTCACCACAACCTCTGCCTCCCAGGTTCAAGCAATTATTGTGCCTCAGCCTCCCGAGTAGCTGGGATTACAGGCATGCACCATCATGCCCGGCTGACTTTTGTATTTTTAGTAGAGACGGAGTTTTGCCATGTTGGCCAGGCTGATTTCGAACTCCTGACCTCAGGTGATCTGCCCGCCTTGGCCTCCCAAAGTACTGGGATTACAGGTGTGAACCACCATGCCTGGCCCACTATCCTCTCCTTCCTTCCTTCCTTCCTTCCTTCCTTCCTTCCTTCCTTCCTTCCTTCCTTCCTTCTTTCCTTCCTTCCTTCTTTCCTTCCTCCCTCCCTCCCTCCTTTCTCTCTCTCTCTTTCTCTCTCTCTTTCTTTCTTTCTGTTGCTCTGTCTCCAGGCTGGAGTGCAGTGGCACAATCTTGGCTCACTGCAACCTCCACCTCCTGGGTTCCAGTGATTCTCCTGCCTCAGCCTCCCGAGTAGCTGGGACTACAGGCGCACACCACCAAGTCCAGCTAGTTTTTGTATTTTTAGTAGAGATGGGGTTTCACCATGTTGGCCAGGATGATCTCGATCTCTTGACCTCGTGATCGGCCTGCCTCAGCCTCCCAAAGTGCTGAGATCACACGTATGAGCCACTGCACCCGGCCACTATCTTATTTTCTGTCTCTGTGAATGTGACTACTCTAAGTACGTCATGTAAGTGGAATCCTACAGTATTTGTCCTCTTATGACAGGATTATTTCACTTAGCATAGTGTCCTCAAGGGTCATCCAGGTCATAGCATGCAACAGGATTTTTTTCCTTCCTGACCCCCCTTTTTTTGACTTGGAGTCTTGCTCTGTCACTCAGACTATAGTGCAGTGGCTATCACAGCCACTCCTGGACTCAAGTGATCCTCCCACCTCAGCCTCCCAAGTAGCTAGGACTACAGGTGTGTGCCACCGTGCTCGGCTAATTTTTTTTTAAGTTTTGGAGAGAGAGGGTGGTCTCAGTGGCTCCCGCCTGTAATCACAGCACTTTGGGAGGCTGAGGCAGTAGGGGGCGGGGGTGGGGATCACTTGAGGGTAGGAGTTCGAGACCAGCCTGGGCAACAGGGTGAAAACCTGTGTCTACTAAAAATATAAAAATTAGCTGGGCATGGTTGTGCGTGCCTGTAATCCCAGCTACTCGGAGGCTGAGGTAGGAGAATCACTTGAACCTGGGAGGCAGAATTTGCAGTGAGCTGACATTGCGCCACTGCACTCCAGTCTGGGCAACAGAGTGAGACTTCCTTTAAAAAAAAAAAGTTTTGGGAGAGATGGGGGTCTTACTGTGTTGCCCAGGCTGGCCTGGAACTCCTGGGCTCAGGCAATCCTCCTGCTTCAGCCTCTGGGATTACAGGCATGGGATTACAGTGCTGGGATTACAGGCATGAGCCACTGTACCTGGCCAGCACTTTATTTTATTGTTATTTATTATTATTACTTTGTTTTTTCATAACATTGATGTTTTGAAGGTTATAGGCGACCTCCTTTGTAGAGTGTCCCTCATTTTGGCTTTGTCTCATGTTTCTTATTATTAGATTTAAGTTATGCATTTTGGCAGGAAAACCAAAGAAATGGTATGTGTCTCCCTCTTTGCTTCAGACCAGAGGCAACTAAGGTCAATTTGTCCTGTTAATGGTGATATTAACTTGTATCATCTGGTTAACGTGATGTTTGCCAATTTTCTCCATTAATTTTTTTTTGTTATAATAAGTAATCTAGGGGAAGCTACTTTGAGACTAAATAAATATCCTGTTCTTTATCAAATCAGATTTTCACCCAATAACTTAATAGTTTCAGTCTCTGTTGACAATCCTTGCTGGAATCTCGTGATCTTTTGTTTTTGTTTTTGTTTTTGTTTTTGAGACTGGGTTTCACTTTGTTGCCCAGGCTGGACTGCAGTGGCACAATCATGGCTCACTGCAACCTCCACCTCCTGGGCTAAACCAATCCTCCTATCTCAGTTTCCCGAGTAGCTTGGACCACAGACATGCATCACCACACCCAGCTGATTTTGTTTATTTTTTGTAGAGACAAAATTTCACTTTGTTGCCCTGGCTGGTCTTGAACTTTTGGGTTTAAGTAATCCTCCCACCTTGGCCTCCCAAAGTGCTGGGATTACAGGCTTGAGCCACCGTACCCAGCTGGAATCTCATGTTTAATATTCCAGACCTGTCACAAACACTAAGAGGTGTAGCCTCTTAGACTGTACAAGGCTAACGGCAGCCAGAGAGCTCTCACTGGAAGTGAATTAATCTCTAGGATGGCCTAGAGGGATGAGGGGACCCACAGAGCTCAATGATTTGGTGAAAAACTGAGGCTGGAGGCTGATGGGAATTTATGCCCCCATCCCACACATATGTAATAAAGACCCACTTTGTGCCAGGCACTGTTTTAGGCCGTGAGGCACAGTAGTGAAAAAACGAGATCAAATCTCAGCCCTTGTTGTGCCGACACTGATGTGGGAGGATTCAAACTACAAACAAGAAAAATACATGGTATGTTTAAGGCCGGGTGCAGTGGCTCACGCCTATAATCCCAGCACTTTGGGAGGCCAAGGCGGGCAGATCACTTGAGGTCAGGAGTTTGAGACCAGCCTGGGCAACATGGTGAAACTCCGTCTCTACTAAAAGTACAAAAATTAGCTGGGCATGGTGGCAGGTTCCTATAATCCCAGCTACTTGGGAGGCTGAGGTGGGAGAATGGCTTGAACCCAGGAGATGGAGGTTGCAGTGACCTGAGATCGTGCCACTGCACTCCAGCCTTGCTGACTGGGGTTTTGCTATGTCGCCCAGGCTGGTTTCGAACTCCTAGGCTCAAGCAGTCCTCCCTCCTCGGCCTCCCAAAGGGCTGGGATTACAGGCGTGGGCCACCGCACCTGGCCTACAGTATGCTTCATAGAAATATGAAAAGAATGAGAGCAAGGTTGAGATAGAAAGTAACAGGGCATCCCTCCTGAGTAAAACAATCCTGCCCCCTCACGCTCTCGTCTACCCTCCCGTGGGTCTCCCTGCTTCTGTCGTCTGCCAGAAACTGGCTGAGCCAAGTGCACTTGCAGACGCCATCTGTTCTCCCTGGGAGTGGGGCCGGTGCCAGCGCCAGCATCTGGACTCTTGGCAAGGAGCCCTGGAGCCCTGGAGCGAGGGAACTCCGGCCCCACAAAGGCCAGGGAATCCTCCAGTCTGGTGAGACGGAGGGCTTCTGGGAAGGGAGGCCTATACAAGGCTCCATGAAGGAGGTGGAAGCTTGCAAGACGATGATAGTCTTGTAATCAGTCCGATGGAGATGGATGTAAATAATAATATTAATAAACACCATCAAATGTGTTCAGAGTGCTTTCTTTGCCAGGCTTTGGATAAATGTTGGATATCTGTTCTTTTTATTTTTTATTTTTCTATTTCCTAGGCAGCACCTAAACCAAAATAGGTTCAGAGAGGCTCCCAATGTTGGACATTTGTTGTTGCAGCAACTCTAAGTACTCTACATATGTTATCACATAAGAGGCAAGGAGCATTATCCCCATTTTGTAGGTGAAGAAATAGGGGTTCAGAGAGGTGAAGGCATTGTCTAGAGGCCACACACTCAGTGACTTAAAGAGCCTGGAAAGGGGCCAGGAATGGTGGCTCACACCTGTAATCCCAGCACTTTGGGAGGCTGAGGCGGGTGGGTCACCTGAGGTCGGGAGTTCAAGACCAGCCTGACTCATATGGAGAAACCCCATCTCTACCAAAAATACAAAATTAGCCAGGTGTGATGGCGCATTCCTGTAATCCTAACTACTCGGGAGGCTGAGGCAGGAGAATCGCTTGAACCTGGGAGGCGGAGGTTGCGGTGAGCCGAGATCACGCCATTGCCCTCCAGCCTGGGCAACAAGAGTGAAACTCCATCTCAAACAAACAAACAAAGAGCCTGGAAAGGAAACCAGGTCTATGTGGGTCCAAATGCTGACTCATGAACATCACTGTACCACGTGACAATCAGAGCATCACCCCCTACTGGACCCCACTCCTCAGCCTTCTTTCCCTAGAAACTCCTAACCCACCTGCCTCTGCTTCCTCCTCACCCATTGGCTTAGCAAGGGCCACAGGAACACAGCCCGGGGTTACAATATGCTGGGCTTGGTACCAGCTGTTTACTGTGGCCAAGTGAGCATGCAAGTGAGCCCGTTTATTTTCTTTTCTTTTTTTTTTTTTTTTTTTTTTTTTGAGACGGAGTCTTGCTGTTTCCCAGGCTGGAGTGCAGTGGCGCGATCTCGGCTCACTGCAAGCTCCGCCTCCCGGGTCCACGCCATTCTCCTGCCTCAGCCTCCCAAGTAGCTGGGACTACAAGCGCCCGCCACCAAGCCCGGCTAATTTTTTGTATTTTTAGTAGAGACAGGGTTTCACCGTGTCAGCCAGGATGGTCTGGATCTCCTGACCTCGTGATCCGCCCGCCTCGGCCTCCCAAAGTGTTGGGATTACAGGCGTGAGCCACTGCGCCCGGCCCGTGAGCCCGTTTCTTTATCTGCAAAACAGGGATTAAAAACAAGCCAACACCCCTTCAGCACTCCTCCGCAAAAAAACACCCCAAAACAAAATAGGCCAGGCGCGGTGACTCACACCTGTAATCCCACCGCTTTGGGAGGCCGAGGCTGCAGTGAACCCAGGAGTCTGAGGCTGAAGCGAGCAATGATTGCGCCACTGCCTTCCAGCCTGGGCGATCAGAGCAAGACCCCGTCTTTTAAAAAATAATAATAAAAAAAAAATCTGCCGGGCGCGGTGGCTCACGCCTGTAATCCTAACACTTTGGGAGGCTGAGGCGGGCAGATCACCTGAGGTCAGGAGTTCAAGACCAACCTGACCAACACAGCGAAATCTCATCTACTAAAAATACAAAAATTAGCTGGGCGTGGTGGCTTGCCCCTGTAATCCCAGCTACTCGGGAGGCTGAGGCAGGAGAATCGCTTGAACCCGGGAAGCGGAGGTTGCGGTGAGCCGAGATCACTCCACTGCACTCTAGCCTGGGCGACAGAGCAAGACTCCGTCTCAAAAACAAAACAAAACAAACAAAAAAACCAAAGTAAAATAGCAGCGACAACAACAACAACAACAAGAAAAACCCGGAGCTGAGAGGAAGAATGAATGCGATGATGAATGTAAAGCGTTTAACACAGGGCTTGGGTACAGTCTGCCCTCAATGAACCAATGATGTACCCCTAGGCAATTTACCTAACCTCGGCTTGCCAGTTTCCTCCCGCGTGAAACAGGACAATAAACGATTATGCCTCTTAGGGTTGTGCTGAGGAATACATGTGTATGTAAGTTTATTTGCAAAGCACTTAGAACAGGGCGCACGGTCCTTGTTGCTGTTATTATTATTGGCTATTATTGCGCAAAGGGGAAGGGAGGCGGGGCCAAGCCAGGAAGGCCCTGGAGAATCCGGGGTGCCCCCTCCTCCGGCAGAGCTTGGGCCTGGGCTCACGAGGAAGGGGCTGCAGTTCTCCAAGGATTCCCGCCTGCTCCCAGACCCCCGGGAGTCGTAGGAACCCGTTCCTGGACGCTGACGTCGGCTTTCAGGGATCCCTCGCCGGACGCCGCGGAGGGACAGAGCCTGGGAAGCCGTCGCCCCGCCCCGTCCCCGCCCCCGCGCGCAGCGGGCCCGGGGCGCTGAGACCCGCGTAGAGCAAAGCGCAAGGTCCCAGCGCCCCTTGGATCCTCGGTGGCAGGGTCCGGGCAAGTGTCATTGCGAGGGTTCAGGAAGCCCCGGCCTGTGATCGTGAGCGGTGAGTGAGGGACGTAGGTGGGTGGGGGTCACAGTCCCTTCCCTGGGTCCTGGAGTTGGGGATGAGAGGGCAAAGCTTTGGCGAGGAAATCGGCTCAGTCAAGGTTTGGAATGAGCAGGCAGGAGGCTTGGGGACCTTCCAGGGGGATCGTAGGACGAGAAGAAGAATATTCTTTCTGGTTGTGTTGCGTGTGTACGTGTATGTGTGTGCTGGGGTTGAGGGTGTTTATGGGGGCGAGGTGTGCAAAGGATTCTGGAGAGCTGGTGCATGTGTGGGAGTTGTGTGGAGTCATAGGTGTGTGGGTGGAGTAGGGCAGGGGTGCCTGGGCCTGATGAGTGGGGCAGGCATGCCAGAGGTCATGAGAATAGGAGAGAGTGCCGGGGTGCATGTGTGCGTGTGTGCACAGGTGTCTGTGGTTTGTGATGCAGTGGGGAGTAGGGTTGTGCACGGAGTCAATTGGGATAAATGTGTAAGAAGGTTGGGGACCTGAAAGGGGTGTTTTCTGGGAGCTGATGTTTTGGGGCAAATATTCAAGGAGTCCTTTGGGAGATGAATGTGTGGAGGTGGAGGCTGGGCTTGCCTAGATGGGGCTGTGTGGCAGGGGACTTCGGGGGGCAGGTCTAGGGGACAGAGGATGGGGAATGTAGACTAGAGTGCAGTTCCAGGCAGCACTGGGGGTAGGGGATGGGTGTGTGTGTGACTGGGAGGGGTGCCTGGGCCTGGATAGGTGGTCACGCGGTATGAACCTGGGATGGATATTGGGGGTGTTTGTGGGGCAGGTAAGTGTGTAAGGCATGGTGCAACAGGTGCTGCAACTTATTGGGGTAAGTGTGATGGGTATGTGGCTTTTGCCTGAGAGAAATGCCCAGAATTTGGCTGGGTGCGGTGGCTCACGCCTGTAATCCCAGCACTTTGGGAGGCCAAGGCTGGTGGATCCCCTAAGGTCAGGAGTTCGGGACCAGCCTGGTTAACACAGTGAAACCCTATCTTTACTAAAAATACAAAAAAAAAAATTAGCCGGGCATGGTGGTGGGCGCCTGTAATCCCAGCTACTCGGGAGGCTGAGGCAGAATGGTTTGAACCCGGGAGGTGGAGGCTGCAGTGTGCTGAGATCATGCCACTGCACTCTAGCGGATCTGCAGTGGTGGATCTGCCTGGGCAACAGATGGAGACTTTGTCTCAAAAAAAAAAAAAAAAAAGAGAGAGAGAGAGAAATGCCCAAAATTGAATGTCCAGACCCCTGAGTTCTCTTCATAACCTGAGGCCAATCTTTTTTTCTCTCTGGGCCTCAGCTTCTGTATCTGTAAAATGGGTCTGAGGACCACTGCACTAACTAGTCTCTGCCTGAGTCTCTCTAAAGCAAGGGGTCAGAGGTTGAGTGAAGTGAGACTTTTACAACTTGTCTTTTTCTTCCCCCTACCCCTAGGAAACCCCTCCTGGAGTTTCCCCAAAGCCATGGACAGCCCTAGTCTTCGTGAGCTTCAACAGCCTCTGCTGGAGGGCACAGAATGTGAGACCCCTGCCCAGAAGCCTGGCAGGCATGAGCTGGGGTCCCCCTTAAGAGAGATAGCCTTTGCCGAGTCCCTGAGGGGTTTGCAGTTCCTGTCACCGCCTCTTCCCTCCGTGAGCGCTGGCCTGGGGGAACCAAGGCCCCCTGATGTTGAGGTAGGAAACAGCAGGCCTTAGTGGAAGGCACGGGAGGGGGCTGGGGTGAGCCCCACTAAGGCCAGCATCTGGCAGGTTGACAGCTGTGCCGATCTGCCTTAGGCCTGGAGTCTCACTTCCCAGCTGTGTGTGGGCTTCTGAGATTTCCAGTTACGGTTCTTCTTGTTTTATGTCTCTCATCTTTGTTGCCTGGCTTTTGGCTCTGTCTTCCCTCTGATCTCAGACTCCGCTGGTTGGTGTCTTCAGAGTGCATGCACCTCTGGCTTTTGTCCACCCTGCTGTCTCCCTCTTTGTGTGTGTGTGTGAGAGAGAGAGAGAGAGAGAGAGAGAGAGACAGGGTCTCGCTCTGTTGCCCAGGCTGGAGTGCAGTGGAGCGATCATAGTTTACTGCAACCTTGACCTCCCGGGCTTAAGCAATCCTCCCACCTCAGCCTCCTGAGTAGCTGGGACCACAGGCATGTGCCACCATGCCTGGCTAATTTTTTGGTGTTTTTTGTAGAGAAGAGGTTTTGTCATGTTGCCCAGGCTGGTCTCAAACTCCTGAGCTCAAGCAATCTGCCTGTCTTGGCCTCCCAAAGTGCTAGGATTAAAGGTGTGAGCCACCATGCCCAGCCTTCCTTTTTTTTTTTTTTTTTTTTTTTTAAGTTACTGTTGTCACTTTTTATAATTTCTCATTCCAGGCCAGGCACAGTGGCTCACACTGGTAATCCCAGCACTTTGAGAAGGCGAGGCAGGAGGACTGCCTCGCCCAGGAGTTCTAGGCTAGCCTGGGCAACTTAGTGAGACTCCATCTTTATTTTTATTTAATTTTTCATTTTGTCCTCCGAAAATTAGAAAGACCCCATCTTAAAAAAAAAAAAAAAAATTAGCCAGGTGTGATGGCGTGTTCCTGTAGTACCAGCTACTTGGGAGGCTGAGGTGGGAGGATCGCTTGAGCCCAGGCTGCAATGAGCTGTGATCATACCACCTTACTCCAGCCTGGACAACAGAGCAAGACAGACAGAAAGAAAGAAAAAGAGAGGGAGAGGGGGGAGAGAGAGAGAGAGAGAAAGAGAGAGGGAGGGAGGGAGGAAGGAAAGAAAGAAAAGAGAGAGAGAAAGAGAGAAAGAAGGAAGGAAGAAAGAAGGAATGAAGGAAACAAGGAAAGGAAGGAGGGAAGGAAGGAAGGAGAAAGCAGAAAGAAAGGAAGGCAGGCAGGCAACAATCATGATGAACTCTTACGGTTTCTGTTGGTCAGGAATTTGGGACTTAGTTGCATGGTTCTGCCTCTGGATCTTTCTTGAGGTTGCATTCAGCTGGTGGGTGGAACTAGAACAGTCAGGGGCTGGCTGGGCACTTTTCTCTCTCTTCATGGTGTCTTAGGGCTTCCTTTTTTTTTTTTTTTTTTTTTTTGAGATGGAGTTTCACCCTTGTTGCCCAGGCTGGAGTACAATGGTGCAATCTCAGCTCACTGCAACCTCCGCCTCCTGGGTTCAAGCAAATTCCCCTGCCTCAGCCTCCTGAGTAGCTGGATTTACAGGCATGTGTCACCATGCCCAGCTAATTTTGTATTTTTAGTAGAGACAGGGTTTCACTATGTTGGTCAGGTTGGTCTCAAACTCCTGACCTCAGGTGATCCACCCACCTCAGCCTCCCAGAGTGCCAGATTACAGGCGTGAGCCACCGTGCCCAGCCGAGTCTTAGGGCTTCTATGTGGTCTCTCCATGTTTGCTGCCTTGGGATTCCTTACAGCATAACGGCTTCAGGGCAGTCAGGCAGCTTATGTACCTCCAGCCTACAGCATGAATATTGCAGCAAAGCAGAAGCTGCCTCACCTTTTCTGATTTCGCTTTGGAAGTCACGTAACATGACTTCCACCACATTCTATTAATTACAAGTGAGTCATGAGCCTGCTCAAATTCAAGGGGAGGGGACACAGAACTCATCCCTTGATGGGAAGGATATCAAAGTCACATGGTAAGAAAAGCATGTGGGGCCGGGCGCTGTGGCTCATGCCTGTAATCCCAGCACTTTGGGAGGCCAAGACAAGTTAATTGCTTGAGGTCAGGAGTTCAAGACCAGCCTGACCAATGTAGGGAAAGCCCGTCTCTACTAAAAATACAAAAATTAGGCCAGGCGCGGTGGCTCACGCCTGTAATCCCAGCACTTTGGGAGGCTGAGACGGGCGGATCACGAGGTCAGGAGTTCGAGACCAGCCTGGCCAACATGGTGAAACCCAGTTTCTACTAAAGAAAAAATACAAAAATTAGCCAGGTGTAGTGGTGCACACCTGTAATCCCAGCTATTCGGGAGGCTGAGGCAGGAGAATCACTTAAACCTGGGAGGCGGAGGTTGCAGTGAGCCGAGATCACGCCATTGCACTCCAGCCTGGGCAACAGAGTGAAACTCTGTCTCAAAAAAAAAAAAAAAAAAAAAAATTAGCTGGCCGTGGTGGTGGGTGCCTGTAATCCCCGCTTTTGGGAGGCTGAGGCAGGAGAATTGCTTGAACTTGGGAGATGGAGGTTGCAGTGAGCTGAGATTGAGCCACTGCCCTCCAGCCTGGGCAAGACTCTGTCTCAAAAAAAAAAAAAAAAAAAAAAAAAGCTTAAAAATCTAAACTCTAGAGTTTTCAGCAGGCAGGTTTGCCCTAATCATTTAGGCCACTGGAGCATTTTATAATCTCCATCTTTTATTTATTTATTTATTAGTGACAGGGTCTTCTTGCTCCGTTGCTCAGGCTGGGGGGCAGACATGTGATCATAGCTCACTGGAGTCTCAAACTGCTGGGCTCAAGCCATCCTCCTGCCTCAGCCTCCCAAAGTAGCTGAGACTACAGGCACAAGACACCATGCCTAGCTAATTTTTTTTTTTTTTTTTTTTGAGATGGAGTCTCACTCTGTCGCCCAGGCTGGAGGGCAGTAGCGCAATCTCGGCTCACTGCAAGCTCTGCCTCCCGGGTTCATGCCATTCTTCTGCCTCAGCCTCCAGAGTAGCTGGGACTACAGGTGTGTGCCACCACACCCGGCTAATTTTGTTTTTGTATTTTTAGTAGAGACGAGGTTTCACTGTGTTAGCCAGGACGGTCTCGATCTCCTGACCTCATGATCCGCCTGCCTTGGCCTCCCAAAGTGCTGGGCTTACAGGCGTGAGCCACTGAGCCTGGCCCATGCCTAGCTAATTTTAAATTTTTTTTTGTAGAGATGGGGTCTTGCTGTATTGCCCAGGCTGGTCTCAAACTCCTGGCTTCAAATGATCCTCCCGCCTTGGCCTCCCTAAGTGTTGGGATGACAGGTGTGAGCCACTGTGCCCGGCCAATAATCTCCATCTTTTTGCAGGTTCCTTGTTTCAGTGGTGTTTGTCCCTGCTCAGGGGCTTTTCTTTTTTTGAGATGGAGTCTCACTCTATTGCCCAGGCTGGAGTGCTGTGGCTCGATCTCAGCTCACTGCAACCTCCACATCCTGGGTTCAAGTGATTCTCCTGCCTCAACCTCCTAAGTAGCTGGGATTACAGGGGCATACCACCACGCCTGGCTAATTTTTGTATTTTTAGTGGAGATGAGGTTTCACCATGTTGGCCAGGCTGGTCTCCCAACTCTCGACCTCAGGTGATCCACCCACCTCGGTCTCCCAAAGTGCTGGGATTACAGGTGCAAGCTACCACGCCCGGCCATGCGGGGGCTTTTCACTCAGAGATTGTAAGCAATTGTAGCGTCCATGATTGGATCCGTCAACCCCTTGAAAATGAACTGAAAACTCTGGGTGTGGGTGGGGCTCTTCTCTGGAGACCTGATCCACAACTTCCCTTCAAAGGGCTCCAGGATACAAATGTCAAAAGCCCATCTCTGGCCAGGTGTGGTGGCTCATGCCTGTAATCCTGGCACTTTGGGAGGCCAAGACGGGTGGATCACCTGAGGTCAGGAGTTCAAGACCATCCTGGCCAACATGGTGAAACCCCATCTCTACTAAAAATACAAAATTAGCCAGGTGTGATGGCGTGTGCCTGTAATCCCAGCTACTCGGGAAGCTGAGGCAGGAGAATCATTTGAACCCGGGAGGCAGTGAGCCGAGACTGTGCCATTGTACCCCAGCCTGGGTGACAGAGCAAAACTCCGTCTCAAACAAACACCGAAAGCCCATCTCTGAACACTTTTTTCTCTTTGTATCTCTGGGGAAGCCCTAGGGGCAGGTATTGGCCTTTGAGGGCTATGGAGAGCAGAGCAATGGGGCAGGAAAGGTGGATGGAGATGCCCACCTGGGCACTTTCCTGTCCGTAGGACATGTCATCCAGTGACAGTGACTCGGACTGGGATGGAGGCAGCCGTCTTTCACCATTTCTACCCCACGACCACCTCGGCTTGGCTGTCTTCTCCATGCTGTGTTGTTTCTGGCCCGTTGGCATCGCTGCCTTCTGTCTAGCCCAGAAGGTCAGTCTGTGTGTGGGACTTGGAGGGGACTGGGCATAAAAGAGAAAAATGCACCACAAAAACAAAGAGCCATATACCTGAGGCGGGAAGGTGGAAGGTAGCCCAGAGAACCTGAACTCAAATCCTGAGTCTGCCACTCTCTGCAAGATTTTTTTTGAGTCTCACTTTGTCGCCCAGGCTGGAGTGCAGTGGTACAATCTCGGCTCACTGCAATCTCTGCCTCTTGGGTTCAAGTGATTCTCCTGCCCCAGCCTCCTGAGTAGCTGGGATTAGAGGCGCGCGCTACCATGCCTGGCTAATTTTTGAATTTTTAATAAAGACGGGGTTTCACCACGTTGGCCACGCTGGTCTCGAACTCCTGACCTCAAGTGATCCTCCCATCTTGGCCTCCCAAAGTGCTGGGATTACAGGCGTGAGCCACGGTGCCCAGCTCTCTGCAAGATTTTGGGCAAGTCACTTAACTTCCCTGTGCCTCACTTTCCTCATCTGTAAAGTGGGAATAATTGCTACCTCTGGGTCAATGTGAGAATCAAATGAGTTAGAATAGTGGCATATACCATTTTAATGTTTTTATTTATTTTTTAAAATTTATTATTATTATTATTTTTTACCATTTTAATGTTTTTATTAACCACTCAGCATCCCCAGTGCCTGACCTATAGTAGGTGCTACGTATCTGCTTTTGGAATACATGCATGAATGAATGAATGGGTATGTTGGGTGGGGGAGGGACCAGGGGAAGGGTCTGGGACTGAGGGGATGCCTGGGTCACTGCTGCCCACTGCCTCTACAGACCAACAAGGCTTGGGCCAAGGGGGACATCCAGGGGGCAGGGGCCGCCTCCCGCCGTGCCTTCCTGCTGGGGGTCCTCGCCGTCGGGCTGGGCGTGTGCACGTATGCGGCTGCCCTGGTGACCCTGGCTGCCTACCTTGCCTCCCGAGACCCGCCCTAGTTGCCCCTACAGCCCTCACTGTGAACCCTGAGGCCGGCAGCCCAGCAAATCTGTGGGCAGAGAGTGGAGAATCTTGGTGGATGAGGCTGCGGCGGCGGCAGGAGCATCTAGAAACGGGAGCGAGCTGGACTGGAACCCTTCCCCTTCCTGGCCACCGCTCTTCGGGCGGCAGCAACCTGAGATTAAACACCAGACACCCTTGCAGCCAAACCAGAGTCTGTTCGCGTGTGTGGGAGGATGGAAGGGGGTGGGGGTGCTTGAGACCAACAGGGGACTGACTGGTCAGGGTGACGGGCTGTGGTGGGCATCCCCAGGGTGCTTGCTCCCTGAGACCTGAGCTGGAAAAGGGGGAAGAGGATTTTCGGGTTTTTTTTGTTTTTTGAGAGATGGTCTCCCTGTTGCCCATGCTGGAGTGCTGTGGCACAATCATGGCTCACTGCAGCCTTGAACTCCTGGGCTCAAGCAATCATCCTGATTGAGCCCAGGAGCCTCCCAAGTAGCCGGGACTACGGGCACCTGCCACCACACCCAGCTAATTAAAAAAATTTTTTTGTAAAGACAAGGTATCACTATATTGCCCAGGCTGGTCTGAAACTCCTGGGCTCAACTGATCTTCCCGCCTCGGTCTCCCAAAGAGCTGAGATTACAGGCATGAGCGACCATGCCTGGTGGTTTCTAAACAGCAGGATGTTCTCATCCCAATATGGGTGGTTAGCAGAGAACTGGAGAGAGCTGAGTTTCAAGTCCTTACTCCTCTACCTGTTAGCTGTGTAAGCTTGGCCCAAGTGACTTCTCACTTTTTCTCCTCTGCAAAATGGGACTTTCTGCACACCTCAGGCTGTAGTGAGGATTAAATGCATCATATGTGGAAATGACTGTCTGCTGTTGCTGTCTCCCTCTGAGCTTTTTTTTCTTTTCTTTTCTTTTTTTTGAGATAGGATCTCCCTCTGTCAACCCAGACTGGAGTGCAGTGGCCCGATCTTGGTTCACTGCAGCCTCGACCTTCCAGGCTCAAGTGATCCTCCCACCTCAGCCTCCCAAGGAGCTGGGACCACAGGCGTGTGCCACAATGCCTGGCTAATTTTTTGTATTTTTTTTTTTTTTTTTGAGATGGAGTCTCGCTCTGTTGCCAGGCTGGAGTGCAATGGTGCAATCTCAACTCACTGCAGCCTCTGCCTTCCAGGTTCAAGAGATTCTCCTGCCTCAGCCTCCTGAGTAGCTGGGATTTCAGGTGCGCAGCACTGCGCCTGGCTGATTTTTGTATTTTTAGTAGAGACAGGTTTTCACCATGTTGGTCAGGTTGGTCTCGAACTCCTGACGTCAGGTGATCCACCCACCTCAGCCTCCCAAAGTGCTGGGATTACAGGCGTGAGCCACCAAGCCTGGTCTTTATTGCTTGATAATGTCTAGCCCCTCTTAGTGTGCTTAGTGAGCACTTCCTATGTGCCTCTGCTAAGTGCTTGTGACAGATGTGTTTTCCCTGTCCAGGTGCCAACACCTCCATGTTTCCTTAAGGATGCATCCCTTTCCCTATTGCAGGCCATTTGGTTTGGATGGGACTGCCTCCAACTGCAGGTAGGGTTTTGCCCCATCTCTACTAAAAATACAAAAATTAGGCTGGGCACAGTGGCTCAAGTCTGTAATTCCAGCACTTTGGGTGGCCAAGGCAGGCGAATCACCTGAGGTCAGGATTTCCAGACCAGCCTGGCCAACATGGTGAAACCGCATCTCTACTAAAAATACAACAATTAGGCCAGGTGCGGTGGCTCACGCCTGTAATCCCAGCACTTTGGGAGGCAGAGGTGGGCGGATCACCTGAGGTCAGGAGTTAAGAGACCAGCCTGACCAACATGGAGAAATCCCGTCTCTACTAAAAATACAAAAATTAGCTGGGTGTGGTGGCATGTGCCTGTAGTCCCAGCTACTCAGGAGGCTGAGGCAGGAGAATCATTGGAACCCAGGAGGCGGAGGTTGCATCACCCCATTGCACTCCAGCCTGGGCAACAGAGCGAGATTCCGTCTCAAAACAAAAGAAAACAAAACAAAACAAAACAAAACAAGACAGGGACTATAACAACAGCCCCATCTCACAGGGTTGGTGGGTGGGTATTTAGAGTTTCCTCCCCATGGCCTACAAGGCCCCACCTGCATGCTTGCCCGTTTCCCCCAGCCCCATCTGCTCTCCTGCTCTAGCTCGCTGGCTTTGGCCACCCTGTTCACCAAGCTGGTCCCCAGCCCCTGGGGGCTCCTTCCCCACATTATCCAAGAGCTCACTCCCTTTCCTCTTTCAGGGTCCCCTCTGAGGTACCCTGCTCTGTGAAGGCACTGATGCCTGATGTACTCAATTTGCCCTCCATAAAGGGACTCTCCCAAACTCCTGTTCCCTGCTTTTTACTTTTTCATAGATTTACTACCATCTGACAAATTCCAGTTTACCTCCCTGCTCCTCTGGGATCTCACTAGCAGGGCCTGCACACGATGGGTGCTCAACAGACATTTGTTAAAGTGAATTAATTTATTGATTCATCCATTCCATAAATGTGAGCTCCTTTGAATGTTATCCTTGCTGGGGGGATCTGTGCCCCCAGGCCTGGGGGCTGTCACAGGCCAAGGCCTCCCCACAGGAGCCCTGTGGTTACAGAGCTGCAGGCTCAAGGAGCCCATGGGTCAGAGAGGCAAGGCTGGGCTGCTGGTTTGCTTCAGGCTGTAGGGGGTGAGTGGGTGGAGGCAATGGGAGCGGCCCCTTGCCCCAGCTTGCCTCAGCTCTTGGAGTAACGCCTCTGCAGCGATTCCCGGTAGAAACGGAAGACGTGTTGCGAAGCGGCCTGGGCCGCAGCCAGGCACTGCTGGAGCTGCGGGGGAGAGACTGGTCGGTGCTGGGGGCCGAGCCCTTCATGCACACACGACTTGGCTGACCCAGGAGGTTCTGCTGACCCCACCTGACTCCCTTAACCTCCCATCACTCCCCTGCCCCCAAGTGAGGCAAGTGGTAAGGGATTATTTCCCATTTCATGAACTGTTTCTTAGAGATCAGGAGAAATAAAAAGAGGGAGAAGGACTTCAGGATCAGATTCTGACAGCAACAGGACTCAGACCTATCAGGCATCCTCACACCTTGGAGGAGGCCCCAGCTGTGCAGAGCTATGGAACTGGAGAGTGCACAGAATTGGAGTGGTCTTGGGATTTTACAGCCACAGTCCCCTTCAGCCCAAATAATCTAAGAGCCATGGAATCAAGAGACTCCCAGTCTTCACTGCCATGTATTCCTAGATTCATGAGGTCCAGGTTGGACATGCTTTTGCAGACAGTCATGTCCAAGAGTTTCCAGGCTCTGCCCCTTAGCCTGAGACCTGGAATTCCCATGGCTCACCACTCTGAGCTGGGAGCTGGGGGACCATCACATGCCCTCTTCTGACTTCAAACTGAGCTCATCCTCTTTTTGCCTGTGTTATAAATTGGGCTTCCCTTAAACATTTCCGCAAAGGTTTCTGGGTCCACAAAGTTTGAAAACTCCCTTTTTACAAGAAGAAATTTAAGAGGCTCTCCTGAAGCCTCTCAGAATCCAGGGCAGAGTTGGGACAAGACCGTATGTCAGTGGGAAGGAAGGTTCTGGCTTTTCCCCTCATCCCCATGCTGGTACCTCAGTGTCTGAGTAGAGCCCCTTGGTGCTGGACATCAGCAGCTTCCGTTCCACGCTGTCCAGGGCAAAGGTCAGGACTGCCCGGGCCTCCTAGGGACAAGGGGTAGAAGGCGGTGGGGGACCTAGGACCTTCCCCTCAGATAAAATCTCAGCCAGTCCTTTGGCCAGGCACAGTGGCTCATGACCATAATCTCACCACTTTGGGAGGCCAAGGCAGGGCACTGCTTGAGGCCAGAAACTCAAGACCAATCTGGGCAACAGAGGGAGACCCCATCTCAGAAAAAAAAAAAAAAAAAAGGTAGCTGGGTGTGGGGGTGCATGTCTGAGTTCCCAGCTACTCAGGAGGCAGAGGTGGGAGGACTGCTTGAGCCCAGGAGTTTGAAGCTGCAGTGAGCTGTGATCGTACTACACTCCAGCATGGGCGACAGTGAGACCCTGTCTCAACGCTCCCCTTCCCACCACACACTTGCAGCCAGTCCCACTGAGGGGACTCCGGACCCTTGGCCTCCAGGCCTCTCCCTTTCCATAGCCAGGCGCTCACCTATCAAGCATCAAGCGCAGCCATTTTTTGTCTACGCTACCCCTTCCCTACTTCCCTGGGTATAGCCCTCTGCCTTTCCTTTGTAGAACTGTACTCCATGCCCCTTATTCCAACCACGTGGTTCTGACAGGGGCTTCCAAGCTCAGTATTCCTGCCCCAAGGGGCTAGCCATAGTGCCACTCACTTATCTGGTACCTCTCGGCCTCCCAGTCCCCCTTCCATGCTCTGTCCCACAGGGGCTGGAAGCCAGCAAGCTGTATTTCCCAGACTCCCTTACCAGCTAGTTTCCATCAGTAATGAGGTGGGAGAATGGAAGAAAAGCAGCACCCTGGTCCTCATGGACAATGGCAGGTGCTGATGGCTGTGGCTGTGTGACAGCCATGGAGGTGGGGTGGGTTCTGGACCTCAGTGGCCAGGGCAGAAGCAGGACATGCTATGTGCATCCAGAACCAATTGAGATGATGTCTCCAACACGACAGAACAGGAGGTGGCTCGCAGGTTCAGTCCAGGTCTGGGAGGGGTTTCTCATCTCTGGGTGTCACTCCTGCTTCCTTTTTCCTCCTCTAGTTCCTCAACACTGTTGTTACAAAGTCCCTGCATTTAACTCCCTCCATCTGAAACCCTCCAAGTGGTTTCCGTCTTCTTGACTAGAGGGGACCATTATAGCACTGGGCAGAAAACTCAGAATAACTTGAGCTTAGGACACTGCACCTGAGCCGATGAGGAAAACTCTCTTCTCGTTTGCTTTTGAGCCTCCTAGGATGGAAATGGAGCTTAAGGGGTCAGTCCCAGCCTCAGGAAAGGTGCTGGCCAGAAAGAATGAAGCTGATGTGCAGAGAAAGGCAGGGACGAGAAGTGAAGCAAGGACATCCTGATGGTGTTTAAAGTCCTGGTTTTATTTTATTTTATTTTTGAGAGTTTCACTCTTTCATCCAGGCTGGAGTGAAGTGGTGCGATCTCAGCTCACTGTAACCTCCACCCTCCAGGTTTAAGTGATTCTCCTGCCTCAGCCTCCTGAGTAGCTGAGATTACAGATGTGTGCCACCATGCCTAGCTAACCTTTGTATTTTTAGTAGAGACAGGGTTTTGCAATGTTGGCCAGGCTGGTCTTCAACTCCCAGCCTCAGGTGATCTGCCTGCCTCAGACTCCCAAAGTGCTGGCATTACAGGTGTGAGCCACCACACCTGGCCATACATTTCCTTTCTAGTTTATTTATTTATATTTTTTGAGATGGAGTTTCACTCTTATTGCCCAGGCTGGAGTGCAATGGCGCGATCTCGGCTCACCACAACCTCCGCGTCCTGGGTTCAAGCGATTCTCCTGCCTCAGCCTCCTGAGTAGCTGGGATTACAGGCGTGCGCCACCACACCTGGCTAATTTTGTATTTTTAGTAGAGATGGGGTTTCTCCATGTTGGTCAGACTGATCTCGAACTCCCGACCTCAGGTGATCCACCCACCTCAGCCTCCCAAAGTGCTGGGATTACAGGCGTGAGCCACCGCTCCCGGCCCCACATTTCCTTCCTAATTAAGCAAGTCTGAGCTGGGTTTCCAGCACTTGCTGCTAAATGAACCATGATGATTAGAGCAGCCCTTGCTAAGTGGGATTGAGGTGGCATGAGCCGACTGTCTGTAGAGAAGCGAGGCCTGGAGGAAGGGACGGGCAGCTGTCTGGCCTCTGCCCTTCAGCCACCCTGGTCTTCACACCTACCTTTTCTTGCTTGGATGTAGGATCCAGCACGAGGGTCCCATCAGAGTCCAGGGCGCAGGCGACCCCACAGAAGAGAGCCCGCATGGGCACACCTGCATCCACCAATGCCATGCAGGCGGCATTCAGACAACAGGCCAGGAGCTGAGCACCACAGGAAATGGTTAAGTTTCTTTTTTTTTTTTTTGGAGATGGAGTTTCGCTCTTGTTGCCCAGGCTGGAGTGCAATGGTGTGATCTCGGCTCACTGCAACCTCCACCTCCTGGGTTCAAGCAATTCTCCTGCCTCAGCCTCCTGAGTAGCTGGGATTACAGGCACCCACCACCACACCCGGCTAATCTTTGTATTTTTAGTAGAGATGGGGTTTCACTATGTTGGCCAGGCTGGTCTGAAAACTCCTGACCTCAGGTGATCCACCTGCCTCGGCCTCCCAAAGTGCTGGGATTACAGGCATGAGCCACCACGCCCAGCCTAAGAAGTTTCTACTGTAGGCCTGGCCAGCAGAGCAGATCCATGCCTCCCTCCACCAGGCTGATGCCTATGGCAGACATCACTAATCGGTCACAGAAGGGCAGTATGGCAGAGTGGTTAAAAGTGGTCCGGGGATCAAGTAGCCCTGGGTTCCAGACCTAGTTTTGCTCAGCTGTGTGACCTTGAACAAGTGACTTACTCCTTGAGTCTCAATCTCCTCATCTGTTAGATGGGGAATATAATAATATTCAATAGGTATGTACTGAAGTACGTACCACACATTTGTTGGCAAATAGGGTCAGAGAGGGGAAGAAACCTTCCAAAGACACGAGGGGGAGGCACTGGCAAAGCCAGGCCCGAAACTTGGGTAGCAGCCACTCCCCGGTGACAGAGCTGGCAGGGCAATGGAGGAAGAGCCACCTCGCTGCTGCCTGCAGGAAGCTCACAGTGGAAAGAGAGCACAGGTTGGGAGTCAGCTGGCTCTGCCTCAGTTTCCTAATGTGTTTCTTCTCCAGGCCTAGCAGCCAGACAAAGACCACAGCTTTAGTCAACCGGTTCCAGCTCTGCTGCTGATCCTCCACGCCTTCCTCTGGGCTTCACTTTCCACTTCTGTAAAATGGGGTCACAATACCTTCTCTCTCTGCCCATCCATAAAATGTCTGTCCAGTTCAGGGCCACGTTCCAGTAAAGCCTTCTACAGTGTCTAATTCTAGTCCTCAACCTCAACCTCTCGCACCTCAGACATGGAGATCTTACAAGGCCACGCTCCTGACTCAGCTGCTGTCTGCTCAGGGCGCCCCCAGCACTGAGGGCCTGAAATCCACTGAGGTGCCGAGTAGAAGTGATTGCCAGCCGGGCACAGTAGCTCATGCCTGTAACCCCAGCACTTTGGGAGGCCAAGGTGGACTGATCACTCGAGGTCAGGAGTTCGAGACCAGCCTGGCCAACACAGCAAAACCCCGTCTCTACTAAAAATACAAAAATTAGCCTGGCGTGGTGGCAGGCACCTGTAATTCCACCTGTAATTCAGGAGGCTAAAGCATGGGAATCGCTTGAGCCCGGGAGGTAGAGGTTGCAGTAAGCTGACATTGCACCACTGCATCCAGCCTGGGTGACAGAGTGAGAGCCTGTCTCAAAAACAAACAAAAAAACCCAAAAAACAAAAGAAGTGATTGGCACAGGCTCTGGAGTCAGACTGGCCTGGGCTTGAGTCCTGCCTGTGCTGCCTTCCAGCTGTGTGACCTTGGGCAAGCCCCTTCCCCTCTCTGGGCCTCAGTTTTGTCACCTGAAACATGCGAACATAAGAACACTCATCTGCCAGGGTCCGTGGGCTCTAGAACTAGACGGTCTGGGTCTAAGTCTTGGCTCTGCCACTTCCACGGGGATCATAAGGGCATGTGCTATATTACATGAGTTAATGTGCATAAGGCACACAGAACAGTGCCTGGCACATAAGTAAGCACCCAGGCTGTTTGCTCTCCTTCTTCAGTGAGCTGGTACCTGTCAAGTGTTTGAAGGCTTTCTGGCTAGCAGTGAGGGTATATGTATCCGCCAGGAGGGAAGCAATCAGGAGACTTCCTGGAGGAGGAGGCCTGGCAGAAAGGATACAGAGCCGGCATCGCTGACAACCTGCAGCACCACGGTGATGGAGGTGCGGGGGTGCAACGTGCCCAGCACCACCGCCTCGCACGTGTTCCTGATCAGCCGCTCCCGGCTCTTCTCTGCAACACCTGGGGAAATTGAAGAGAGGTTCAGGGTCTTCCCCTTCATTTGACTCACCTTCCTCCATACGCCTCACCCAAATTCCCAGAAAGGGCTCACGGTCTCAGCCTGGGATGGTGCAGTTACCTGCAGGGATGATGGAAGATTCCAGTGGGAAGAAGGCAAGGCCTGACTGCCATCCACTGACCCCTGCTACCTCCAGCATCCACCAAGGGAACCATCCAAGGGAAGAAGACCTGGGAGTTCCATGTCTGTGCTGCTACCCACGCCCACTCCCACCCTAGCAGGTCCAGTCAGTGGGGACTGAGGGATATGAGGGTAAAAGGGTGGAAAAACAGGTTAATGGTCCAGGCACAGTGGCTCGCGCCTGTAATCCCAACACTTTGGGGGGCTGAGGCGGGCGGATCACTTGAGGTCAGGAGATCAAGACCATCCTGGCCAACATGGTGAAACCCCATCTCTACTAAAAAAATACAAAAAATTAGTGGGCATGGTGGCACGTGCCTGTAATCCCAGCGACTCGGGAGGCTGAGCCAGGGGAATTGCTTGAATCTGGGAGGCAGAGGTTGCAGTGAGCTGAGATCGTGCCACTGCACTCCAGCCGGGGTGACAGAGCGAGACACTGTCTCCAAAAAAAAAATAAATAAATAAAAATAAATAAAAGAAAAACAGGTTAATGGAATGAATGAGAGTGGAGGCAGAGAGAGGGAGAAAAGAGGGAGGGAGAAATTAGAGGCAGAGAGAGAAGCAACAGAAGATGAGTTATTAATTAGAGGCGGAGAGTTAAAGACAGAAACAGCTGAGTGGAGACCCAAGCGGGGAGTGGAGACTCGGGGCAGCTGGTAGGGAGGAGCTGGGGGGGTGATTTTGACAAACTGGGCACCACTCAGAGGTTCAGCAGGGCCCAATTACCAGGCAGCCCAATCTTCGGCCTCAGGATCACTTCGAGTGTGGCCTTGTTGAAAATCTCTTTGCTGACCTTCACCTCGGCCGGCCCGTACACACCCGCCAGGACAGAGGTGTCACCTGAGGAGACAGCAGGGAGGGCCTCACTCACAGCTTCCCTGCTCCTGGGGCCCCATTTGTGGCACTGAGCCTGACGGCCAGGGCTCCCCACGTCACCCCCGCCATTTGTTGGTACTGATTCTTTGAGCACTCACTTCATTTCTCTCATTTGTAAAATGGGGAAAATAGCAGTCCCTCCCCGCTAGCGTCTTGTGAGGATCAAAGGACACAATTCACAGAAAACACTTAGAACACTGCGGGGCTCACGCTGAATGTGCAACAGACTTTAGCTGTATTAGTAACATTCGTCCATTCAGGCATTCAGGCAGGGTCTCACTCTCATTGCCCAGGCTGGAGTGCAGTGGTGCCATCACGGCTCATTGCAGCCTTGACCTTCTGGGCTCAAGTGATCCTCCCGCCTCAGCCTCCCAAGTAGCTGGAACTACAGGCATGTGCCACCATGCCTGACTAATTTTTATATTTTTAGTAGAGAGGGGATTTTGCCATGTTGCTCAGGCGGGTTTCGAACTCCTGGGCAACTGTAATCCCAAGGTGCTAGGATTACAGGCGTGAGCTACCACGCCTGGCCCTGATATTAGTAATTTTTTTTTTTTTAATGAGATGGAGTCTTGCTCTGTCGCCCAGGCTGGAGTGCAGTGGCGTAATCTCGGCTCACCGCAACCTCTGCCTCCCGGGTTCAAGCAGTTCTCCTGCCTCAGCCTACTGAGTAGCTGGGATTACAGGCGCGCGCCACCACACCTGGCTAATTTTTTTATTTTTAGTAGAGACTGGGTTTCACCATGTTGGTCAGGCTGGTCTCGAACTTCCTGACCTCATGATCTGCCCGCCTCCCAAAGCGCTGGGATTACAGGCGTGAGCCACTGTGCCCGGCTGGTATTAGTAACTTTTAACAGGAAGTTCTTCCTGAAAGCTAACCATCCTCCCTCTTACTGCAGCTGCTCTCAACTTCTCTTTCCAAAGCTTCCCCAGCCCAGCTCTTCCCTTAGGCACTGGCCCCCAAATTTTGCATCAGTCTGGACACCTGAGAAAGGGATAATATCTGGAATGAATCCTGATTCCTTATTTCCCCAGAAGCTATGAACGGGGTACAGGAGGTAAAACCTAAGAAATAAACAGCCTGGCTTCTAGTACTGTCTGCTGTAATCCCAGCACTTTGGGAGGCTGAGGTGGGTGGATCACCTGAGGTCAGGAGTTTGAGACCATCCTAGTCAACATGGTGAAACCCTATCTCTACTAAAGATACAAAAATTAGCTGGGCATAGTGGTGGGTGCCTGTAATCTCAGCTACTTGGGAGGCCGACGCAGGAGAATTGCTGGAACCGGGGAGGCGGAGGTTGCAGTGAGCCGAGATCACACCATTGCACTCCAGCCTGGACAATAACAGCAAGGCTTAGTCTCAATAAAAAAAAAAAAATACATTTTAGGCCAGGCATGGTGGCTCACACCTGTAATCCCAGCACTATGGAGGCCCAGGTGGGAGGACTGCTTGAGGCCAGGAGTTTGAGACCAGCCTGAGCAGCATAGGAAGACTCCTGTCTCTATTTTCTTTTTTGGGACAGAGTTTCCCTCTGTCACCCAGGAGGCTGGAGTGCAGTGGCGCAATCTCAGTTCACTGCAACCTCCGCCTCCCAGGCTCAAGTGATTCTTGTACCTCAACCTCCAGAGTAGCTGAGATTACAGGTGCGTGCTACCACATCCGACTAATTTTTGTATTTTTAGTAGAGATGGGTTTTCACCATGTTGGCCAATCTGGTCTCAGAACTCCTGACCTCAACCAAGCGAGGTGGCTCACGCCTGTAATCCCAGCACTGTGGGAGGCTGAGGCAGGTGGATCACAGGGTCAGGAGTTCAAGATCAGCCTGGCCAACATGGTGAAACCCCGTCTCTACTAAAAACCACAAAAATTAGCCGGGCGCGGTGGCACGCACCTGTGGTCCCAGCTACTCAGGAGGCTGAGGCAGAAGAATTGCTTGAACCCGGGAGGTGGAGGGTGCAGTGAGCCACGATCACTTCACTGCACTCCAGCCTGGGCGACAGGGCGAGACTCCATCTCAAAAAAAAAAAAAGAAAAAAAAAAAAAGAACTCCTGACCTCAGAGGCCTCCCAAAGTGCTGGGATTACCGCTGTGAGCAACTGCACCCGGCCTCTTCTTAATTCTTACGTTCGAAGAAACTTTAGGTATCTCAATTCAGCATAAGCGCTAAGCCTGAGGGAGGGCCTGGGAAGGTCCTTGGTTAAGGCCGTATTTCCTGGGAAGCCCAATTTGCCCTTACACGGAAGGTATGCTTAGTTCCAGGAGAAACTGCCCTGAGGACTGGAGAAGTTACCAAAACAGAACTTGCCTCTGGCTCCAGATGAACTGCCTGTGTTTTGCCCGAGCACAAGAGTCTCTCCCCTCTCACCTTCTTGAAGACGTGGCTCCAGCAATTCTCTCCCCTGTTGACCCCACAACAATCTACAACTCCTGCCCCACTTATCTGATCCTCTTACAGCAGAACTCCTGAACAGCTGCCTCTTCTTCCTTTTCTGTGACCCCACCACTCCATTGCGGCAGCTCAACATCGTCACCACTGACCTCCAAATGATCAACCCTCCCATGACCCGGCTGTCAGTAAGGCTGAAACAGCTGGTCAGCCCTCACATCTCAGACATGCTCTTTTCTTGGCCCCAGGTCACCACCATCTCCTGGTTTCCCCCTAACTCTCTGGGCGTTCCTTCTGAGTCTCCTTTGCTAGCTTGTCACATGTCTCTGACTGCTCAAGTTGGAAGGCCTAGGGCTTGGTCCTGGGACCTCTTCTCTTTTCCATCTACACTCACTTCGTTCAGGCAATAGCCTGAAATACCATCTATATAGCCAGAGAGTTCCAAATTGCCTATGTCCAGCTTGGGTCTCTCTTCTGATTTCCAGACTTGTACAGATCTGGGCAGAAACCTTAGTTATGCCTGAATCTTTTTCCTCGCACTCAAACCAAACTATACGTAAGTTTTGTCCGTATTACTTTCAAACTACATCCAGAATCTCATCACCTCCACTACTCCTGCTCTGGCTGGAGCCACCATCACCTCCCTGTTTTCCCCCATACTCCCCACAATCAACACAGCAGCCAAATTTTGTTAAAATGTATTGGGGCTGGGCGTGGTGGCTCATACCTGTATGAGCACTTTGGGAGGAGGATTGCTTGAGCCCAGGAGTTCAAGACCAACCTGGGTGACATCGTGAGACGCTGTCTCAATTTTTTTTTTTTTTGAGACAGAGTCTTGCTTTGTCGCTCACGCTGGAGTACAATGGCACGATCTCGGCCCACTGCAACTTCTGCCTCCCAGGTTCAAGTGATTGTCCTGCCTCAGCCTCCCGAGTAGCTGGGATTACAGGCGCCCGCCACCATGCCTGGCTAGTTTTTGTATTTTTAGTAGAGACAGGGTTTCGCCATGTTGGCCAGGCTGGTCTCGAACTCCTGACCTCAGGTGAGCCACAGGTCTTGGCCTCCCAAAGTGTGGGGATTACAGGCGTGAGCCACCGCCCCCGGCCTCCCGTCTCAAACGTTAAAGAGAAATATTCTTGGAGTTAATCTACTTCTGAGAGTTATTTAGCTAGGAAAAGGGGATATTTGCTCTATAGGTAAGACTTGCCCTAATCTTTTTTTTTTTTTTTTTTTTGACTTGCCCTAATCTTAGGGATATTTACTTGTGTGGAGAGATGCAGTGAGGTAGCGGTGGGGATGTATTTCTCAACCCAGCGCAATGACATTATCTTCAATTTGAGGAGTATTTACGTGGGTGAAAGATCCGCCACAGTCCACAGTATGCAAATAGACAGGTTTGCTTCAGTCCGGGATGCAAGGACCTAGAGGGTGTGTGTGTGGGGGGTGGGGGTGGGAGGGTGGAGGAGGAATCGAGTTAAGGGGGATATTTACCCTGGCGAGGTGATTTTCCCTATTCTGAAATATCAATTCTTGGGCGGACAGTCTGCCCCTCCTCTCATTCTCAGAGATAGTTACAAAGATGGAACTATCTTCTCCTTTCTAGTCGTGAGGGAGAGATGTGTGTATCCCTGCGTATTTAGTAGTATTCAATCGGACAAGAAATCATGCATCAACGCAGGAGTGACATTTACCAGCTGGTATCGTGAGGAGGTGGGCACTCGGTTGCACAGTACACGGTAGTCCCTCTCCAAAAGAAAGACCTGGGTGAAGTTCTTACCTTGCAGGAAGGAAGCAGAGCCATCTGGCCGCGACAGCAGGTTCTGTTCGCAGGCAAAGTGCCGGAGGCTGCAGCCAGGACCCCGAGGGCTGGACCCTGTTCCATTTTCAGCACGGATTTTGGCGTCAGTATGCGTCTCCTCCTCCATCGCGCCGAGCCCACGTGCGGCTGCAGTTGTCACTTCCGCCTGGCAGCGCGCGCCGCAAACAGGCTGCGTAACCAGTGCGCACGCGCCGGGCTGGGCCATCCTCCTGGGCGTCCGCACGTGGCTTAGCGTTTACCAACAATCTGGCTCCGCCCAGTCCCACCTCCTAACTCTGGCAACGCCATTGGACATTTGGGAACAGAAGGCAGGCCTTGGCATTGATCCGCTTTACTCTGGGCCCCCGGGCCCTAAATCCCTGAGGCCCTGGTCAGGTTGCCCTCTTCTTTGCCTGTTACAGGAGTAACTACAATGAGGCGATTGGAGAAAATTTTGGGTAGATAGATTTTTTTTTCTCCAAATCTCTGTGCATTCTATCTACCACAGAACGGGAAGAAGATGGTTTTCTTGTCAGATGGTGCTGGAGTTTGCGTCAGGCACATAAAGAGGCAGCCCCGAATCTAGCCTACGTGAGTGCCGGACCGCTGAGTGGTTGTTAGCCAAGATGGCGGTAGCGATCGCTGCAGCGAGGGTCTGGCGGCTAAACCGTGGTTTGAGCCAGGCTGCCCTCCTGCTGCTGCGGCAGCCTGGGGCTCGGGGACTGGCTAGATCTGTGAGTACCTGGGCCCCAGGCGGTTTTCCCAAAGGGGATTAGGGATGTAAAGGCTATCTTCAGAGTGTGGGGTCCCTGAAGGATATGAAGGAAGGGCTGTCACAAAAGGGAAAAAGAGTGGGAGACTCCTTGGAGAAGACACCGAAGGGAAGATCTGCCACTTCCTTAGGAGACGAAAAGAACTTCCACTTCTTTAGGAGAGGAAAAAACCCGTTTGCAACTTCTTTGTGGGCCCTGAGGGAGACGACTTGAAGAGAGAGATGGGGGTTCCTTATTAGCTGCCACTGGTATTCAGGGGAGGCTCCTTGGAGGAACAGGGGAAGACCGCAAGACCTTCTCCCTCAGGGTTTGGAGAATGAAACTGACTTTGTAAGGGAGGGACTTTCTTCTGGGCAAAGATCCCTCTTCAAGAAGAAGAAAGAAGAGAACAGGTCCCTGTCACAGGCTGCATAGGGCCTTGTATTTCTTTGCTCCTTTGCCACAATTCTGATTTTAAAATGAATTGTGTAAAAAATTTGTTTGATTCCTGTGTCTCTTGATCGAATATCAAGACAGAGAATTCGTGTGTTCTGGACACTGTACAGAGGAGACGATTAATATTTGTTGAATTAATGAGGGGAAAAAAGGAGGGAGAGAGGTACAGACAGGGCACTTTGCCCACATTTCTTAGAAACACTTGAGAAGGCTTTGTTTCTTGTCAAAAGGGTCACAATCCCTTCAGGTGGATGCTGCTAAGGGCAAGATTACACTGCAAAAAACCTAGGTGGAAGCCTATCTTTAGACGGGGAGAGGCAATGGGTTGCAGAAGAGCTTTGAACTACAGTTGACAGATAGGAGAGTAGTGGTTACATGGGTGGATGCATGTCCTTGCTCTGCCGCTTTCCACTTGTGTAGCCTTGGCCAACGGACTGCACTTCTCTGGATCTATGGAGCTAATTTTCCTCTCTAAAATATTAACAGTGGCCACCTCATAGGGCTGTGAAAAATCAATATGTAAAATGCTAAGGACTGGACCTGGCACATCCTAAGGGCAATAGGAATGTTGATAGTGAGGGTGGAGGGAAGGGACAGAAACTAACCTTGGAGATGGGGAGAAGAAAGGGGTGACCTTGGGAAGGCCTGGATTGGTGAGGCCCTGGGGAAAAAAATCTGAAAAGATATTGTGAGGTTGAGTCTGATCCTCTGATCCCCAATCCATAAGGAGGGGAAGATGGAATCTGTAGAAAGAAGCTCTGGGTAGGGGAACAAACGGGAGGAGGGTGAAGAAGATGGGCCAGGAGTAGGACGTAGTAGGTATCTAGGAACGGAGTCACTTGAAACAGGTAAATACAGAAGGGCTGCAGGAGCAAGGTGTGGGTAGGGCAGTCTCTTGCCTTTGGGCTGGAGACCTTTTCACTTTTTTTTTTTTTTTTTTTTTTGAGCAGTTCATATCCTCCACAGCTGATCTCAGTCCCAGGGGCCCATTGGCTGGGCAAGTGGGGCAGGAGGTGGGCAGGACTGGGGCAGGCTAGGGAAAGGTCATTTATGGCTGATTAAATCTTTCTCTCCTGTCTCAATCTCTTGATTACCTTTCCTCTTGCTTCCCCTACTTCATTTTTGGTGGGGAGTGGGGAGGGAAGAAGTCCCTACTTTTTATTTATATATATTTAAATTTGTATTATCTTAAGAGTTATTGTTTTTTCCCCTTTATTTCTCCCACCTGTTCTTTCTCTCTTCTTCTTTCTTTCCTCTCCTTCTCCTCTCCTCTCCTCCCCTCTCCTTTTTCTTTTCTTTTCTTTTTCCCTTTCCTTTCCTTTCCTTTTCTCTTCTCTTTTCTCTCTCTCTTTCTTTCTGTACCTCTCTTTCCTTTTTCTTTTTTTTTCTTTTTTGAGACAGAGTTTCACTCTCTCGCCTAGGCTGGAGTGCAGCAGCATGATCTTGACTTACTGCAATCTCTGCCTGCCGAGTTCAAGCAATTCTCCTGCCTCAGCCTCCCTAGTAGCTGGGATTACAGGCATGCACTATCACGCCTGGCTAATTTTTGTATTTTTGGTAGGGACGAGGTTTCACCATGTTGTCCAGGCTGGTCTCGAACTTCTGGCCTCAAGTTCCGCCTGTCTTGGCCTCCAAAAGCATGAGCCACTGCGCCTAGCCTTTTCTTTTTTTGAGACAAGGTCTCACTCTGTCACCCAGGCTGGAGTGAGTGCAGTGGTGTGATCATGGCTCACTGCAGCCTCAACCTCCTGGGCTCAAGCAATCCCCCCACCTCCACCTCCTAAGTAGCTGGGACCACAGGCACGTGCTACTACGCCTGGCTAATTTTTAATTTTTTTTTTTTTTTTTGAGACGGAGTCTTGCTCTGTCACCCAAGCTGGAGTGCAGTGGCACGATCTCGGCTCACTGCAACCTCCACTTCCCAGGTTCAAGTGATTCTCCTGCCTCAGCCTCCCAAATAGCTGGGACTACTGGCGTGCGCCACCATACCCAGTTAATTTTTGTATTTTTAGTAGAGATGGGGTTTCACCATGTTGACCAGGCTGGTCTTGAACTCCTGATCTAAGGTGATCTGCCCGCCTCGGCCTCCCAAAGTGCTGGGATTACAGGCATAAGCCACTGTGCCTGGCTGCGCCTGGCTAATTTTTAAATCTTTGTAGAGATGGGGTTTTGCCATGTTTTCCAGGCTGGTCTTGAACTCCTGGACTCAAGCGATCTTCCTGCCTCAGCCTCCCAAAGTGCAGGATGACAAGCGTGAGCCACCTTGCCTGGCCATATTATTAAATTATCATGAGTTTAAGTTTAAGTAGCCACAAGTGGGCTGGGTGCGGTGGCTCATGCCTGTAATCCCAGCATTTTGAGAGGCCAAGGTGGGCGGGTTGCCTGAGGCCAGGAGTTCAAGACCAGCCTGGCCAACATGGTGAAACCCCATCTCTACTAAAAATACAAAAAAATTAGCTGGGCGTAATGGCGTGTGCCTGTAGTCCCAGCTACTTGGGAGGCTGAGGCAGAAGAATCGCTTGAACCTGGGAGGCGGAGATTGCAGTGAGCCGAGATCGCACCACTATACCCCAGCCTAGGTGACAGAGCAGCCCTCTGTCTCAAAATAAGATAGCCACAAGTGGTTGGTGGCTGCCACATTAGATGGTGCAGGGTTTTTGTTTTGTTTTGTTTTTTGTTTTTTCGAGGTGGAGTTTTGCTCTCATTGCCTAGGCTGGAGTGCAATGGCATGATCTTGGCTCACCACAACCTCCTCTTCCTGGGTTCAAGCGATTCTCCTGCCTCAGCCTCCCGAGTAGCTGGGATTACAGGCATGCACCACCATGCCTGGCTAATTTTGTATTTTTAGTAGAGACAGGGTTTCTCCATGTTGATCAGGCTGGTCTTGAACTCCCGACCTCAGGCGACCCACCCACCTCGGCCTCCCAGAGTGCTGGGATTACAGGTGTGAGCCACCATGCCTGGCTAAGATGATGCAGTTTTATCCAGGTGGAGATGAAGAAATAGTCAGGGAAAGGTTGAGAGGCTGCATATTGTAGACAGATTGGATTACTGGGTTCACTGGGGAAGATTGGATTAGAAGGAGGAGTGGGGCTGCTTTACTTGTCCCCGACTTCTTGCCCCTGCTCTGCCCACTCCTTCATTGAATACCCTGCTGCCCTGCAGATGTGTTTGCCTGATTTTCACCTCCCTTCCTGTCTCTGTTATCATAGCAGACGTTTTAGTGCTCAGGGAAAGGAGGAGGAAGGAAACTCAGATTGTCAAGGAATTGTGAGTCAGTTTCTCAGCCACTACCCCAGGCCTGGGCTTGGCTAAGTCATTTCACCTCTCTGACCCTAGCTAGTGGGGTGAATAGAGTCCCTACCCTGTTGGAAGTCAGGAAGCCCCTGGAGCTCGCTCTGTGCTAATTATCGGTGACTATTTCTGTGACCCAGCTCTTCAGGGGCAGCCTGTCTGGGGGTTCCAGTGCCCTGTGCAGTATCTCCAAGTGGTAGGTACTCAGTGTATGTATTAGTCCGTTTTCAGGCTGCTAATAAAAACACACCCAAGACTGGGTAATTTATAAAGAAAAAGAGGCTTAATGGACTCACAGTTCCACATGGCTGGGGAAGCCTCACAAACATGGCGGAAGGCAAATGAGGAGCAAAGTCACATCTTACATGGTGGCAGGCAGACAGAGTGCTTGCAGGGGAACTCCCCTTTATAAAACCATCAGATCTCGTGAGACTTATTCAGTATAATGAGAACAGCACGTGAAAGATCCACCCCCATAATTCAATTACCTCCCACTGGCTCCTTCCCACAACATGTGGGAATTATGGGAGCTATAATTCAAGATGAGATTTGAGTGGGGACAGAGACAAACCATGTCAGTGTGTATTGTGGGATGAATGGAGATGGTCATTACAGTCTTCTAAGTGTATGGGTCCATCTCTTACTTGCTAGTGTGTTAAGAAACCTGGCCTCCTTTTTCACATCTTGAGGCACTGAATGGTTTACAAATCCAACTCTAATTTTTTATTATATTTAATACACCAATAGTGCAAGGCCTTTATTGGTAGTACTCTCCTATTACAGATGGAGAGACTGAGGCTCAGAGAGGTGAGGTCTGAACTTGGAGCTCTGGACTCCAAAACCCAGTTTCTTTTCATGGTACCAGGCTGCCAGGAGGAGAAAGGATGGAGCTTAGATTCAAGTCTTGCAACATTCTTCTTAGTCCAGTATTGGCTTATTTTGTTTTATATTTTTTTGAGACGGAGTCTTGCTCTGTTACCCAGGCTGGAGTGCAGTGGCGTGATTTCTGCTCACTGCAACCTCTGCCTCCTGGGTTAAGCGATTGTCCTGCCTCCCCCTCTCGAGTAGCTGGGACTACAGGTGTGTGCCACCGTGTCCGGCTAATTTTTATATTTTTAATAGAGACAGGGTTTTGCCATGTTGGCCAGGCTGGTCTCGAACTCCTGGCCTCAACTGATCCACCCACCTCAGCCTCCCAAAGTGCTGGGGTTACAGGCGTGAGCCACCATGTGTGGCCGGGCAGGTGATTTTTCTTGTCTTTCGCCTCTTTCCACTTCAGTCCCCCTGGCCATCTTTCCCTTCCTTGAATGTGCCTCCTCCCACCTGGTGGCCTTTGTAGGTATGAGGTCCTTCAGATGATGGCTGACATGACACTTCCTCAGAGAAGCGTTCCAGACCCCAAACACCAGGTCTCTGTCTGTGAAACAGGGACAGTGATACCTGCCTAATCTGCACGCCTTTCCCTTCTCACGAGATATTCTGGGAAGGGGGACTCAACTCTTTGCTCTGTTTGAGGGCAGAGTGCCTTTGAGCTCAGGAGAGAGTGGGTTTGGGTGGCCTTAGCTACCCTAGATACGGAGGACTTGGAGTTAACTGGCACCATCCACAAAGCCTTGCATGCACTGGACCTGAACAAGTTGCTTAGCCCTTGAGGCGGCGCCTCAGCTACCACCTGTCTTTGATGGAGTTATGATAACAGTGCCTGCCCCGTCTGGATGCCTTATGGGTTCAGTGAGCACATAGGTGTAAATAAAGTGCTTTGAGTGGCACCTCAGCATGTAGTTATTCTCTGATTGACCTATAGCAGCCATGCCAGTCTTCAGGGTCCCAGGGCGCCAGGCTTTCTTCTCTTGCCTTGGAGCCTTGGTTTTTCCCTAGGACTGAAGTGTTCTGACCCCTTGGCTGAACTCCCCCTTCTTTAGGAAGCTTTCCCTGGTGTGCCATCTGATGCTGGTGCTTCCTGGAGGGGTACTATCTGATCCTAGCTGGTGAGGCATTCCTGCCAGAGCTGCGGCAGGTGCTTTCCCCGCCTCTCCACCAGCCTGTGAGGTGGATGCCATCCCCACGAGGGCACGCAGGTTCACAGAGACTGGCTCCTGTCCAAGGCCGCGTGGCTGGAAAGAGACAGAACCAGATTCAAACACCAGCAGTTTAACCCTAGAGACCCTCATCCTACCTCCTATGTGGGTAACCACTATACATCCTGCCTCCTCTGAAATCTCCCGTTTTTTTTTATTTTAAAATTTTATGTGAGTATTTACTTATTTATTTGCTGCTGTTGTTATTGTTTTGAGACAGAGTCTTGCTCTGTTTTCACCCAGGCTGGAGTGCAGTGGTGCGATCTTGGCTCACTGCAACCTCTGCCTCCTCGGCTCAAGCGATTCTCGTGCCTCAGTCTCCCGAGTAGCTGGGACTACAGACATGCACCACCATGCCTGGCTAATTTTTGTGTCTTTAGTAGAGATGGGGTTTCGCCATATTGGCCAGGCTGGTCTTGAACTCCTGGCTTCGAGTGAACTGCCTGCCCTGGCCTCCCAAAGTATTGAGATTATAAGCATAAGCCACTGTGCCCGGCCAAAATTTTATTTATTTATTTATTTTTTTGAGATGTAGTCTTGCTCTGTCACCCAGGCTGGAGTGCAGTGGCACAATCTCGGCTCACTGCAAGCTCTGCCTCCCAGGTTGACGCCATTCTCCTGCCTCAGCCTCCCGAGTAGCTGGGACTACAGGCGCCCGCCACCACGCCCGGCTAATTTTTTGTATTTTTAGTAGAGATAGGGTTTCACCTTATTAGCCAGGATGGTCTCGATCTCCCGACCTCATGATCCGCCCGCCTCGGTCTCCCAAAGTGCTGGGATTACAGGCGTGAGCCACCACGCCCAGCCTAATTTTATTTATTAATTTATTTGAGATGGAGTCTCACTCTGTCACCCAGGCTGGAGTGCAGTGGTGCGATCTTGGCTCACTGCAACCTCCACCTCCCAGGTTCAAGCGATTCTCCTGCCTCAGCCTCCTGAGTAGCTGGGACTATAGGTGCGTGCCACCACGCCTGGCTAATTTTTGTATTTTTAGTAGAGATGGGGTTTCACCATCGTGATCAGCCTGACAGGCTGGTCATGAACTCCTGACCTTAAGTGATTCACCTGCCTCAGCCTCCCAAATCTGCTGGGATTACAGGCATGAGCCACCGCACCCAGCCATATTATTTCTGTATTTTCATTTGGCTTACCTGTCAACTTGACACTTTTTTGTTTTTTTAGGCTAGTCAGGTGAAGCAATGTGAGTAAGATCACCTGTCTTGATTATAACTTGTGTGTTCAGTGTTTGTCATTCATCCCTCCCTGTCTCTAGCCTTCAGTTCAGGGCATGATTTGGAGCAAATGTTCAGTATCTGTTTAACAAGAACAATCATGAGAAATACTTACTCACTACTTGTGTTTATGAAACATTATGTGCCAGGCACTGGGCTGAGCAATCCACACAGGTCAACTCGGTTAATCCTCATGACAACCCCTGAGATAAGTACTTATACCACCCTCGGTGTACACAGGAGGAAACTGAGGCTCAGGGAGTTTTTCTTTAAAAATTTTTTCTTTTTTTTTTCCTTGAGACAGGTCTTACTTTGTCACCCAGGCTGGAGTGCAGTGGTGTGATCTTGGCTCACTGCAGCCTCTTGGGCTCCAGCGATCCTCCCACCTCAGCCCCTCAAGTAGTTGGGGAGTACAGGTGTGCACCACCATGCCCAGCTAATTTTTTGTAGGGATGGGGTCTTGCCATGTTATCCAGGCTGGTCTTGAACTCCTGGGCTCAAGCGATCCTCCCTCCTTGGCCTCCCAAAGTGCTGGTATTACAAGTGTGAACCACCACACCTGGCCTTAAATTTTATTTATATATTTATTTTTGTAGAGACGAGGTCTCACTATGTTTCCCAGGCTGGCCTCGAACTCCTGGACTCAAGTGATCCTCTTGCCTCAGCCTCCAGAGTAGCTAGAATTACAGGCGTCTGCCACTGCACTTGGCTCAGGGAGTTTAAGTCACATAATCAGGCAGCGGTCTGCTCAGTTAGAGTCCATGCGCTTAGCCATGGTGCCTTCAAGTGACTCCACCAGGGTCACCCCAGTACTTCCTGGGCAGACCAGACCATCCAGAGCGGGCAGGTTGTGCTTTCCTGCATGGTGGGAGAGGACGTGGCATGAAGCTTTGTGTAAATCTGTGCAGCCTCTGCCATTGTAAATCACTGGCCACCGGGACAGACTCCCCCACCCCCTTCCAAAAACTAGAGGAACAGATGGGTGGAGTCGCATCCTTCCTCTGCAGGCATTTGGCCACCCACTCCCATTATGGAGCATTTCCTCAGGACCAGGCACAGCGTGGAGCCCTTTGCATAGCTCACTGAATTGGGGCAGCAACCCTGGGGCTGGGGACTACCATTATCTCCACCAGCCCAGCAAAGAGGGGAGGAGGGTACAGCCGAGACCCAGCTGCAGTATGTGGAGCACACTGGGGTGCCGTGAAGATAGCTGTCCAGCCTCTAGAGGCTGACAGTCCTGCCCTGACACAGTGGTTTGTTCTCAGACTCTGGCCTCCCCTCTTAGTGCCCGTCTGAAGACTTCAGCCTTCGGTCCTCTTCCATCAGCATGCCGTCTCCCCTGTGCCTCAGTCTCCCTCTCTGGAGTATCTGCTGGGGCCACAGTTTGGTTTTATTGTTCTTTGAGACAGGGTATCACTTTGTTGCCCAGGCTGGAGTGCAATGGTGCAGTCATGGCTCACTGCAGCCTTGACCTCCTGGGCTCAAGCCATCCTCTCACCTCAGCCTCCCGCAACTCCAGTATCTGGACTACATGTAAATGCCACCATTCCCAGCTAATTTTTTTTTTTTTTTTTAGATAGAGTCTCACTCTTGTCACCCAGGCTGGAGTGCAATGGTGCCATCTTGGCTCACTGCAACATCCGCCTCCCAGGTTCAAGCCATTCTCCTGCCTCAGCCTCCCAAGTAGCTGGGATTACAGGCACCTACCATCATGCACGGCTGTTTTTTGTATTTTTAGTAGAGACAGGGTTTCACTATGTTGGCCAGGCTGGTCTTGAACTCCTGACCTCAGGTGATCTGCCTGCCTCGGACTCCCAAAGTGCTGGGATTACAGGCGTGAGCCACCACGCCCAGCCTTCCTGGCTAATTTAAAAATTTTTCAGAGACGAGGGTTTTGCCTAGGCTGGACTCACTATGTTGCCTAGGCTGATCTCGAACCACTGGCCTTAAGTGATCCTCCCACCTCAGCCTCCCAAAGTACTGGGATTACAGGCATGAGCCGCTGCACATCGCCACAGTTTGATTTTAGTATCCACTTTAAGGTGCAGTTAGTTCTTCCCAGCTCCTCTTTTCCCTATCTCATACAGTGTAGTCACTTCCCTTTCTCCCACTTCTCACCTTCCTAGATTTTGTTTTTCTCTCTCTTACCAAGTTTTGAGTATGTAATACGTCCCAGATCGGTGCTGAACCCCTGGTGTGAGTTAACTTAGCAACTTTTCACGTGGTGTTCTGCAGCCTTCTTACAGATAAGGAAATTCAGAGAGGTGAAGTGTTTTTGCAGAGAGCCACACAATGAGCTAAGAAATTAGAACCCAGGGCAGTTGAACTCCAGAGCCAGGGAACTTAACAGCCCATTCATGCATTCACTCAGGAATTCCCTCTTGAGTGCCTGCTGTGAAGGCAACCTGGACGCTGTCTCTGCCTTCCTGGGATTGTGGTGTGTGTGGGAGACAGACACGAAACAAAGCAATCTTCTAGGTCAGTGTCTGGCTATGCTGGGTACTCAGAAGGGGGAAGCACTGTGCTGCAAGAGGCCGGCTGTTTCCTCCTCACAAGGGGAGGCCTGCAGTGACATTGCCAGGCCTGAATCTGCCCTGCCATTGGGAGTGTAATTTCCTCACGACTACAAATGCAAATAAATACACACACTGAACATGCTACCCCGCTAGAACTGTGGACAGCTTGTTCACTGCAGTTAAAGGAAGACGGAGGGACACATTTGAGCACGCATGTGTGAGATCCAGCTTGTGGCAAACCCTGCCATTCTTTAACATCTGTGGGAAGTGAAGCCACCATTACTGACCTCGGAGGAATCCCGGGAGTAGTGGGAAGAAAAGTTGCAGATGTTTGAAAATCAGGCTGCAGGGGCAGTTGGGGTGAGGAGCATGGATGTCTAGGAGCCTGAATCTCAGCGTTGGAAGCCCAGTTCTGATGTAATTTTTTTTTTTTTTTTTTTTTTTGAGACAGGGTCTCACTTTGTCCCCCAGGCTGGAGTGCAGTGGCACAGTCTCAGCTCACTACAGCCTCATCCTTCCAGGTTCAAGCAGTCCTCCTGCCTCAGCCTCCCAAGTAGCTGGGACCACAGGCATGTGTCACCATGCCTTTCTAATGTTTGTATTTTTTTGTGGAGACAGGGTTTCTCACTGTTGCCCAGGCTGGTCTCAAACTCCTGAGCTCATGTGATCCTCCTGCCTTGGCCTTCCAAAGTGCTAGGATTACAGGCGTAAGCCACTGCCCAGCATCCCCACCTTTTTTTTTTTTTTTTTAAATTTGTGGTTTGGTGCAGGTTATTTTACCTCCCCAGGCCTCGGTTTCCTCATCTACTCAAGGGCAATGGCAGATAATCAACCTCACAAATTCCCCGAGGAGTTAGTAGGCTTGTGCCTGCCAGGCTCAGCTGGCTTACAGCAGGTGCTTCATAAGGGGGAGCTATTGCAACGCCTCGGCTGGTTCTAGGCTGCCTAGCTCCAGAGCTAAGAGTCCCAGTGGGTTCATATCCCTTTGAGCATTTATAGGCTTCTCACAGGTCTCCTGGGCTTTCTCAGCCATTCCTCATCTGACCTGAGGAGGTGTGATGTCCTTGCAGGACTCCTCCAGCCCCTCTGAGCTTTTTTTTTTGTTTGAGACAGCATGTTGCTCTGTTGCCCAGGCTGGAGTGCAGTGGTGTGATCATGGCTTACTGCAGCCTCCACCTCCTGGGGTCAAGCGATTCTCCCACCTCAGCCTTCCAAGTAGCTGGGACTATAGGTGTATGTTACCATGCTTGAGTAATTTTTAAAATTTTTTGTAGAGATGTGATCTCAGGCTGGTCTTGAACTCCTGGGCTCACCTGGGCTCAAGTAATCCTTGAGCCCAAAGTGTTGGGATTACAGATATGAGCCACCTTGCCAGGCCCTGAGCTCCTTCTGTCTTCCATGAAGGACACACTATTCCTTGCCTTTTGTCTTTTTTTGTGTGTGTGGCAGGGTCTCTGTTGCCCAGGCTGGGATGTGTTGGTGCAATCTGGGCTTATTGCAACCTCCGCTTCCCGGATTCAAGTGATTCTCCTGCCTCAGCCTCTTGAGTAGCTGGGATTACAGGTGTGCGCAACCACGCCCAGCTAATTTTTGTATTTTTGGTAGACATGGGGTTTCACCATGTTGGCCAGGCTGGTCTCAGCCTCCCGAAGTGTTGGGATTACAGGCATAAGCCACTGTGCCTGGCCACTTTTTGTCTTTTGCATGTTCTATACACCTTGCCGAGAATGTGCTTTCCCTGCCTCCTGGTTATCCCTCAGGTTTCAGCTCTAACATCACTTCCCCAGGGAAGCCTTACCCTCGCTTTCTTCTGCTATAGGATAATATGAACCACCATCATTGTTACTTGTTTAGTGTCTGCCCTCCCTGCTAGGCAGCAAGGACAGATATCTTGCCTGTCTTAGGTCCCCAGAACCCAGCACAGGGCTTGGAACATGTCAGGTGCTCAAATATTTGTTGAATGAGTCAGTCTGGGCTCGCAGAGGGAGCTGGGACCAGAGTAGAGTGGACACTGAAGCGTATGTAGCAGTTTGCCAGGCGATAGGGAAAGAGACCTTCTTGTAAAGCAAGCAGAGATGAGAGGGAGAAATGAGAATTGCTAAGATTGTTTTGAGCATTTGTTAGGTGGCTTACAGATGCTTTGCTGAACATTTTATTCATGTGATCTTGTTTAAGCCTCTCATTTCCATGAGGGGTTCTCCATTTTTATAGACAAGGAAGGGGACACGTGGAGAGGGGAAGTTACTTTGCCATATCACCCTCTAAGGGATTTTTTTTTTTTTTTTTTTTTTTGAGATGGAGTCTCACTGTCACCAGGCTAGAGTGCTATGGCGCAATCTCGGCTCACTGCAACCCCCACCTCCCGGGTTCAAGTGATTCTCTTGCCTCAGCCTCCTGAGTAGCTGGGACTACAGGCATGTGCCACCACATCCGGCTAATTTTTCTATTTTTAGTGGGTACAGGGTTTCGCCATGTTGGCCACATTGATCTCGAACTCCTGACCTCAAGTGAGATTCGCCTGCCTCTGCCTCCTAAAGGCAGTAAGGGAATTGAACCTAGGCAGTCTGACTCTTAAGAGCTCAAAGACTTAAGCTCTGTCCTGAGTAGCTTCGCTGGTGTATGGTATAGGGATCAGAAGAGAGCTGGTCTGTATGCCTAGAGGGCATCCTGCAGTGGGCATGTGTGTCTGTGGTCACAGTGGGAGAGAGAGAGGAGGGGGCATCTGTGGCCAGAATGGGGAGGCCTCGAATGCCAGGATGAAGAGTTTGGGCCTATGGTAATGAGAATAGTAATAGCTACCAGTTATTGACTTGCCAGCCACTTGATTGAGTCATTTAACCTCACAACAGTCCTATGGGATAGGTGTTAACTGTTTTCATCCCAGTTTTTCAGATGGGGAAACTGAGACACAGAAGTTGTAGTCAGTTATCCAAAGTGTCGCAGTGAGAAAGTGCTGGAGTTGGGGCTCAGACCCTGTGAGTCAGGCCCCAGAGTTCACTGGGGCCACATGCTCAACCACCATGCCGCCTGCCTGCCGCCGGGGCTGAGCCAGCGGAAACCTGGGTGCTGCTTCTGATGCAGGTGGTCTCCTCTGCTCTCTTCCCCAGCACCCCCCCAGGCAGCAGCAGCAGTTTTCATCTCTGGATGACAAGCCCCAGTTCCCAGGGGCCTCGGCGGAGTTTATAGATAAGTTGGAATTCATCCAGCCCAACGTCATCTCTGGAATCCCCATCTACCGCGTCATGGACCGGCAAGGCCAGATCATCAACCCCAGCGAGGACCCCCACGTGAGAGGCGGCCTCCCCCACTTCCCGTGCCCCCCACGCCCAGGCCCCTTGCCTGTCTCCTCTCTGGTCCCAACTGCCCCACGTCTATCTGTGCCTCCACCCGCAGCTGCCGAAGGAGAAGGTGCTGAAGCTCTACAAGAGCATGACACTGCTTAACACCATGGACCGCATCCTCTATGAGTCTCAGCGGCAGGTGCGTGGGGACAGGACTAGGGGCGGGGGGCTGGAATTACCTGAGGTCCCCTACCTGTGTTTGGGCCAAAGGAATGGCTCCCAAGGAGGACAGATTCTTTTTTGGGGGGGTTCCATAGAGTTCTGAGGGTTCTCTTGGGACTCTGGAGGAGAAGTGTGAGAGCAGTCCTGCCTTAGGGCAGAAGGATGGACCTGATCACTAAAAAACACCTACTGTGTGCCTGGCTGGGGGCTCGCCTGTGTGGGGAGAGGGCAGGGAGAAGGCCTGACAGCCCTTCCTCTTGGAAATGCACAGTCCTGAGAAACAGGGTGGGTCCCCAGTGCTTCCTGGAGTGCTCCAGGGGACCGCCCTAGGCCCATGTGAAATGGGCTGTGATCCCCTGATAAATCCTAGTATCAGGGACAAGGATCCAGTCAAGCCAGTGTCAACAAAGAGGGAAGTTATTGACTCCAATGACCATACATCCAGAGGGTCCTGTTTTGGGGCACAGCTAGATCCAGGGGGTCTTCCAGGCAGGAAGTAGAGGGAAGGCGGAAGGCCAGACATGGCACATCCCAGCTATCCCACACCCCCACCTTTATAGAGCTTTCTGGGTAGTCCCACCTAGTGACATCTGCATACATTTCCTGGGCCACTCCTAGCTGCAGGGGAGACTGAGAAATGTATTAATAATACTTTAGTCCCGGCAGTTGCTGCCTGCGGGAGATTGAGACCTCTGTTAACAGAGGAGGGGAATAGTATACTGGGAAGGCAACCAGGAGCCTCTGCCAGTAGCCCCGAGTCCTGATCCTCAGGGGGCTGGTTGCAGGCTCTTACCCACGCTAACCTGGACAGTCCTGCCAGGCCCTCAGTACTCAGCACCGCCCACTCACTTGGCACTGGAATGTGCATTAACTTTTAATTGGCTCCCCACTTAGAAGAAAGCACACATTCATCAGTTTCCCCCACAGCAACGGGAAAGCCAGGCCTGGGAACACATGGAGGAGGGCACCGCCGAGCCGCGAGGAGCTCTGGCCCCGGGGTGTCCCTCAGGGTGCTGGCCAGGCTGCCTTTGTTCCGCTTTACACATGGCCCTGTGTGATCTCATGTCCATCCGTATGCCAGGGCTGCCCAGAGCCCCAGCCAGACTGCTTGTCAGAGCCCTGCTTGGCTTCTCGCCCTGGATGTCCCACAGCAAACTAATCCTGTCTGAACTTGACCTCGACATCTTCCTCCCAGGCGTGCTCCTTTGCCTCACCTAGTCCGTTTCTCAGTGAAGAGCACCACCATCCACCTGCTTGCCCACACCAGAAACCTCATCTCATCCCTGTCTCCTCCCTCCCCCTTGCTATCCCTTTCTCCCCTCTCATTCCCTCTGTCTGTAGATATTTCTTTTTTTTTTTTTTTTTTACTTTTGAGATGGAGTTTTGCTCTTGTTGCCCAGGCTGGAGTGCAATGGCACGATCTTGGCTCACCGCCTCCCTGGTTCAAGCGATTCTCCTGCCTCAGCCTCCCGAGTAGCTGGGATTACAGGCATGCGCCACCACACCTGGCTAATTTTGTATTTTTAGTAGAGATGGGGTTTCTCCATGTTGGTCAGTCTGGTCTCGAACTCCCTACCTCAGGTGATCTGCCTGCCTTGGCCTCCCAAAATGGTAGGATTATAGGTGTGAGCCACTGCACCCAGCTGTAGCTACTTCTTTTCTTTTATGTTATTTTTATTTATTTATTTAGAGACGGAGTCCACCTCTGTCGCCCAGGCTGGAGTGCAGTGGCGCAATCTCGGCTCACTGCAACCTCCGCCTCCCAGGTTCAAGTGATTCTCCTGCCTTAGCCCCCCAAGTAGCTGGGATTACAGGCGCCCACCACCACACTCGGCTAATTTTTGTATTTTTAGTAGAGATGGGGTTTCACCACATTGGCCAGGCTAGTCTGGAACTCCTGACCTCAAGTGATCCGCCTGCCTTGGCCTCCCAAAGTACCGGGATTACAGGTGTGAGCCACCGTGCCTAGCCTGTCTGTAGATACATCTTTAGGAAGTGCTCAGCTGCTCAGCAGCACACTCTGAGACCCAGCCCCATCCTTTCTCTGCTTCACTGTTGTTGGTGAGTTGACCTTCGTGCTCTGCTTGTGGCCTCGTGTTCACAGCATGGCTGCTGCATGTCCAAGCTTCATGGCTGTCTGCAAGGCAGGAAGAAGTAGGGAGTGGGTAGGGCTGGCACCAGCAGCAGTGGTCTCTTCTATCCAGAAAGCAAAAGCAGACTTCCACCAAAATATCTGGCTAAAACTGTGTCCCATGGCCACCTCTGGCTGCAAGGGAGGCCAGGGACCTGAGTGCGTGTCTTTTTGAGGCTCAGGTTAGGGGATTTGGGAGAAGGGAACTGGGCACTGGTGTGGCCAGCTGACAGGGTCTGCTGCCCCCTAGCACAGCCGACTCAGCTTCCTCAGACACATCCACCTGCTCCTCTCCCGCCTCCCTCTGCTACCAAGCTGGGCCTCTGCCCCCTCTCTCCTGGCTTGCTGCAATCAGCCTTGATGACTCCATCCATTTACCTCACTGCAGCCTGAGAGCAATTCTAAAACACAGGTCTGACCACATTGCTCCCTTGAGAAGACTGTCGGCAGGTTACCACTATTCTCAGAGTAAAATCAATGTATCGTTCCCTTTGTTATCTGGGTGCCATCTCCTCTCCCTCCTCATCTTTCCCCACCCCTACCACTGTATGTCCCAGCCCTTCTGGCCTCATGGTCTATCATTCCCTCTGCCTGGAACCCTCCACCCACCCCATCTTTGCGCACTGGTCCTCACCGATGCCCTTCCGTGGTGGAACAGGTGCTTCCTTTGGGCTTCTATCACAGCAACTCGATCCCTCTGGCAGTTCTAAGCAGTCTGGCAGCGTCTTCTTAAAGGCAGGAACCCCAGCATGGCCTGGCCCAGGACTGGCCTTCAGGAGGACTGTGAATTCATGGAGGTGTTGGAAGCTGGGCAGGATTTGGATGGCTCTCTGTCATTGCCCAGCATAACCAATTGTGGGACCCCGGTCCCCTCTACACCCCCAGGGCCGGATCTCCTTCTACATGACCAACTATGGTGAGGAGGGCACGCACGTGGGGAGTGCCGCCGCCCTGGACAACACGGACCTGGTGTTTGGCCAGTACCGGGAGGCAGGTACGTCTGTCCGTGGTTTGGCCCTGTGGTCCCCATTGAAGTGTACACTTTAGTTTTTCTGAGTGTTCTTCCAGGAGCAGCATAGTGCCAGGAAGGTCTAAGGAGCTGGAAGAAGAGCTTTCCAAGCAAGAAAGAGACAAGCCAGGGTTAGGACTCTGGAGGGGGCAGTCTTCCCACTCTGAAGGCCAGAAAGTGTAGTGGCTCAGGGTCTGTGCTCTTAACCCTTTGTTACCAGTTGTCAGGTTTTGGGCAAGTCACTTCCCTTCTCTGAGCCTCAGTTTTCTAATCTCCAGAAGAGGGATTATGACGGTACCTGCATCCAAGGGTCGCTGGGAGGATGCAGTGAAGTCAACGTTCGCTGTGGGTGTGGCCTGTGCAGGAGACCCTGTCTGCCTGGTGCAGTGATCCCCTGGCCCCTCCTCAGGTGCTGTATCCTTCGGGGAGCAGGAGCAGGTGGAAGAACCTTGACAGACCTGAGTGCGGTGCAAGATTAGAGGGGCCCGGCAAGCCCAGATGAGTGAAAGGAAGGAAGGGTCAAAGACCAGGAATGAAGAAAATCATTGAGCAGGAATGAGTGCCTGGGAGCGAAGGAGTGAGCCCAGGGAGCAGTGAGTGGGGTCTTCCAGGGAGCTTGTTGGTGTGGGGCCCTGCATGGGGACTACCCTCAGAGTGTCAGCGAGCACTGATAGGGCCAGGAAGGCATATCTTAACCCTTTGTCTTAGATGCTTGGGGCAAGTTGCTTAACTGCCCTGTGCCTCTGTTTCCTCATTCGTAAGGGGGATGGTAGCCCTTCCCAAGACAGCTGTTGAGGGCAGTCTTGGGGCAGTTGGCAAAGTGCCCTCAGCACAGAGTAAGCGCTCAGGGCCAGGGGTTGGTGTCATGATCGGGGACTCGCCCTGGGACAGCCCTTCAGCAGGGCCAGACCACGTGGCTGTCCAGAGCCCCCATGGACCAGCATGGCTTGCAGCCTGCTCCTGGACTGTCTACTGCTCACAGCTGGACCAGGCCCTTGGCCCCACATGCTCTAGGAGGGCAAACGCCCTGTGGTGTTTGTCTAAGGTCTAGTGTCATCCGTGCGGAAAAAGATTTCCAGACACCAGGCAGCAAGCTGGGCCCCCGCCAGCTGTGCTGAGCACTGCACCTGTTTTTGCTGAAGGGTTCTCTTGTGAGGGCACCAGGCAGGACCGAGCAAGCCTCATGGGAATCATGGGAGCCGCTGAGCTCTCCACATGGGAGAGCTGGCCGCCTCTGCAAGAATGACTGTCCAGCACTGAGGGTCAGCAGAAGTGTCTGGGCAGCTGCAAATGGGACTCATGCAGAGGCAGCATGGTGCAGGGTAAGGAGTTGAGTCACATCCACTCTAGACTTCACTTGGCAGGCCACTCACCTTGGTGACGCTGTCTGTCGTCTGTGAAGTGAGAAGAGTGGTGTTCATCATGATAGGTAGTGCCTCCCTGGGCTCTTGACACCAGAGTGCTGTTCTTTTTTTCTTCTCCTTTTTTTTTTTTGAGATGGAATCTCGCTCTGTTGCCCAGGCTGGAGTGCAGTGGCGCGATCTCGGCTCACTGCAAGCTCCACCTCCTGGGTTCACGCCATTCTCCTGCTTCAGCCTCCCGAGTAGCTGGGACTACAGGCGCCCACCACCATGCCTGGCTAATTTTTTGTATTTTTAGTAGAGGCGGGTTTCACCATGTTAGCCAGGATGGTCTTGATCTCCTGACCTTGCGATCCGCCCTCCTCCACCTCCTAAAGTGCTGGGATTACAGGCGTGAGCCACCATGCCTGGCCTTTTTTTTTTTTTTTGAGGTGGAGTCTCACTCTGTCGCCCAGGCTGGAGTACGGTGGCGCAGTCTTGGCTCATTGCAACTTCTGCCTTCCAGGTTCAGGTGATTCTCCTGCCTCAGACTCCGGAGTAGCTGGAATTAAAGGCATGCACCACCATGCCTGGCTAATTTTTGTATTTTTAGTAGAGATGGGGTTTCACCACGTTGGTCAGGCTGGTTTCAAACTCCTGACCTCAAGTGATTCGTTTGCCTTGGCCTCCCAAAGTGCTGGGGATTACAGGCATGAGCCACCGCGCCGGGCCAGCCAAGGTGCTGTTATATGTGCTCTTTAGCCTCGGAGACTGTCATTTCCCCTCACTGCACTGCAGAGCGAGGGCACACCGGGTGAGGTTAGGGCAGGCCCCAGTGGTGTTGCCTCATTGAGGCACCTCCCCCATCCATGTGAGGCAGGAGAGGCAAGCATTACCATCAACTCTAAAAGCCAGGTAAGAACCTGAGTCAACAAAGGTGAGGTCATGGGCCCAGGCCACATTCTCCTAAGGAGTGGAGCCGAGTCTTTTTATGGCAGTCTGACCCAGAGACAGCTCTCGCTGTTTCCCACCCTTGGCTGTCTTCCCAGGGCTATATGTGGAGTATCAGTGGTGGCACTGGCAGGGAGTGGCGCCCGGTGAAAAGGAGTGTTAAGAGGAAGCACGTGCCAGGTGTGGTGGCTCACGCCTGTAATCCCAGCACTTCGGGAGGCTGAGGCGGGAGGATTGCTTGAGCCCAGGAGTTTGATACCAGCCTGGGCAACATGGCGAGACCCCCATCTCTAAAAAATTAAAAAATTAGCCAGGCGTGGTGGTGCACACCTGTAGTCCCAGCTACTCAGGAAGCTGAGTGGGAGGATTGCTTGAGCCCAGAGGTTCAAGACTGCAGTGAGCTATGATTCCACCACCGAACTCCAGTTTGGGTGACAGAGTAAGATCCTGTCTCTGAGACCAACAAGAAAAGAGGTAGCATGTGTCAAGCAAGAGCAGCAGTTCCCACTGGACCTGGAGTTTCCTGGTGCAAATCAGCCTGTGAGTCTGTATTTTCTTTTTTCTTCAAGACGGGGTCTTACTCTGTCACCCAGGTTGAAGTGCAGTGGCATGATCTCGGCTCACTGCAACCTCTGCCTCTTAGGATCAAGTGATCCTCCCACCTCAGCCCCCTGAATAGCTGGGACCACAGGTGCACGCCACCACACCTGGCTAATTTTTTTTTTGATTTTTGGTAGAGACGGGGTTTCGCTGTGTTGCCCAGGCTGGTCTCAAACTCCTGAGCTCAAGCAGTCCACCTGCCTCACCCTTCCAAAGTGCTGGGATTACAGGCACGAGCCACTGAGCCTGACAAGTTTGTACTTTTAGCACGTTCCCCTGCCCCTGCCCAGTCCTTCTCACATGGGTGGACCTAGTACCACATTCTGAGAAAGCCTGATTCCAAGGTCCTGTATCAGTCCCTTGGACCTTCTTTGACCCTCTACAAGACCTTTCTTTCCCTCCTTAACCAGAGCAACTCCTGTTTCTATCTGTTACATATGCAGCACAGCCACATCTTGTGTGGATTTGTATTATGTCCATTCAAAAGCATGTGTCAGAAAATACCAGTAAACCTGTATTAAAGTTGGATGTTGAAGTAGTGCTAACCACCCTCAACTCTAACTAAAATATCAACAAGTGGGCTGGGCGTGGTGGCTCACACCTGTAATTGCAGCACTTTGGGAGGCTGAGGTGGGTGGATCACCTGAGGTCGGGAGTTTGAGACCAGCCTGACCAACATGGAGAAACCCCGTCTCTCCTGAAAATGCAAAAATTAGCTGGATGTGGTGGCACATGCCTGTAATCCCAGCTACTCAGGAGGCTGAGGCAGGAGAATCGCTTGAACCCAGGAGGCAGAGGTTGCAGTGAGCCAAGATTGCGCCATTGCATTCTGGGCAACAAGAGCAAAACTCCGTCTCAAAAAAAAAAAAAGAAAGAAAATTAGGTAGATCTAGTGGTGCACACCTGGAATCCCAGCTATCTGGGAGGCTGAGGCATAAGAATTGCTTGAACCTGGAAGGTGGAGGTTGCAGTGAGCTCAGATTGCGCCACTGCACTCCAGCCTGGGTGGCCAAGCCAGACTCTGTCTCAAAAAAAAAAAAAAAAAAAAAAAAAGGTAACTGCTGTGTGTAATGTGATCTCCATTAAATTTGTATCTAAAGAGCGGGTTCTGCGGTAAAGAAAGGATTTGGAAAGCACTGTACTAGAGAGCTCCCTCTGAATAATGTTCCCGGTCTGAGTGCTTGCAGCATTGATCCACAGCGCTGCCCCTAAAGTGTTGGTGTGAAGGTTGTCCCACTCTTCAGGCGGGGCAAAGAGCTTGTCTGAGGGCAATCACAAACCCCCTTCTGTCTTCTAACTTCGGAGGAAGGGCCCCCTTAACCTGGAGCGGTTCCCTTTGATGGGGAGGTGGGTGTTCACCAGAGGTTTTGTTTGAAGAAAAGGTTTTACTGCCATACATGGGTTAGAGTACTTCTGTAGTCCAGAAGTTGTAAATTAGTGGTCTATGCTGTTATTTGGTTCATAATGATGATTTTTTTTTTTTTTCGAGACAGGGTCTTGCTTTGTAGCCCAGATTGGAGTGCAGTGGCACGATCTCAGCTGCCTGCAGCCTTGAACTTCTGGGCTGAAGCAATCCTCTGCCTCAGCCTCCCAAGTAGCTGGAACCACAGGCACACATCACCATGCCTGGCTAATGTTTTGATTTTTTTTTTTTTTTGTAGAAGCGAGGCCTCACCATGTTGCTCAGGCTGGTCTCCAACTCCTGGGCTCAAGCGATCCTCCAACGTCAGCCTCTCAAAGTGCTGGGATTACAGGCATGAACCACCATGCCTGGCCATAGTAATGATTTATGGTTAGAATATTTCTTAAAGGTAATTGAATTAGTTGAAAGCACTTAAATACCAGACAATATCTCACTAAGAGAAAGAAAGAAAAAGGCTAGATTTCTGCTTTCTTTTGAAAAATCAGATTGGCCTTGCTGGGCAGAGTCAGTCAGTCTGAACATCAGTCTTCCTCTTAAAACAAGCCTGAGCTTTCCTGTCTGCCTGCCAGCATGCTGCAGGTCACCCACAGGGCTGAACTGTCCCCCTGTACTGCCCACTCGGCTAACCATTGCCTCCTCCCCTCCTAGGTGTGCTGATGTATCGGGACTACCCCCTGGAACTATTCATGGCCCAGTGCTATGGCAACATCAGTGACTTGGGCAAGGGGCGCCAGATGCCTGTCCACTACGGCTGCAAGGAACGCCACTTCGTCACTATCTCCTCTCCACTGGCCACGCAGATCCCTCAGGGTGAGGATGCATGCCCTGTACCTTGCACATGTGCAGACCAATGTCACACCCCTGTCCAGGCCTCAGCTCTTTTGCCTGCCTTCTGGGTGGAATTCTGGGTTGGTGACACCACTAGAGCCCTGGTCTGTGCTCCAGACTTCTTCTTCTTATTTTTTTCTTTTTTGAGACGGAGTCTTGCACTGTTGCCCAGGCTAGAGTGCAGTGGTGCTATCGCAGCTCACTGCAGCCTCCTTCTCCCAGCTTCAAGCAATTCTCCTGCCTCAGCCTCCCGATTAGCTGAGACTACAGGTGTGCACCACCACGCCCAGCTAATTTTTGTATTTTTAATAGAGACAGGGTTTCACCGTGTTGGCCAGGCTGGTCTCAAACTCCCGGCCTCAGGTGATCCACCCGCCTCAGCCTCTCAAAGTGCTGGGATTACAGGCGTTTAAGCCATTGTGCCCAGCCCACTTTTTTTTTTTTTTTTTTTTTTTTTTTTTTTTTGGTCTGAGACGGGGTTTCACTCTCGTCAGCCAGGTTGGAGTGCAATGGTGCAATCTCGGCTCACTGTAACCTCCACCTCCCAGGCTCAAGTGATTCTCCTGCCTTAGCCTCCTGAGTAGCTGGGATTATGGGCATATGCCATTGTGCTTGGCTAAATTTTTGTATTTTTTGTAGAGATAAGGTTTCACCATTTTGGCCAGGCTGGTCTTGAACCTGAGTTCAAGTGATCTGCCCACCTTGGCCTCTCAAAGTGCTGGGATTACAGATGTGAGCCACTGCACCTGGCCTGTGTTCCAGACTTTGAATGCACCTCTTGTCTGGGACCCTTCAGAAGAGGGCTCTGTTGCTGTCCCCACCCCATTCAGGGGCCTGAAGCCTGTGTGACCACACTCTGGATTTCCCAACCACATGCCTACTGCATTTGTCTGCTCACAAACATAGCCAACGTGTGCACCAGGTTCCACTGTGCCAATGCTTCACGTTCATCATCTAATAAGGACCCTCATTGTGGCCATGGGGACAGAGGTTATTATTTGCTCTTGTTCCTGTTTTCAAGAGCAGGATGCCCGTGTTTTGTGTGTGTGTGAGAGACAGCAAGTGAATGGGAAAAAAAAAAGTGCAGGAGCCTGGCCAACATGGCAAAGCCCTGTCCCTACTAAACATACAAAAATTAGCTTGGCATGGTGGTGCACACCTGTAATCCTAGCTACTCAGGAGGCTGAAGCAGGAGGATTGCTTGAACCTGGGAGGCAGAGTTTGCAGTGAGCTGAGATCGTGCCATTGCACTCTAGCCAAAGTGAGATCCTGTCTCAAAAAAAAAAAAAAGGAAATTGAAGTCAAAGAGGGAAGTCACTCGCTAACGGTCATGTGGCACAGAGGGAGAGGAGCAGGGACTCAAGTCATTGACTGTGTACCTCCAGAGCCTGGGTTCTTGGCCCTGACCTTTGTCTGCCTCAGTCCTCAGAGTCAAGTAAGCTTCCCCAAAGCTTACCGTAGGTGCCCTGAAGTCCCTTCCCTTATAAGAGCTTTTTTGGGAAGCAAACCCACTGGGTGCCAGGCCTGCACCCTCATAGTGTGGAGAACAAGGAATCGGAGCCCCTTCCTGTCCTCCGGGGCCTGTAGCCTGATCTAGGGTTGGTCTGGGCCCTGGCTTCTTTGCCCTAGGGCAGCTGAGATGCATGAGTTTGTGTCTCTCCAGGCCTCAGCACTGTGCCCAGCACAGCAGGAGGCTCCACACCCCTTAGCTCATAGTGTTCTTTTGTTGAGGAACAAGAAGCAGTTTGAGCCTCTTAGGTGGGAGGTGGGCAGGGAAGCTTTCTCAGAGGAGGGGGCATTTAGGGGGCATTTGAGCTAAAGGTAATAGGGTTTCCACAAGGCTGGGGCGTGGCCCTAACCTTCCCTCTGGGTCCCTGCTAAGTCACTTCAAATACACGAAGTTCCTGCCATGTGCCGGTGCCACTCCAAGTGCAGGGAACAAAAGCAACGCAAACCTCAGCCCTCCTGGTGCTGCCATTGTGGTGGGGGAGACGGACAGTAACAGAGATGGAGAGGGAACTCCTGGAGTATATGAGGGTGGGGGTCCTGTAGGGAGCAGCCAAGCCAGCCGGGTGTGGTGCACTGTAGGGGTGGCTGGGGTCCGTCACTGGAGTGACACTGAAGTATGGACCAGAGGATGTGAGGGGGGAGCTGTGTGGTGTCTTGAGGCAGGTGTGAGCCTGGCGTGTTTGAGGAGCTGGGAGGAGCCCAGAGGGGCAGGTGTGGAGTGAGCAGGTGTGGAGTGAGCGGGTGTAGGGTGAGCAGGTGTGGGGTGGTTGGAGGTAAAGTCCAGGAGGTGGTGGGTGGGGGTGCAGATGGTGCAGGTTGGGTGGGGCCTCAAGGCCTTTGCCTGTTGCAGGGATGTCGACTTTTACTCAAAGTGGGACAGGAGCCGTGGGTGGGGAGGAGTCTGCTCTTCCTTGGCCTGGCTCACCTCTTCATGGAATCCGCGGGCTGCCCTGTGGATAAGGGATTGGGCAGTGTGTGAAGGGCTAGTAAGGAGGCTGCTCAGTAACTTGGGCTTGACCAGGGTGGTGCAGAGGAGGAGGTAAGAGGGGTTAGGTTCTGAAGGTGGAGTAGATGTGGAGAATGGCGGGAAGTTTGGCTTGGAGATGATACTGGACTCTTCAGCCTGAGCAGTTGGAAGGGTGGAGTTGCTTTCAGCTGAGCAAGAGGAGACCTGGGTGGGCAGATGCTGGGGGGCATCAGGAGCTGAGGTGTTTCCTTTCCCCTTGAAGCCTGGTGACTGCTGGCCTGAGCCACGCTTGAGCCGTGGGTCATGTGAGTGTGAATGAGTGTGAGTGCATGTGAGTCTCCGCCCCTGCTCACCACCCTCTCATCCCCTGCAGCGGTGGGGGCGGCGTACGCAGCCAAGCGGGCCAATGCCAACAGGGTCGTCATCTGTTACTTCGGCGAGGGGGCAGCCAGTGAGGGGGACGCCCATGCCGGCTTCAACTTCGCTGCCACACTTGAGTGCCCCATCATCTTCTTCTGCCGGAACAATGGCTACGCCATCTCCACGCCCACCTCTGAGCAGTATCGCGGCGATGGCATTGGTATGGGCTCTGCTGGCTGCTCCCCACCCCGCTGGGATCATCTCCTTCCCTCCCCAATCCTGCCACCTTCCTGCCACCCCTACCCTCCTTCCTGGTTCTCGTCCTGTGTCCTGTGGCGTCTGGCACTTGGTCAGCCACAGGAGTTGAGGTCCTGAGCACTCAGCCTTGCTCTCTGTCCTCTCCCTGCTCGTCCCCTTGGCCTCGTGCATGTTCCTTATCTCAGCCCTGGCCTGACCTGCCTTCTCTGTGTCCCCACAGCAGCACGAGGCCCCGGGTATGGCATCATGTCAATCCGCGTGGATGGTAATGATGTGTTTGCCGTATACAACGCCACAAAGGAGGCCCGACGGCGGGCTGTGGCAGAGAACCAGCCCTTCCTCATCGAGGCCATGACCTACAGGTGCCTGCCGCTCCCCCCGTCAGCACCCCCACAGCACTGACAGCCACCGTAGCATCTTCCTCATATCGATCACTGTCTCCAAAACATGGCCTTATCACCTGATGTTGCATCTCCCCCTTGCCTTTATTCCGTTTCCACTCCTCCTTCCCTAGTTCATCCCCCATCCTCCCTCCTGACCCCCACTCCAGGGAGCCCACACTGACCTGGGGCCCCTTGCCCCTGTGCAGGATCGGGCACCACAGCACCAGTGACGACAGTTCAGCGTACCGCTCGGTGGATGAGGTCAATTACTGGGATAAACAGGACCACCCCATCTCCCGGCTGCGGCACTATCTGCTGAGCCAAGGCTGGTGGGATGAGGAGCAGGAGAAGGCCTGGAGGAAGCAGTCCCGCAGGAAGGTGAGGGTGCCCCGCCCGGGAGGGTGTGCTGGGGGCTGCTGCGGCCTGCAGAGCTTGGGAAGGATTTGTGGAACACCGAACTGGGAGGCTCAGGGATAACCCCAGTGATGTCTCAGATGTGGCCTGTGGAGCCAGGCTGCTGGGGCCATGTGTGTCCTGGCTCTGTGTCCTTGGCATGTTGCCCTCCACTTCCTTGTCTTTGAAAGGGGATGCTGGTGGTGCCCATTTCAGAAACTGGTTTGAGACTGGGCATGGTGGCTCACACCTGTAATCCCAGCACTTTGGGAGGCCGAGGTGGCAGATCACTTGAGGTCAGGAGCTTGAGAACAGCCTGGCCAAACATGGTCAAGCCCTGTCTCTACTAAAAATACAAAAATTAGGGCTGGGCGCAGTGGCTCACGCCTGTAATCCCAGCACTTTGGGAGGCCAAGGCGGACAGATCACCTGAGGTCGGGAGTTTGAGACCAGCCTGGCCAACATGGTGAAACCTCGTCTCTAATAAAAATACAAAAATTAGCCGGGCATGGTGCCGGGTGCCTGTAATCCCAGCTACTTGGGAGGCCGAGGCAGGAGAATTGCTTGAACCTGGGAGGTAGAGGTTGCAGTGAGCTGAGATCGTACCATTGCACTCCAGCCTGGGCAACGAGAGCAAGACTCCATCTCAAAAAAAAAAATTAGCCAGGCGTGGTGGTGCGTGCCTGTAGTCCCAGCTACTCAGGAAGGTGAGGCAGAAGAATCGCTTGAACCCGGGAGGTGGAACTTGCAGTGATTGGAGATGGCGCCACTGCACTCCAGCCTGGGCAACAGAGCAAGACTATCTCTTAAAAAAAAAAAAAAGCTGGTTTGAGGATTAGGTGGCAAACCGTGGTGGAGTGTACATGCCCTGCCCAGAGTCAGTGTGCCACCCTCCCTGGCCCGGTCATTAGGACCCAGGGCCCGTGCAGCCCAGTGGTGAGGGCAGCACCCGGCATAGGGCAGCACCGTGTGTCCTGTCCCTGCCCTTCTCTGTGCCTCAGTTTCCTCATTGCTTAGCTGTCTACCTCTTAGGGCTGCTGAAAGCCTTAAATGATTCCACACACTTGGATAGCACCTGATCCCTGCTGGGATTTGAGGGTTTTCATTACACTTCTGCTAGGATAATCATTTCCATTGTCGAGGTGGGAACACAAAGGCTTGGAGTGGTTAATTCCTTGCCAAGGCCCCGCAGGAGGAAGCAGGGTCCTGCATGGGAGGCCGGCTAGCCTGCCCACTGCCCCATGTCCCCACAGGTGATGGAGGCCTTTGAGCAGGCCGAGCGGAAGCCCAAACCCAACCCCAACCTACTCTTCTCAGACGTGTATCAGGAGATGCCCGCCCAGCTCCGCAAGCAGCAGGAGTCTCTGGCCCGCCACCTGCAGACCTACGGGGAGCACTACCCACTGGATCACTTCGATAAGTGAGACCTGCTCAGCCCACCCCCACCCATCCTCAGCTACCCCGAGAGGTAGCCCCACTCTAAGGGGAGCAGGGGGACCTGACAGCACACCACTGTCTTCCCCAGTCAGCTCCCTCTAAAATACTCAGCGGCCAGGGCGGCTGCCACTCTTCACCCCTGCTCCTCCCGGCTGTTACATTGTCAGGGGACAGCATCTGCAGCAGTTGCTGAGGCTCCGTCAGCCCCCTCTTCACCTGTTGTTACAGTGCCTTCTCCCAGGGGCTGGGTGAGGGCACATTCAGGACTAGAAGCCCCTCTGGGCATGGGGTGGACATGGCAGGTCAGCCTGTGGAACTTGCGCAGGTGCGAGTGGCCAGCAGAGGTCACGAATAAACTGCATCTCTGCGCCTGGCTCTCTACCACCTCTGGTCTTTGTTTCCTGGAGTTTGGGGGTGATTTGAGGCCACCCCCAGCTTCTCCACCTTAGATAAATAAGGTCAAGGCTCTTGAGATACCTACTTCCCCCGGAAGCTTGCGCAAGCTGGAAGGTTAACTTCAGCAGACAGGATGGGGGTGGGGGGGTCCTCCAGAGATGGTCTCCTGCTCTCTCACAGAATGGGAGAAGCCTGCTGTCCAGCAGAGTGATGGGGAGCCCAGTGGAGCTAGCCCTGCCCAGCAGGGGTGCAGGGGAGCGTCCAGGATGAAGGTCAGGGTGTGGCCAAGCCCTGCTCCCCACCACTCCAGGGCCCCACAGATGCAAAAACAACCCCAGGCCTCAGAGTGGGGAGTGCATGTTTTTCAAAAACAAAAAGTAGGCAAAAACAGTCCACCACCCCATCTTTCCTGCCCAGGCCCCTGGCTGGGGGAGGCCAAGGAGTGGCTTAAGTTGTCCAGCTTCTGGGCCCTCCTCCCTCCCATCAAGACCTGGAAGGAGGGGCTGAGCCAGGGGCCGGCCCCAGAGGCCCAGGCCAGGTCAGCACCTCCGCCCTCCCCAATGAGAGTCAGCACTGGAGCCTTGGGTCTTGCAGTTGTTTCCAGAGCCGAATGCTGGCCTGGGGGCCCAGGGGCCGTACCAGCAGCAGGTTGCGGAAAGCACAGTGGTCCGCAGTGCGGTCTGCTGGCCAGGCTGTGAGGAAGCCTGGGTGGGCCTGGGGCACCAGGCCCAGGGCTCGGATGCAAAGGCCAGTGTAGACGTCCTCAAAGGGGAAGGGTGCCACACGGGCTGCCGCCCGCAGCAGCCAGGGTGCCAGGCGCCCGGCAATGACGTAGCCACCCCCGCTTGCATAGGCTGGGTAGCCACCTTCGAAGAAGGACTCGGGCACATAGAAGGGTCCTCCTGGCTTCCGGAGAGGCATGGCCTGGGTAAAGACCTCACCCAGGTAGAGGCTTCGGGCCGAGGCAGGTGGCAGGGCCCGCAGGTGAGCCAGCAGGGCAGGGGTGTGTACAAAGGCATCGTCCTGAGCTCGCAAGACAAAACTCACGGTGGGGCAGTGGCGGCCCAGCCAGGCCAGCAGCAGCAGGTCTTTGAGCGTCTGGTTGAATGGGACGTCGAGGAAGTCCCAGAGCAGCAGGTCACTGTAGCGACGGCTCTCCCAGGCCACTAGTGAGTCTAGGTCAGGCCCCGCCTCACCCACCGGAGACCCTAGCAGGAAGAGCAGCCGGATCCCTGGAGCTGGACTGCCCCACGTCTCTCTCACGGCCTGTCGTTCTGCAAAGCGCCCTGGTTCTGACTTGACGGCCAACAGCAGGTAGGGGACATCAGTATCTGAGCAGCTGGAGACTTGGCTGCCACCACCTCCAGGCAGCCACTGTGGGAAGCTCCGGCAGGCTGCTGACAGCAAGAAGCGGCGGAGGTCCTTGGGGTAGGAGGCGAAGTCAGGGATCTCGGTGGCGGCGGCGGCCCCCCAAGCCTGGCAGCCCCCCGTTTCAGTGCTGTCCCCACTGGGCAGGGACCCCAGCCGCCACTGCTGCTGGTTCCAGTAAGCAAAGGGCAGCGGGATAGTCTGGCCCAGGCGGGTGGAGAGGTTGGCAGGTAGGGTGGGCTCAGGGTTGGCTGGCGTGGGGCTTGGCGGGGTGCCCCGAGGGCTGGGGTAGGCCTTGCTGAGCCGGGACTCGGATGTCCACTCGATGTACACTTTGAGGCCCAGGAGTGTGAGCAGTGCTGACAGGCAGAGAAGGCACTTGGGGCAGCGCATGACCCGGCCCAGGGAAGGGGCGGCCGCGGGAGCTACAAGGGAGCCACAGGGGAGCCACGGAGGCCATTGGGGTGTGGGGATGGGCCTCCAGAGAGGGCCCAGCCAGGCCCCAGGCAGACAGCTTCACAATCTCCCATAGTCCCCGCCAACCCCCATAACAGATTCTCTCGGTCCCAGATCCTAAACAGCTCCCCTGACCCAGGGACCTCGTTGGTCCTTATTCCTAGACCTAGGAGTCCCCCATTCCAATCCCGTACCAGCACCCTGTTCTTCCCACTCCGTCCAAATGCTTCCACCTTCCTAAAAGCCCAAGGGTCTACCTCTTCCCTGTCTCCATCCAGGACAAGGGACCTTGCCGTCTATCTCCTCCCTCTCCCTCCATTTATTGCCCTCACCAGGAAATCAGGAGCGGGATTCCTAGCTCCCTGGGGTTAGAAACCCAGCCTGCCTCCCGCAACACCCCAACCCCAGGGACTGGGGAACCAGGGATCCCATGCTTTTTTACCTCTGGGTCTGGCTCCCGCCAGCTCCGGGTGCCGGCCTCAGGTCAGGCCTCCCTCAGCTCCCTCTGATCTGCCTGCCCCAGCCCCTGTGTTGTCGACCGGCGGGGCCCAGCCCTGCCCAGCCAGTCCAGAGGGGCGGGGAGGGGAGTGGAGCGGGAGCAGGGAGGGCCCCAGGGGCCGGGGCGGGGCTGAGGCAGGAGAGAGGGAGGGAGGGAGGGAGGGAGGAGGGCAGGAGGCCGACCTGAGAGATGGGGCTCTGGCGTGTTAGGGCTGGTTTCTGGTGAGACAGCTGGGAAGGGTGCAGGGGGCAGCCACAGAAACAAGACGGGGGCTTTGTGAGGCCTGGGAGGGGAGAACCAGGGCCAGGGGGTGCCAGGGAGGGTGGGGCTGAAGGCTGGGCCTGGGCTGGGGAGTGTTAGAGTGACCAGGGCGAGGCAGGGTCCCACTGAGGCAGAGATGGGGAGGCTGAGAGGCTGGCGCCCGGCTGCACCCATGGCCAGGAGGCGGCAGTGAATGTGCTGAGTGGGAAGGGATCGGCGGGCCTGCCAGAGGGATGTTTGTTGTTGCTGCCCAGTCAGGGTGAGGTGGGGGGAACGGGGCTGGTGAGGAGAAGGAGAGACAGAGACATTGTGGAGAGGGAAGAGACGGCCAGGGAGCAGAGAGAGGAGAACTGGGGTGAGACAGGCGATGGAGAGAGCTGAGGGGGAGAGAGAGAGAAGACGGGCAAGTGGGAAGGTGGCCAGGAGGGAGAGGGGGAGGGAAATGGAGATGGCGAGAAAGATAAGGGGTTGCGGAAGCCCTGTGGGGTGCTCATGGGGAAAGAGAGGTTGAGAGAGGCAGGTGGAGGGCAGAGGGGAGGGACTCAGGCTTCCGAGCCAGACCCAGGCAGAGGCGGAGAGGGAGCCAAGGGGAAGAACAGGAGAGGAAAAGACTGGAGCTTCAAGGGCAATAGAGGGTGACGGGGTGGGGCCCACGGGGAACCCCGGGAGCTAAGCTGATCCCCTGTACCTCCTCCATCCCTCTCGGCACCCGGGCTGCCTGCCCAGCAGCGTGGGAATCTGTTCCTACCTTACCCCCAACCTCCGGCCTGGAGCCAGCCTCACCCCGGGCCCCTCCCCTCCCCCAGCGGCACTGTGACTCCAGGAACACTCACATCCAGCCCCTTGGGGCAGGAGGGGGTGTCTGCCTGTGTTTGCATCCCTGCCCTCCAGGGGCCCCTGCTGTTGGGACTGCATCAGCTCTCTGAAGACCTCCCAAGACATGGGGTAAGACTAAGGGGCTCCCACTAAGCCTGGGCTGACCCCTTCACTCCACCCTGGTTTGGGGCAGGCCTGTCCCCATCATGGCAGGAACACAGTCTGTCAGCAGCAGCAGTTGATGATCTGTCCAGCCCTGATTTCCTCCCCCAAAGTTTGAATAATGGAGCCTGTGGGAACAGCTGGAGGAAGAGAGTGGGGAGGAAGTGGTGAATATTAATGGAATAATAGTTGGAGTGGGAAATGACAGCTAGGGGCTGGGGGCAGGGGCCCGAGCACCTCCTGAGGGAGTCTGCAAGCCCACTCCACTCTGGGGCTGGGGGAGAGGGACTCCAGGCCCCCTGAGCTCATCTAGCTTCTGGGGGCAGGGGGTGCTGCTCCTCCTGGAAGCATTAGGAAGCTTCACAAGGTGCCTTTCTTTTTGCCTTTGCCATGTGCCTCAGTCCGGGTCCAATCAGGAGAGAGAAACCACACAGGAATGGGAATAGGGAAAGTTCAATATACAGAATGATTAACTCTCATGGGATTGGCCACTAAGGGGTGCCTTCTTGGGGAACATGGTTGGAGGGTGGACATGCTGGTGGAACACGATCATTCCAATCCAACACTTCTGTCTCCCCAAGCCTTGGGACTCCCCTCACCCATCTTATGCTAGGGCAGTTCTGGTCTCTCTGCCTCATTAACTTTAGGCCACTGTTGGATCCAAGTTCCGGTTAGGCACCCAAGCAAGCTATTAGAACTACGTCCAGCTGCACAAGGTAACCCATGAAATCCAGAAGCTCTAGAAAGCGCACTCATGCCAGTAAATTTGGCCTGAGCTAGTGTTACATCCACCCTCATTGGTGTAACATCCTTAAAATCCCCTTCTGCACACATTCCCCAAGTTTCTGACTCTGTATATTTGCGAAGCCTTGTCATTCTTATAGTGTAAAAGCTGCTCCCGCCTAGGTCCTAGCTGGCACCTGTTCACCTGGAGCAAGCTGATTTCACCCTAGGTATTTATGGGTCTAGAGGCAGCAAGGGGCGCTGTGGTGAGTCTTAAGAAGAATGGGGTGTATCTGTTATTTCTGTATAAGAGCTGGCCATAAGAAAAAAAAAACTGTGGTGGGACAGTGGCTCACCCCTGTAATCCCAATACTCTGGGAGGCCAAGAGGGAAGGATCACTTTCCAGGAGTTCAAGACCAGCCTGGGCAACATAGTGAGATCTTACCGCTAATCAAAAAAAAAAAAAAAAAAAAAAGGACGACCACTTTCAAGGTGTCTGCCCCTGGTGAGGTCATCACAAGGTTTTTTTTTTGAGACGGAGTCTCACTCTGTCACCCAGGTTGGAGTGCAGTGGCATGATCTCCGCTCACTGCAAGCCTCACCTCCCAGGTTCACGCCATTCTCCTGCCTCAGCCTCTCAAGTAGCTGGGACTACAGACGCCCGCCACCATGCCCGGCTAATGTTTTTGTATTTTTAGTAGAGACAGGGTTTCACTATTTCTACTAAAGTAGAGTACTTAGGCAGGATGGTCTTCATCTCCTGACCTTGTGATCCACCCGCCTCGGCCTCCCAAAGTGCTGGGATTACAGGCATGAGGCACTGCACCCGGCCTCTGTTTTTTTTTTTGAGATGGAGTCTTGCACTGTCGCCAAGGCTGGTGTGCAGTGGTGCAATCTCGGCTCACTGCAACCTCTCCGCCTCCTGGGTTCAAGAGATCCTCCTACTCGGGAGGGTTCAGCCTTCCGAGTAACTAGGATTACAGGTGCTCGCCACCACGCCTGGCTAATTTTTTGCATTTTTAGTAGAGATGGGGTTTTACTATGTTGGCCAGGCTGGTTTTGAACTCCTGACCTCATGATCCGCCTGCCTTGGCCTCCCAAAGTGCTGGGATTACAGGCGTGAGCCACCGTGCCTGGCCACATCACAAGGTTTCTAAGCACAGGAAGGCTGGTAGGTTCCTCAGATGCTGATAAGTCACTCGCTTGGAGTGACTTGGGGGTTCAAGATCGCCTGTTTACTCTGGGTCCAATTAGATGACCCCATTCCAAAGAAGTAAAAACTTTTGGGCCGGGCATGGTGGCTCACACCTGTAATCCCAGCACTTTGGGAGGCTGAGGTGGGTGGATCACCTGAGGCCAGGAGTTTGAGACCAGCATGGCCAACATGGCAAAACCCTGTCTCTACTAAAAACACAAAAATTCGCCTGGCGTGGTGGTACACGCCTGTAATCCCAGCTACTCGGTAAGCTAAGGCAGGAAAATCGCTTGAACCCGGGAGGTGGAGGTTGCAGTGAGCCGAGAGATCACACTACTGCACTCCAGCCTGGGTGACATAGCAAGACTGTCTCAAAAACAAACAAACAAAAAATCTGGGGGCTGTCATGAAAGCTGTCTAGTTCTCAGACTGTGACTTGAGCTGAGTTAGCGGACCCAAGCTTGTCACTGTCTGTGGGCACTCAAGGGCACTCTGGAGAATCCATCCAATACCCTGGTCTTCAGAATTGGCACAACTAGCACAGCTGTTGAGCACAGCAGCCACAGGGGGTCCCAAGGCACGTGCTTCAGTTGGTCCCTCATCTCCGTCAACCACAGGCACTTGTGGGATTATGATGCCATTGCATGCCATGGGCCTCTGGCATCCTGTTTCCCATCAGCAAGAGCTCAGCGCGGCGCCCAAGCCCAAAGGCACAACCAAACCAATCCTGGAATCCTATCTTAAGAGTCATCTCCTGGGACACTCCAGGTATCAACTCTATATCCATCAGGATGCAGTCAGGAGAGAAAAACCACAGAGTAACTTGAACAGGGAAAGTTTAATATAGAGAATTACTGGCTTTAACAGTGAACTGGAATAATGAGGGCTTCACTGGTAAAATGCTTCTGAATTGACTGGAAATCCATTTGGGGTGCTGGGGAACGTTATTCCCAGAGAGGTGCCTCAGTGGAGGCGCTGTGTCTCCTACGCAACTTCTGAGGGCTGGAGGGTGCCAAGGGCAGCTGCTGACCGCCTGGTGCTTCAGGAGCTGGGTGCTGGGGAAGCCACATGCACTGCGGCGTCCAGAGGCAGAAGCACAACCAACAAGAACCACGAAGGAGGCGCCTTTCCTCCTATAATGCCTGTTTGGTGCCCTCTACTGACAAAGCTTATCCCCTTTCAAAAAACAGCCAACTGAAAAAGCTGAATTTGGAACATAAAGTCAATAAATCCATAACCAGCAATACTATGGGGCCTGGGGTGCGCTGGCCTTTAGTGAGTGGAGTGGGGCGAAGGATGCTGCATGTCCTGCAGTGGGCACAGCGGCCCTGCACGGGGGAGAACCATCCCTGTAAAGTGTCAGTAGTAGCCCCTGTGTCAGTCAGGGTCCCTGCAAGAAATGGCAGTGCACTCACATAAGGACAGTTTGAGAAGAGTCTCCTGACAAGGTGAGTGTGGCTCTCTGCGGCTACTAACAGCCTGAGCCTTTACCTCCCCAGGCCTGAACAGGGGCATGGAAAGGGCTGCCTGACAGGGTGACAGGAGCTGTGACCTTTAGCCAAGGGCAGCCAGGAATAAATACTGGGAACTCACGCTCTCTCCTGTGATTGGCCAGCACCACTCCCCCACCCTGACGTTGAGTGAAGACAAATGGAAGCCAGAAGTGTGGTGAGCTACCAGACATTCCATGCAGCCCGCTGAGAAGCCACGTGAGTGGGGACAGGGCTAAAGGCTAGGCAGGGACAGGGCTGGCTGTGTCCCGAGGCTGCTCCTCCGGCCCTGACTTCAGGCCCTCAGCCCAGTCGACTCCCACAACCTCGCAATTGGGCAGCATCTCCTCCACCAATATCTGAGTGAGGCCAGGGTTGGACACGGCAGGGAGGTCCGAGATGTCCAGCCTGCGGAGGTTCCTGAAAAGGGGTGAGAAGGACAGGAAGCCAGTGTAAGGACAGCATGTGTGTGTGTGTAGGGAGGTACAGGACAGCGTGTGCGTGTGTGTGTGTGTATAGGCAGGTAAGCCAGTGTAAGGACAGCGTGTGTGTGTATAGGGAGGTACAGGACAGTGTGTGCGTGTGTGTGTGTGTGTGTGTATAGGGAGGTAAGCCAGTGTAAGGACAGCATGTGTGTGTGTGTGTGTAGGGAGGTACAGGACAGCGTGTGTGTGTGTGTGTGTGTGTGTATAGGGAGATAAGCCAGTATAAGGACAGCGTGTGTGTGTGTGTGTGTGTGTGTAGGGAGGTACAGACAGCGTGTGCGTGTGTGTAGGGAGGTACAGGACAGCGTGCGTGTGTGTGTGTGTGTGTGTGTGTGTGTGTGTGTAGGGAGGTACTGGCCCCAAATTTCAACCTTACAGGACAGTGTGTGTGCGTGCGTGTGTGTGTGTGCGTGCGTGCATGCGTGCATGTGTGTGTGTATAGGGAGGTACTGGCCCCAAATTTCAACCTTAGCTTCCTAAAATAAAATCTTTATAGCTGTCCAGGCACATGAAGCCCACTGTGTTAATTGCAAATATGCAACTCCAGCTCCTGCTGTTCTGCAACAGCGTCGATATCACACAGTTTTGACTAAAACAAAAAGGAAGAAAACCAGGAGTCATTTAATTCTTCCAGAGACTCACTGTGACTGCTCATCTACCATAAATACTCTAGGTTTGTGATGGATGCAGGGGGATATGAGAACTGCCTAACATTGCCCCTCCCCACTTCCTCTCCTGCATCTGGGTTAGGTGGGAGAGGTGCCTGGGCATGTGGCCCAGCCTGAGCTGAGGTCTCACTGGAGGTGGTGGAGGCAGGCGAGGCCCCGTTCGGAGATGCGGGGGCAACCGGCCAGCGAGAGCTCCTGCAACGAGTCGGCCAGTGGGTAGAGGCGGCTGAGACACCAGTCGTCCACGTGGCAGCAGCGCTGCAGCGACAAGGACTGGAGCTCCTTCAGGCGGACTGCGGTGGGGAGAGGGTGGGATGGCACCAGGAGCCTTTCTGGAGCCCATCACCAAAGGGAAAACATAGAGGCCTGTCCCATCTCCACCCCACCGCACTCACGGAGGTTATCCAGGCCCTCGTAGTTGATGTCACAGTCACCGGCATCCACAGCTTCGACAGGCACTTCACAGAAATTCCAGAACTCCTGAGAGAAATGGCCATACTTATCTGGCCTGATCCACTCCTTGTCTCGAAACCTGGAAACGGGAAAGGGAGTGTCAGCAGGGCACCTGAACCTGCCCCAGGCCTCCAGCCTCTTCAGAACCTTCCCCAGCCCTATATAATATGTATAGGTCACCCTTGACATAACTAATTCCATCTTAGAAAAAGACTCCATCTGGCTGTGCGCAGTGGCTCACGCCTGTAATCCCAGCACTTTGGGAGGCTGAGGCAGGAGAATCACTTGAGTTCAGGAGTTTGAGACCAGCCTGGGCAACATAGTGAGACCTCGTCCCTATGAAAAAATACAAAAATTGGCCAGGTGCGGTGGCTCACGCCTGTAATCCCAGCACTTTGGGAGCCGAGGTGGGCGGACTACGAGGTCAGGAGATCGAAACCATCCTGGCTAATACACGGTGAAACCCCATCTCTACTAAAAATACAAAAAAATTAGCTGAGCATGGTGGCAGGCGCCTGTACTCCCAGCTTCTTGGGAGGCTGAGGCAGGAGAATTGTTTGAACCTGGGAGGCGGAGCTTGCAGTGAGCCGAGATCGTGCCACTGCACTCCAGCCTGGGTGACAGAGCGAGACTCCATCTCAAAAAAAAAACAAAAAAACAAAAATTAGCTGGGCTTGGTGGCTTGCACCTGTGGTCTCAGCTACTTGGGAGGCTGAGGTGGGAGGATAGCTTGAACCCAGGAGGTCGAGGCTGTAGTGAGTTGTGATCATGCCACTGTGCTCCAGCCTGGGAGACCCTATCTCAAAAAAAAAAAAAAAAAAAAAGGAATGTTTTGCCAATTTTACATACCTAGAAACTGAGGGTCAGCGAGATTACAGATAACATAAGAGCAAAGAGGTAAAATGCAAGAATCCTTGTAGATGGGCAGAAGTTAAGGGACATTTTCAAACATGTATACTGTTTCTAAGGAAGTTGCCAGAGGAAGTGCTCAAACCAGATGGAGGGGTAGATGAAGTCTATGTGAACTGTCTTTTCCAAAAAAAGAAAAAAAGCAAAGGAAAGAGAAAGGGAAGGAGAAAGGAGGCGGGGAAGAAGGAAAGAAAGAAAAACATTATTGAGCACAGGCCAGGCGCCACCAGTGGCTCACGCCTGTAATCCCCAGCACTTTGGGAGGCCGAGGTGGGTGGATCACTTGAGGTCAGGGGTTGGAGACCAGCCTGGCCAACATGGTAAAACCCTGTCTCTACCAAAAATAAAAAAAATTAGCCGGGCGTGGTAGTGTGCACCTATAATCCCAGGTACTTGGGAGGCTGAGGCAGGAGAATTGCTTGAACCCAGGAGATGGAGGTTGCAGTGAGCCGAGATTGTGCCACTGCACTCTAGCCTGGGCGACAAGAGCAAGACTCTTGTCTCAAAAAAAAAAAAAAATTATTGAGCACATATGCATTGCTAGGCTTCTTACATTGCAAAATCACAGTTAATCTCTCACTCCCCCTGACAGGGTCCCACTGGGTAGCTGGGATTACAGGCATGCACCACCATGCCTGGGTAATTTTGTATTTTGGTAGAGACGAGGTTTCACTATGTTGCCGAGGCTGGTCTTGAACTCCTGGGCTCAAGTGCTGTACCTGCCTTGGCCTCTCAAAGTGCAAAGGCATGAGCTACCACGCCCAGCCATTATTATTATTATTTTGAGACAGAGTCTTGCTCTGTCACCCAGGCTGGAGTGCAGTGGCGTGATCTTGGCTCATTGCAACCTCTGCATCCCGGCTTCTAAGGGATTCTCCTGCCTCAGCCTCCTAAGTAGCTGGCATTACAGGCGTGCGCCACCATGCCAAGCTAATTTTGTATTTTTAGTGGAGACAGGGTTTCACCACGTTGGCTAGGCTGGTCTCGAACTCCTGACCTCAGATGATCCACCAGCCTCGGCCTCCCAAAGTGCTGCGATTACAGGTGTGAGCCACCGCGCCCGGCCTATTATTATTTTTTGTGATGAGGTCTCCCTGTGTTGCCCAGGCTAGAGTTCAGTGGTGTGACTACAGCTCACTGTAGCCTCCTGGACTGAAGCGATTCTCCCGCCTTAGCCTCCTGAGTGGCTGGGACCACAGGCATGTGCCACCATACCTGGCTAATTTAAAACATTTTTTGTAGAGACAGGGTCTCACAAAGCTGCTGAGGCTGTTCTCAAACTCCTGGCCTCCAGTGACCTTCCTGTCTCGGCCTCCCAAAGTGCTGGGATTACAGAATGAGCCAGTGTGCCCAGCTCCGTTCAGTCTTTTTTTTTTTTTTTGACACTTTTGAGATGGAGTCTTGCCCTGTCCCCCAGGCTGGAGTGCAGTGGTGCAATCTCAGCTCACTGCAACCTCCACCTCCCGGGTTCATGCGATTCTCCTGCCTCAGCCTCCCCAGTAGCTGGGATTACAGGCGCCTGCCACCACGCCCAGCTAAGTTTTGTATTTTTAGTAGAGACAGGGTTTCGCCATTTTGGCCAAGCTGCTCTCGAACTCCTGACCTCAGGTGATCCGCCCGCCTTGGCCTCCCAAAGCATTGGGATTACAGGCGTGAGCCACCGTGCCCGGCCCCTGTTCACTCTTTATAGCAAACCTTGTGGGTTAGAAATGACCACCATCCCATTTTACACGTGACAAAACTGAAGCTCAGGAACAAGTCCCAAGCCACACAGCCAGGAGGCGGCAGAGACCAGGGGACTCTGAAGCCTGTGTGACTGCAGAACCTGGATGTTAGAGAGATACCCCACCACCTGCCCCAGCCCGTTCTAACACCTTAGCGGTCATACTTGACTGCGCCTCCCTGCTTCAGGATGAAAAAGGCACCTGCGCCGTATGGACCATGTTGCTTCTCCAGCCAGGTGTAAGATCTGCAGAGAAAATGGTAGCTAAGGGTGAGGCCTGGGGAGCACCACAGCCCTCACGATGCCCCAGTGCTGTTAAGAGGGGCAGAGTCCAGAGAACCAGGCACACAGACAGATTCAGTCAGGCTGAAAATATTTATTGCCCACCTCCTAAGTGCTGGGCACTGGGGGCAAAGTGGTGACCAAGGCAGATAACATCCCTGCCCAGTCTGGAGATTACTGCAGTAATCCAAGCTATTATACAGGGAGAAACAGATAACAACCCAGGAAATAACAGCAAACTGCAGAGAATGTCAATTCCATGACCAAACAAAGCAGAGAGGCTGACTGTGAGGGCTAGGGAGCAGAGGAGTGGGGATGGTGGAGGCTAACTGAGTTTGGGTGTTAATTGGAGGAGGTGACATTTGAGCAGGGATTTGAGTGGTGAGAAGGAACAGAGTATAAAGGCTCAGAGACTTGAATTAGGATGGTTGAATAAATAAGAAATAGGGATGTCATGCTGAAGGGGCCAGTGGAGTCCTGATAGGGGGTCTCAAAGCTCAGTAGGAGCTATGTTTTAGGCCTTGGAGATTGGCTCTTATTTGAAGGTTTTGAGCTGGTGATGATAAGATTCCTTCAGCTGCTTTGTAGATTATAAAAAACTATGGGACAGGCCAGGTGTGGTGGCTCACGCCTGTAATCCCAGCACTTTGGAAGGCCGAGGCAGGTGGATCATCTGAGGTCAGGATTTCGAGACCAGCCTGGCCAACATGGTGAAACCCCATCTCTACTAAAAATAGAAAAATTAGGTGTGGTGGCGCCTGCCTGTAATCTCACCTACTTGGGAGGCTGAGGCGGGAGAATCGCTTGAACCCAGGAGGTGGAGATTGCAATGAGCCATGATCACACCACTGTACTCCAGCATGTGCGACAGAGTGAGACTCTGTCTCAAACAAAACAAAACAAATTTTGGCGGGGTGTGGTGGCTCATGCCTGTAATCCCAGCACTCTGGGAGACCGAGGCAGGCGGATCACCTGAGGTCAGGAGTTCGAGAGCAGCCTCGCTAACATGGTGAAAACCCATCTCTACTAAAAATACAAAAATTAGCTGGGCCTGGTGGCGGGCGCCTGTAATCCCAGCTACTTGGGAGGCGGAGGCAGGAGAATTGCTTGAACCTGGGAGGTGGAGGTTGCAGTGAGCTTAGATTGCGCCACTACACTCCAGGCTGGGAGACAGAGCAAGACTCCATCTCAGAAAAAAAAAAAAAAGAGTATGGGAACAAAAACCCAGTTAGCTTATTGAGTGATTCAACTATAAGGGATCAGGCTACGAATGGTGAAGGCAGTGAGAACTGGTCAAATCTGAGATATTCTAGTATTTTATTGATGGTCTGGATGTGGAGGGCAGGGAAGCAAAGAGAGGAATTAGGGATGACTCCTTAGAATTTGGCCTGAACAACTGGGTGGGCAGCACCAGTGTTTACTGGGATGGGAAGGCTTGGGAGTGAGCAGATGTTTTTAGGGGAGAAATCAGGGTTTGGCTTTAGCCATGTTAGGTTTGAGATGCCAGTTAGACTCTGAGTGGAGCTGGTGGGTGGCAAACTGCCTATGTGAGCTGGAGTCCTTGAGAAGGGTACAGCCTGGAGATGGAGCTGCAAGAGACATCAAGGCTGGCACTGGAAGCCACAGTGCTGCCTGGGAATGGCAAGGACAGGACCTGGGCTCTGGTGGGCCAGGGTCTCCACAGGGTCTTGCAGACCAGGGATTCTCACCGATTTTTCTCATGCACCTTGTACATCTCCCTTTGGAGCAAGTAATCCCTCAGAGCCTCCACATCGTAGAAATAGTTGGTCAGGAACTGGAGTATTGTCCTTTTCTTCTTCTGATTGCCCTCTGGGGCCACTGCCGCACCCAGGCGATGGATGCCCCTGATACGCCCATTCCACATGGGGGCGACCAGGCGCAGGGACTGGGGAGGGGGAGAGGAAAGGAGCTGAGCCTGGAGCCTCCTGGGAGACACAGAGCTGGATCCCCCAGTTCTTGCTCCATGAACCTCAATCCCTCTGCTTCCCAACTCACCCTAAGTTCTTCCTTCAAAACTTCAAAACTGTCTTTGAGATTCCAAAAATTTCCCCATGTTTTTTCCAAGTTCCTCCTCCCCTTAGTGAACCCTAAATTTTCTCGACTAGCCATATATTGTTGATTTTCCTAAATTCTTCCTCTAACTTTCCCCCAAACCCTTATCACTCAAAACCTGCATTATTTGACCTCTTAATTTTCCACAGATTTGCCCCTTAATTACCCAATTCTTCTGCTGGGGTCTTCCCAAATGACTTCTTTCTTTCCCCAGAATATAATCTTAAAAACTTATCTCCAAACCTCAAGGAGAGGGTGCTCTGAGCAATCCCTAAAACCAACCAAGCTTGTCCAACCCGCCGCCTGCATGCAGCCCAACACAAACATGCAAACTTTCTTAAAACATTAGGAGGATATTTTTGTGATTTTTTTTTTTTTTTTTTTGGCTCATCAGTTATGGTTAGTGTATTTTATGTGTGGCCCAAGACAATTCTTCTTCTTCGAACAGCGTGGCCCAGGGAAGCCAAAAGATTGGACACCCCTGAACCGAGAAGGGTATAAAAAGCATGAGCTTTGAAGAGGAGAGTAAGAAAGTCGAGGGGTGTGGCCAATGGGAAGAAGCCCCCAAACTCTTCAATTTTGCTTTCAAGGTCTCCTCTTAATCTACCCCAATTTCTCTTTGCTTTAACCAAATTCTTTTTTTTTTTCAAATTATCTCGATAATTTTACCCAAACCCTTATTTTCCTCAAAAGTTTAAAGCTGCCAACCTCTTTAATTTTCCCTAAATTCATTCCTTGATTTTAAATCCTCTGAAAGAATATCTCAAATTCTCCTCTTAATTTCACCCAGATCATGCCCTTAGAACCTCCAAATTGACCTCTTGGTTCCCCCACCCATCATGCTTTTGAGTTTTCTGTAAAAATTCGTCAATCTCCCACTAACTTTCCTTACATTCATCCTTCGGTCTTCTAAGACCAAATCCCACATCCTCGAACAATCCCTTCCAAGCTCTCTTATCCTACAGGCCCCACCCTTGCCTGTCCATTAGCTCCTTGTGTCATCCCTCCCTCTGATTGGTTAGTCGCGTCGCTCTTCGGCAGCCACTCCCTCATCCCCATTGGATACTCTCAGCCAAGTCCCTGCCTCCTCTCGCTCGCTAAAGCGTCTCCTCCGCCTGCGACCCTCACAGATCCTTCCTGGCCCCCACTAGCCACAGGTTTGCACTCCCAGTACGGGGCTTGCCAGGCTTAGCCTGCTGCCTCACGGCTTTCTGCTCTCGTGGCCGCCAACAGAGGCCCTGAATGCGGAGGCTGTAGAGCGGACTTCAAATTTGGGGCTCTAGGAACTCCGGTCACTTACCGCCCAGGGAGCCGCCATCTTGCTAAGGTTTCGTAACCGGAAGGGGCCGGTCTTATCCCACGCTCCTGGTTCAGCGCGAACTTATTCTCCTGTGGCCACGCCCCGCGTTTTCTAACCGTCCTCTTAAAGGTGCACGCACTTTTTACTCTTAAAGGGTTTAGGGATTGCTCACAGCGCCCTCTCCCTGAGCTTCAAAACGAGACACAGGTCGGGCTCACGCACCTGTGAACCCAGCACTTTGTGGAGGCCGAGGCGAAAGCATCGCTTGAAGCCAGGAGTTCGAGACCAGCCTGGGCAACATAGGGGAGCCTTTATCTCCACAAAGAAATAGGGCAACCTTATATCCACAAAAAATAAAATGTTAGCCGGGCGTGGTGGTGCACGCCTGTGGTCCCAGCTACTCACGAGGCTGAGGCGGGGGGATCACTTGAGCCGGGGAGGTCGAAGTTGCAGTGAGCTGTGATTGCGCCACTGCACTCCAGCCTGGGTGACAGAGCGAGACGCTGTCTCTTAAAACAAAAAATTGAAAAACAAAACAAACCCCAGGACTCCACAATCTTTCCCTAGGAGAAGATGGGGTGTTCTTCCCGGCAGAGTACCTTTCTTTCCTGACTGCAATTGCAGTCTCCCCAAGCTTTCTTATTCTTCCAGCTTCCACTCACTACCTCCTAAAAACAGGGAATGAGGGGGCTGAAAAGCTGACCACGTCATTTTTAAAAATTAGGGTCAGGTAAGAGAGTGGGTGAAGAGGTTAGATGTCAAGGTTAGAGACTGAGGTGAGATCTCAAGACCAGTTTGGAGTTGAAAGCTAGATCGCAGCATGAAGAGCCATTGTGAAGTCTTGTGGATAGAATTATTCATTCATTAGTTCCAAGAATATTTACTGAGCACCTACCACGTGATGGCAGGCACTGTTCTAGATGCCGAGGTTACCATGGTGAGCAGGACAGACCCAGTCCCTCTCTCAGGAAGTCAACATTCTGGGCTGGGAGAGGATGGATGTGGGAGAGGATGAATAAGAAACAAAGGAATCAGCAAGGCAATTTTGATGAGAAGCAGATAAAAAAAAGTGACTGGGTGTAGGGCCATCAGCAAAGGCCTCTCTGAAGAGGTGACATTGAAGTAGAAGTGAATGATAAGGAAAGAGCCATTCAAAGATCTAGGGGAAAAGCGCTGCAGGGAGAGGTAGCCTCTAGAGCAGAGAGGCCTTGAGGTGGGAACCAGCTTGCAGACAGAGATAGGAGACTGGGTTGAGAGGTGGGCAGGGGCTGACGGTGCAGGCCTGGTAGGGTTTTATTCTATTCACAGTGGGAAGAAGGGAGTGTCAAAATCGGATTTACATTTTGTAAAGATTATTTCTGCCAGGTGGAGAATGTACCTTAGAGCAGCGGTCCCTAACCGTTTTGTTACCAGGGACTGGTTTCGTGGAGGACAATTTTTCCATAGACTGGGGGTCGGGGGTGGGGTGGGGATGGTTTTGGGATGAAACTGTTCCACCTGAGATCATCAGGCATTAGATTCTCATAAGGAGCAGGCAACCTAGATCCCCCGCACGCACAGTTCACAATAGGGTTTGCCTCCTATGAGAATCTAATGCCACTGCTGATGTGACAGGAGGCGGAGCTCAGGCGGTAATGCTCACTTACCCGCTGCTCATCTCTTGCTGTGCGGCCCAGTTCCTAGCAGGCGAGGGGCTGGTACTGGTCCTTGGCCCAGGGACTGGGGACCCTTGCCTTAGAGGGCAAGGGTGGATGCAGGGGACCAGTAAAAGAGGCTGCTGTAGCAGTCTAGGCAAGAGATGAATGGGGATGGGGCAGAGGGAATGGTGAGAAGTGCTCAAATCCTGGGCCTGTTTTGAAGGTTAAGCCAACAGATTGAGAAACTAAAAGCAGACGGGCGTGGCTGTGCACGTGAGGAAACTGGAAGGGCAGCAGGTTTAGGAAGGTGGGTGTGGCAGCTGAATAACGAACCCTCTCCCCATACCTGTGAATCCCTGGGCACTGTGACTATGTTACTTTCTATGGTAAAAGGGACTTGGGGCTGGGCGCGTTGGCTCACGCCTGTAATCCCAGCACTTTGGGAGGCCGAGGTGGGCAGATCACCTGAGGTCAGGGGTTTGAGACCAGCCTGGCTAACATGGTGAAACCCCGTCTCCACTAAACATACAAAAATTCGCCAGGTGTGGTGGCGTGCACCTGTAACCCCAGCTGTTCAGGAGGCTGAGGCAGGGGAATCGCTTGAACCCGGGAGGCGGAGGTTGCAGTGAGCCAAGATTGCACCACTGCAGTCCAGCCTGGATGACAGAGCGAGACTCTGTCTCAAAAAACAAAATACATATATATATATATTGTTCATTTGTTTATTTTAAGATGGAGTCTTGCTCTGTCGCCAGGCTGGAATGCAGTGGCGTGATCTTGGCTTACTGCAACCTCCACCTCCTGGGTTCACACCATTCTCCTGCCTCAGCCTCCCGAGTAGCTGGGACTACAGGCACGCGGCAGCATGCCCGGCTAATTTTTTGTGTTTTACTAGAGACGGGGTTTCACCATGTGGCCAGGATGGTCTTGATCTCCTGACCTCGTGATCTACCATTATATATATGTATATATATGCACCTTGGGTCTGAAGGAAGGGTCCAAGGCCGAGAGAGGCCTGCAGTGCTTCCCAGACTTTTCCACAGCAGAAGCCCTCACCCTCAACAGGGATAATATACCCATAGGCAAGTCCAGGGTCAGCAGAATTGGCTGCTTGGCCCTAGGCCAGCAGCCTGGACACAGGCACTCCAGCTAAGGGATTGCTGTCTTGGTGCCCCTGGGAGCCATTCCTGCCCCCAAAGGCACACTGGTGGGAAAGCCCTAGGATGACCCGTGCCAAGAGGACAAGCAAGGACCAAGCTATGGGCAAGCCAGAGGTCAAATGGAGGCTGAGGAGAGGCTGGAGAAGTGGTGGTGGGGGGCAGGTGGAAGGACAGAGGGTGCCAGGCATCTACAGACACTGAGCGCCCCTGAGGGGTCAGGCCTGAGACAGGCAGGGAAGGGTGGAGTTAGACCTCTGCAAGAGGCTATGTTTGAACCCTGTGAGCAGAGTTGAGGTTAGACTTCAGAAGGAAAAAGAAAAGCACAAGGCCAGCTGATTCTCTCTGAAGAGTGGACTTTGGGATACCTTTCCCAGGAACCCCCATCCCACTCCCTCTGCCCTTTACTCTCCACCACGCACACAGCTCCCCAGGGGACCAGGCCACCCTGGACCTTGCTACTTCCTGCTCCTTGCAGCCATAGCTCAGAGACGATGGAACTGTGGAGGCAGCTGAATCAGGCTGGACTGGTGCCTCCGGGGCTGGGCCCACCCCCCCAGGCCCTGAGGGAGGTCTCCCCAGTGGAAATCCCTGGTCAGACCCTCAGGACTGCAGGGGCAGACACTGGAGGTGCCTGCGATAGTCTGCTGTGGATCAGGGAGGAGCTGGTGAGTGAGGGGTTTGGAAGGGAAAGAGAAAGAGAGGAAATGAGAATGAATGGAAATGAACAAAAATAGAGAAGGCCAGAGATCGAAAAACAGAATCTGAGAGATAGAAGCAGAGACATGAGAGGCATGTACAGACACCGAGAGACAGACATAGAGTGAGGGACGGGAACAGAGGTGGGGACAGGGAGATCCCAAAAGAGAGGGACAGAGGTGGGAAGCAGAGACGGAGAGCAGGAACAGAGATGGAGAGACAGACTGAATTTGAGAAAGTTGGGGAGGGCAGAGAGAGGGCAAGCGAGAGAAAGAGAGCCAAAGGCAGGGGCAGAGAAATGGCAACACATAAAGACAGAGAGACAGGGGCATGGAAAGACAAAAAATAAATGGGGACAGAGACAAAGGGAAACAGGGACAGATATAGATAAGAGAGGGAGGAGACAGAGAGAGAGAAGTCAGGGACAATGAAATGGAGAGACAAAGAGAAGAGTTAGAGATCAAGAGACACTCTGAGAAGCAGGAAGGCAGTTAGGGTCCATGGGCACAGTGAGGACCCTGCCCAGGCGCTGTGGCCAGGACATGAGTTGGGACCTGCTCTCACCCAGGTCCTGGAGAGACCCCTTGCTCTCTGGGGTGGCATCCCTGTGACGTCCCCTTCCTACTGGCAGGGGAACCTGCGCCGAGTGGATGTCCAGCTGCTGGGACAGCTGTGCAGCCTGGGGCTGGAGATGGGGGCGCTGCGGGAGGAACTGGTCACCATATTGGAGGAGGAGGAGGAGAGCAGCAAGGAAGAGGAGGAGGATCAAGAGCCCCAGAGGAAGCAGGAGGAGGAACACCTGGAGGCCTGCCCAGCCCCACATCCACCTGACTTTGAGATGATGATCTGAGGCTCTGCCAGTGGATTTAGATTGACATACAAATGAGATGCAAATGTATGTAAAGGAGAAGGGAGATTTGCAGGTCAAAGCAGATGTGGAATCAAGTATACCCCTTTAGTAAGTGCTTTCTCTGAAGGTGCCTGCAATGATATTTAGGCATTGGCCTGTGAGCTATGGGTGTGTTTGCAGATGACATGAGGATGTGTTTGGAGGTGATGTGGGAGGTTGTAGAGAAGTTGCAGGTGCTTTCGCAGATGAGCCTCAGGTGTGCTGCTGAGATGGGGATCTCTGCAAATATGCTGGTGATGCATACAGATGCGATTTCAGATCAACGCTGTCCAGTATGGTAGCCACCGGACACACATGGTTATTTAGTGCTTGAAACATGGGGACTGCAAATTGAGATGTGCTGTGAGTGTAAAATACACACCAAATATTAAAGGCTTAGTATGATGAAAAGAACATAAGACATCTCAATAATTTTTAGATTACTTATTGAAATAATAATATTTTGAGCATATCAGTATTAGTAAAAATATTACTAAAATTATTTTCACCTGTTTCTAAATTTTGTTTGTGTGTATTGTTCCCCTCCCTGTGTCCATATGTTCTCATTCTTTTTTTTTTTTTTTTGAGACGGAGTCTCACTCTGTTGCCCAGGCTGGAGTGCAGTGGCGTGATCTCGGCTCATTGCAACCTCCATCTCCTGGGTTCAAGCCATTCTCCTGCCTCAGCCTCCTGAGTAGCTGGGATTACAGGCTCACGCCACCACACGGAACTAATTTTTGTATTTTTAGTAGAGACGGGGTTTCACCATATTGGTCAGGCTGGTCTCGAACTTCTGACCTCGTGATCCACTCGCCTCAGCTTCCCAAAGTGCTGGGATTACAGGCATGAGCCACCTCGCCCAGCCTCATTGTTGTGTTACAAAGCACTTTCTGTTGGAAGTGAGAGTCTTTTCAGAGAAGTGAAATGTTGACAGAGGAGGTGCTGATTCCTTTCCACGGGAGTTTTCTCCTTAAAAATAAGCCGCTTCCACTTTGGGAGGCCGAGGCTGGGAAATCACTTGAGGTCAGGAGTTTCAGACCAGCCTGGCCAACATGGTGAAACCCTGTCTCTACTAAAAATACAAAAATTAGCTGGGTGTGGTGGCACGCGCCTGTAATCCCAGCTACTGGGGAGGCTGCGGCACAAGAATCACTTGAACCCGGGAGGCGGAGGCTGCAGTGAGCTGAGATCACGCCACTGCACTCCAACCTGGGAGACAGAGAGATACTCTATCTCAAAAACAATAACAACGAAAAACCAAGCTGCTTCGTTTTGTCCAGTGGAGACCCCAGGATTAGGGTGGGGTACAGGACTGGGGTTTAGGGGTTCAGGCTCCATCCCCAGCCTGGTCCTCATTAGCTAACCTGAGCCAGGTCTGCAGCTGGTGTCAGTGCTGCTGTTTGGGGGTTGGGGAGAACGTTGAAGTCACGCCTAGCAGCCAGGGAAGGGGGAAGGACACCCCACAAAGCATGCAAGCGGCAGGGCATTCTCTCTCTGTCTTGGCACTCTAGACAGAGGCCCGGGGAGTCTGGGGGTCTCTTGGCAGCTACATCTAGACAGTAGGGGTCATGGGGAATGAGGATGTTGGATGCCATGGCCCCAGGGTCTGGGTCATGCTTCACAAGTGCCAGGGTCCTCTGTCTCTTGGGGAGAAAGAGATGAGGGGGGTACAAGTGAGAGGCTGGTGGGGCGACTTGTAACAGGTGCTCACTATTCAAGAACAGCATGAGGCCGGGCGCGATGGCTCACGCCTGTAATCCCAGCACTTTGGGAGGCCGAGGCGGGCGGATCACGAGGTCAGGAGATCGAGACCATCCTGACTAACACGGTGAAACCCCGTCTCAACTAAAAATACAAAAAATTAGCCGGGTGTGGTGGCAGGCTCCTGTAGTCCCAGCTACTCGGGAGGCTGAGGCAGGAGAATGGAGTGAACCCTGGAGGTGGAGCTTGCAGTGAGCCGAGATCGCGCCACTGCACTCCAGCCTGGGCAACAGAGCGAGACTCTGTCTCAAAAAAAAAAAAAAAAAAAAAAAAAAGGACAGCTTGGAGGATGGACTCGATGTTTAAGGGGAGTTGCCCTAATCCTATGGCCTGGGCCACAGAGGTGAAATCTATGGAAGAGAGTGGGAGTTTGGGTGAAGGGGCCAGCCTCACCCGTACTGTCCTCAGCACCACACTAACTGAGCTCCTTCCAGCAGTGACCAAGTCTTTTCCAGGCCTGTCCTTCCAGATCTCCCAGACCAGTGGGAGAAGATACCCATCCCTATCCAGGGACAGCCAAGATGGTCAGGGTGGGGACAGAGGAAGTATAATCTGAGGGATCAAGGCTGAGATGGGGGAGGCACAGGAGGCGGAGGGGACCCAGAGAAGGCAACAGGCCCAGGCTGAAATGTCAGGAAAGTGATCTTAGAGGAGAATTGAGGCAACAAGGAAAAATGAGCCAAGTAAAGAAAGTGAATGAGGCTGGGTGCAGTGGTTCACGCCTGTAATCCCAGCACTTTGGGAGGCCAAGGTGGGTGGATCACCTGAGGTCAGGAGTCTGAGATCAGCCTGGCCAACATGGCAAAACCCCGTCTCTACTAAAAATACGGAAACTAGCCAGGCATGGGGGTGCATCTATAGTCGCAGCTACTCAGGAGGCTGAGGCACAATAATTGCTTGAACCCGGGAAGTGGAGGTTGCAGTCCGCCAAGATTGCACCACTGCACTCCCACCTGGGCAACAGAGTGAGACTCTGTCTCAAAAAAAAAAAAAAAAAAAGTGAATGAAAAGGATATAAAAGTAGAAAAATAGCATACACAGAAGCCATGGGGCTTATCTAGTGATCTAGCCCCCTGCTACTCAAAGTGCAGTCATTCATGGAATACAGCAGTAACAGCATTGTTACAGCTGTCTATTGCTGCATAACAAACAGCCCCCAGACATTGTTGTTTCAAAACAGTGACAGCATGCATTTTGCTCACGCATCTGCAATCTGCAGGGATCCCTCATCTCTGCTCCACGCTGTCTGAGGCTTCAGCTGGAATCATTGTTGGCGCATTTGCTCTCCTGTCTGGCGGTTGATGCTGGCTGAGGGCTGGGGGTGCCTCTGTTTCTCTCCCTGTCTTGTCTCCACATGGGCTAAGTTGGGCTCCCAAGGAGCTTAGAGGATGGGTTCCAAGGGCATGTATCCTGAGAGGGAGCCAGTCAGAAGCAACATCGCCTTGTGTAACCCAGCCTCATAAGCCATGCAGGGTCACTCTCACCATGTTGATGCCATCGTCAAGTCCTGATCAGGTTCAAAGGAAGGGGAAATAGCCGGGCGCGGTGGCTCCCGCCTGTAATCCCAGCACTTTGGGAGGCTGAGGCGGGCGGATCACCTGAGGTCGGGAGTTTGAGACCAGCCTGGCCGACATGGAGAAACCCCGTCTCTACTAAAAATACAAAATTAGCTGGGCGTGGTGGCACATACCTGTAATCCCAGCTACTCGGGAGGCTGAGGTAGAAGCATTGCTTGAACCCAGGAGGCGGAGGTTGCGGTGAGCTGAGATCACGCCATTGCGCTCCAGCCTGGGCAACAAGAGTGAAACTTCGTCTCAAAAAAATAAATAAAGGAAGGGGAAATGGACTCCACCTTTTCATGGGGGAGTACAAGGTTCTGGAGGAGCATGTGGGACCGGAAACATTGCTGAAATCATCAGTGGAAAACGCAAGTTACCCCAGCAGCCGCTTGGTAGGTGTGCTCACTCCCAGACCCATGCCAGACCAACCAAATCAGATGCTGTGCATACAAGAAGAGTTCCACCTGCTTTGTTTGCAAATTAGGTTTGAGAAATACTGTTTTAAATCACAAATGTGACACTGTTTTGAGCAGGTGGAGCAGGGAAAGAGTAATTACATTTAGAGAGCTCCCTCTGGCTGCCGCGTGGAGGTTGGATTAGAGGGCTCAAGAGTGGTGGTCCAGTAGAAAGAACCAAAAAAAAAAAAAAAAAAATGGATGAATTGAACATTATCAAAATTCCAAACCTGTGTACATCAAAAAACACTATTGAAAATAGATGGCCGGGCACTGTGGCTCACACCTGTACTTCCAGCACTTAGGGAGACTGAGGCTGACAGATCGCTTTGAGGCAGGGAGTTCAAGACCAACCTAGGCAACATGGCGAAACCTCGGCTCTACTAAAAAATACAAAAATTAGCTGGGTGCGATGGCAAGTGCCTATAACCTCAGCTACTCAGGAGGCTGAAGTGGGAGAATTGCTTGAGCCTGGCAGGTCGAGTCTGCAGTGAGCCAAGATCATGCCACTGCACTCCAGCCTGGGTGACAGAGTGAGACTGTCTCAATAAAAAAAAAAAGAAAAAGAAAATAAAAACACAACCTATATATTAGGAGAAAATAGTTGCAGAAATATATCTGATAAGGCTCTAGTATCTAGAATATATAAGGAACTTTTACAACTCAACAATGTAAAGACAAATATTAATAGTTCAGTTACAAAATGGGCAAAGAACTTGAATAGACATTTCCCCAAAGAAGATGTACAAGTTATTAAGCCAATAAGCACATGAAAAGATGCTCAACATTTGTGTCAGTAGGGTTCTTCAGAAAAACAGAATAAATTATATATATAGCTAAGTTATACGTATAATTTAATTAAGTTATGCGTATAATTATATATATAATTTATTCTGTTTTTCTGGAGGACCCAATTTATATATATAAATTGGCTCATGTAATTATGGAAGCTGAGAAGTCTCACGATCTGCCATTTGCACGCTGGAAATCGGGAAAGCTGGTGGTGTATTCAGTCCAAGTGTGAAGGCTTCATAACCAGGAGTGCAAATATCTGAGGTCAGGAGAAGATGGATGTCTCAGCTCCAAACAAATTCCCCCTTTTCCCCTCCCCTCCCCTCGCCTCCCCTCTTCTTTTTTTTTTTTTGAGACAGAGTCTCGCTCTATCGCCCAGCCTGGAGTGCAGTGGCGCGATCTCGGCAACCCCTCCGGGGTTGAAGCGATTCTCGTGTCTCAGCCTCTCGAGTAGCTGGGATTACAGGAGCGCGCCACATGTCCAGCTAATTTTTCTGTATTTTTTAGTAGAGGGGATGTTTCACCATGTTGGCCAGGCTGGTCTCAAACTCCCGTCCTCATGTGATCCACCCACCTCGGCCTCCCAAAGTGCTGGAATTACAGGCGTGAGCCACAGCGCTTAGCCAGAAAATTTTAAACATTACCCATGTTTTGGTTGTGCTTCTACTGGGCTCCCACCTGCTGTGATGCCCTGTCTCCACCAGGTGGCGCCAACACACCCCTGCAGCCCCTCCAGCCAAGGCAGACTGGACACTGAGGGGCAGGACCCGACTATGAGGTCCTTTGAGGAAGCAGGTCCTTATAGAGGGCGTCGTTGAGACAGGCTATTCCCACACAGGGGGCTCCTGTTGAGAGAGAAAGTCCAAGTTCTGGTGAGCGGGAGACAGGCAGGAATAATCACTCCTAAAGCTACCCATGTCACAATCCCTGGAACCCGTGAATGGTAACTTTTATGGCAAAAGGGCTCTGCAGTTGTTAAGGATATTGAGGTGGAGAAATTCTCCTGGGTTATGTGGGTGGCCCTCAATGGAATCCCAAGTGTGCTTGCAAGAGAGAGACAGAGGGAGCCCTGAACACAGAGAAGGTGAGGATGTGATAACAGAAGTAGGAGGGTGAGTGGTGTCAGGAAGGGGCTGGAGCGAGGGATGCAGCAGCCTCTAGAAGGTGGAGAAGCAGCACAGATGCTCCCTGAGGCCACCAGGTCAGTACAGCCCTGCTAGTACCTTCAGTTGACACTTCTGACTCCAAAGCCATAAGGACATCAATTTGTGTGGGTTTAAGTGACAGATTTGTGGCCACCTGTAGCAACAGCTACGAGAAACTCCTACAGGCAGGAACGGGGGGCAGAGGCAACGGTAATTTTCCTATTAAATATAACTTAAGCTAAAATGAAAATATCAGCAATAGAACTGATGAGACTGTGGGACAGCTGGAGCAGTCACACAGGTGCTGGGAGTGCGTGCTGGTACAAGGGCTTTGGAAAACCCTGTGGAAGTGTGTGTGACCCTGAACATACGGTATCTGGGAGCCAGCAGTTCCCCTCCTGGGCATATACTAAAGAGAAAAAGAGAAACACGTGTAGGCGCTCACCAAAGACACCTACTAGAATAGTCACAGCAGCCCAATCTTTTTTTTTTTTTTTGGAGACGGAGTCTTGCTCTGTCGCCTAGGCTGGAGTGCAGTGGCACAATCTCGGCTCACTGCAAGCTCCGCCTCCCGGGTTCACGCCGTTCTCCTGCCTCAGCCTCCCGAGTAGCTGGGACTACAGGCGCCCGCTACCATGCCCAGCTAATTTTTTTTTTTTTTGGTATTTTTAGTAAAGACGGGGTTTCACCGTGTTAGCCAGGATGGTCTCGATCTCCTGACTTCGTGATCCGCCCGCCTCGGCCTCCCAAAGTGCTGGGATTAGAGGCGTGAGCCACTGCGCCCGGCCACAGCAGCCCAATCTTAATAGCTTCAAACAGGAAGTTACCCAAATGCCCATCAGCAGGAATGGTGGTGTCCCACCCCTTCCATTGAGAGTGGGGTCTGTGTGCCAGTCCCCTGAGTATGGGTGGGCTTGTGACTTCTAACACTAATAAGTGTGGGGAAAATGAACTGATGTGACATCTAAGGCTGAATCATAAGAAGTGTGAGCTTTGGCCGGGCGCGGTGGCTCATGCCTGTAATCCCAGCACTTTGGGAGGCCGAGGCAGGCGGATCGCCTGAGGTCAAGAGGTCAAGACTAGCCTGGCCAACAAGGTGAAACCCCGTCTCTACTAAAAATACAAAAATTAGCTGGGCTTGGTGGCAGGCGCCTGCAATCCCAGCAACTTGGGAGGCTGGAGCAGGAGAATCGCTTGAACCTGGTAGGCGGAGGCTGCAGTGAGCTGAGATCGTGCCACTGCACTCCAGCCTGGGTGATAGAGCAATATTTCATCTCAAAAAAAAAAAAAAAAAAGAAAAGTGTGATGCTGTGTAAGAAACCCAACTGCTTCAGGATCACCATGTTGGAGAGGTCATGTGTAGGGCTCAGGTGACTGTCCCAGCTGAGCCGAGCCTTCTGGCTGTCCCCACCATAGTTTCAGACCTGTGAGTGAAGAATCATCTTATACATAGAGGCCTCATCCCCAGCTGTTCCAACCCTGAGCTTTTCAGTCACCCTGAGCCATTCGCCTCACCCCTGCGGAGGCTTTAGCATCATGGAGCAGAGACAAAACTCCTTGGGTTTGACTTTTCAGAATTTTTGATCCACAGAATCATGGAATTGTCACACCATTTAGTTGGGAGTGGGGTTGTTACATAGCAGCAAATAACCAAACACAAATAATAAATAAGTTATGGGATAGTCATGCAATGGAATGTTTACACAGTATCTACTTGTAGATGATATGTCTTCTCCCTCAAACAGAAAGTAAGGGTTCAAGAGCTAAGCTATGAAGATGCAAAGGCATAAGAATGATACAATGGACTTCAGGGACTCCGGGGGAAAGGGTGGGAAGGGGGTGAGGGATAAAAGACCACAAATTGGGTTCAGTGTATACTTCTCAGTTGATGGGTGAACCAAAATCTCACAAATCACAACTAAAGAAATTACTCATGTAACAAAATACCACCTGTTCCCCAAAAACTTATGAAAATAAAATTAAAAAAAAAATCATACATAGGCGGGGCGCAGTGGCTCAACGCCTATAATCCCAGAATCTTGGGAGGCCGAGGCGGGCAGATTATTTGAGATCAGGAGTTTGAGACCAGCCTGGCCAATATGGTGAAACCCCGTCTCTATTAAAAATACAAAAATTAGCTGGGTGTGGTGGCTCACTCCTGTGGTCCCAGCTACTTGGGAGGCTGAGGCAGGAGAATTGCTTGAACCCAGGAGGCAGACTTTGCAGTGAGTCGAGATCACGCCATTGCACTCCAGCCAGGGCGAAGAAGTGAGACTCCATCTCAAAAAAAAAAAAAAAAAAAAAAATTGTGTGTCATTGGCATTAACTTTTTTTAGTAAAGAAAAAAATGGAAAAACAAAAAAAAATGGAGATATGAGAGGATAATCACCCTCATATATTTAAATCTGTTATATATATGAAATTTGTGCCCGGGCATGATATTGGTTTTGATTATTTTTATTTGCTTGAGAAGTATACCTAGGTTTTTCTTTTTTTCTTTTTCCTTTTTCTTTTTTTGTTTTGAGATGGAGTCCCGCTCCCATCACACAGGCTGGAGTGCAGTGGCGAAATCTCGGCTCATTGCAATTTTCACCTCCCGGGTTCAAGCGATTCTCCTTCCTCAGTCTCCCAAGTAGCTGGGATTACAGGCATGAGCCACCATGCCCTGCCCTTCCTGCTCCTCTTGAGTATGTCTAGTAATTGACACACTTGGCTGTCCACACTTCTTGGCCTTACAGACACTGTGCTCTATAACATGACTCTTAGGTCTCTGCAGGGCAGCCCCCACTTGTTGCAGGCTGACGCTGCTGCCTCCTCCTCAGGCCCACCTTGCTTCCCATGGCATAGTGCTGGCCTTAGCCACTCCCAGATACTTTCATCACACTGGTGCTATGAAGCCCTGCCCTGTAACTGTCCCCTGCTTTGAGCTTTGACCTATGAAAAATGACCATCACTTGCATCTCAGTGATGCTAGTGTCCCTCTCACTACCGCAGTGCTCACCAGCCCTCCTCACCATCCTAGTCAGCTACTGGGTTATTTTCTTCTGTAAAAGGCACGTTCTGGCCTGGCGCGGTGCTGCAGACCATCAGCACCTCTGTGATGAGGTGCTCACTGCCATCTTGTGGTGGGGGGGGGTCATCTAAACCCAGAAGTGATTGTCACGGTTGGCTTTCTAGAATCTTTGCTGGAATCACATGTTGGGGATCATGTTCTCTAAAAGCAAAGCATGAGGAGGTGATTCAAGAGGTGCATTGGGCCAGGCACAGTGGCTCACACCTGTAATCCCAGCACTTTGGAAGGCTGAGGCAGGAGGATCAACTGAGGTCAGGAGTTCGAAACCAGCCTGACCAACATGGAGAAACCCGTTTCTACTAAAAATACAAAATTAGCTGGGCGTGGTGGTGCATGCCTGTAATCCCAGGTACTTGGGAGGCTGAGGAAGGAGAATCACTTGAACCCGCGAGGCAGAGGTTGTGGTGAGCTGAGATTGCGCCATTGCATTCCAGCCTGGGCAACAAGAGTGAAACTCCGTCTCAAAAAAAAAAAAAAAAAAAAAAAAGATGCATTGCAGGAGTGCGCTGGGGAGCTCGAGGAAAGCAGCGAAGACCAGATCTGGCTGGAGACCCTCTTAAGTCTGATCCCAGGGAGGCTCTGGAGCATGCACCGCAGCACAGAAGGGGCCTCACCTTGGTCGCTCTTATATCTCTGTGCTAGCGTGTCCCTGGCTGTTGGCTGTTCTCAGGAAGGAGGTGAATAGCAACCACCTGGACCAGGTGACTGCCCTTCAGCTGAGGTCAAATCTCTGCAGGAAAATCATCTATGAGGTAGGAATGAGCATCCTGGAGAAGGGGACCTGAGCAGTGCACCCACAGTAATTCCTACACTGTGTAAATGTCTTTAAAGAAAAGTCCAGGGCTGGGCATGGTGGCTTATGCTTGTAATCCCAGAACTTTGGGAGGCCAAGGTGGGGGGATTGCTTGAGCCTAGGAGTTTGAGGCTGCAGTGTGCCATGATTGCACCACTGCACTCCAACCTGGGTGACAGAGTGAGACCCTGTCTCTAAACAAAACAAAAAACAAAACAAAACAACACCCCCAAACCCCCAGAACATCCTGTTTTGAGCAGGCCTATGCAAATTTACTCCCAAAGGCCAAAGAAGCTGAGAGTCTGAAGAAGAGGCTGACAAATCAAATTTCTGAAGTACAAACATTTAATATTGCTTAAAGAAGAGCAGGCATGTTTGGGTGGCAGGGAGATGAGATGGTGGAATCCCACACTGTTACCTCCCAGACCCAAGGCTTACATGCAATAGGATAGAATGGTATAAAAGCCCTTTTATACTGTGGGTTATACAAGGAATTGAAGTTGATTGCTTAGAAGAAGAGAAGGATTTGACTAAGGGCAGGGTTTAGGTGAAAGTAGTAACTGTAGGCACATTTCTGGAGCTGGCTTTCATCAGAAGTCAATTTGGCAGGTGAGCATCCAAGATGAAGTGTCCTTATTCTCCACACTCCATCCCCCTAATTCGGCTCTTACAATCTCACGCGCCTTCCTCTTCCAAGATGGTCCCTGAGCCTTTAGGCAGGGAGGTTGGGGTGAACATGCTGCATCAATGTGTTTTCTACTTTTTTAAGCAGAGGCCACAGCAACACTACAGCAGGCTTTGTAGAAATCATCAGCAGCCTTTGTAGAAACAGCAGGCTTTGTAGAATCATCTTCAGAATACTGTGATTTTGGTTAATTCAGAAGTACTACAATGAAAGATCTATAACATTAATAATTTGAATAGTAGGAATAGAATGCACACAGGATTACAATAAAAATTGTTGTTGCATTAGAAGCCAACTAAAACTATCATAAAGAAAAAGAAAACCCATTTATTCCTTGGATACTTGTAGTCAGGAAATAATTCAGAATTTAGACCAAATTGCAGGTAAATAATAAAAACCTCAAAAACAATGTTTAGGGCTAGAATCTAATAACAGGTGTAGTATAGTTTTCTTCTGAAACCTAATTTTTTTTATCTTCAGTTTCCACATTTCTATGAAGGATAAATTGTAGTAGGACCAATTTATTTGCAAAATAAATTTTAATTTCATTATACTTGGTCTGATTATTATTATTATTATTTGAGACAAAGTCTCACTCTATTGCCCAGGCTGGAGTGCAGTGGTGTGATCTCAGCTCACTGCAATCTCTGCCTCCCAGGTTCAAGTGATTCTCCTCCCTCAGTCTCCCAAGTAGCTGGGATTACAGGTGCATGCCACCATGCCTGGCTAATTTTGTATTTTTAGTAGAGACAGGGTTTTATCATGTTGCCTAGGCTGGTCTTGAACTCCTGATTTCAGGTGATCCTGCCTCAGCCTCCCAAAGTGCTGGGATTGCAGGCATGAGCCACCGTGCCCAGCCGTGGCCTGATTATTTGCAATAATGTGTAGAAAGAATAGTGATTGGCCATATAGCCTCTTTTAAAATTGGCTTTGCTGGACCTTTCACAAGTAATTTTGGACTAGATGTTTAGAAACATCAAGGGCAGGAAGCAAAACCAATAATTTGCCATCAGACTGTGCTTGTAGTACCTGTATAACCATGCAACATGTTCTTCTTGCCCATTGCACAGACAAAACCAATTTACTGAGTCCGTGGTATTGCAGTAGAGAAGGTTTAATTAAATCAGAGCAACCCAAGGGGTAGGACTGGGATTATTAATCAATCTCCCTAATAACTCAGAGGCTAGGATTTTTATGGATAATTTGGAAGGCAGGGGGCTAGGGAATGGTTGCTGCTGATTGTTTGAGGATGAAATCATAGGGGTGTGGAAAATGGTCCTCATGCACTAAGTCCATCTCTGGGTGGGGGTCACAGGACTGGAAATCTCAGGACCTCTGGCCATGTGACTCCTGAGAAGCAAGAGATTATAGAAAGGCAAGCTGTGGGACAATGACTTGTTATCAGTCAGCTACACCTGCATTTTAGCAGAATTCAGGCCCCTCTCATAATCTTAATCTTGTGGGCTTTCATTTGTCATACAAAGGTAGTTTCAGTCCCTGAGCAAGGAAGGGGTTCATTTTAGGGAGAGACTATTATCATCCGTGCTTCAAAGTTAAACTATAAACTAAATTCCTCCCATGGCTAGCTTGGCCTATGCCCAAGAGTGAGCAAGGGCAGCCAGCCTGAGGCCAGACACGAGATGAAGTCAGCCATGCTGGACTTCTCTCATATTCATAATCTTTGCAACAGCAATTTCACCTGTATGAACTGGGTGAATTCCCCCATCTTCTTGAGATCCCTACATAACTTGAGGTTCCTGAGCCTGTCAGAAAGTGACATTCTTTACTTTCCACAGGTGAGGGACCTTAAAAGGAAAGCATATTGAAAATATACCCAGTCTTTTTTTCTCCAAGAAGATTCTTATCAGCTCCATAAAGTCAACTTCAATTCCTCAAATAAGTCGTATTTGAATTCATTCCACTGTAAGCCTTCAAAGAGTAATGAGTATCTCCAATGGTTCCTGTTACGAAAGAAAACCGAATCTGATTGAGCTTGTGCCAATAATTATATTGCCATAAGTAAAAATACTCACAAATAGTTTCCAAATTTTGGAGAATTCTTACAGGGAGAAAGGTCAGTTTCACTCACAAAAGTATACTTGGTCAATTGCTGTTAGTTATAAATAGCTCAAAAGAAAGGTTTTCCTGATGCTTCTTCTAACAGAGTGGCAGTCTTCCAAACAGGATGTTGTCTGTTCACTTTGGAATTGCTATCCAGAGAGCAAGCAGCTCTTTGTCGGCCAGGCGAGAGCTGTTTATTAGGCACTGTAGAATCTAGCAGCATCTCGAGATGGAGCAGGGACCCCTCTTAGGGGCTTACTCGATCACCATCAGCCAGTATGGAGATAAAGGAAAATCTTGACTTCCTTCAAGGGAAATTCCAGGCATCTAGCTAGGCTTGAGAAGTAAATGAGCAACTTGATCAACGAGAAGGTAATGGTAACTTAAAACAATAGCCAAGGAAATTGGAGTCGTAACATATTTGGTTCCCTGTGAAAACTAAAGATAACATCTTAACATATGTCTCTGAGTTGTTTCCGGAAACCTGGACCCTCACCAGAAAATACTAAAAATACAAAAATTAGCCAGGTGTGGTGATGAGTGCCTGTAGTCCCAGCTACTCGGGAGGCTGAGACAGGAGAATTGCTTGAACCCAGGAGGTGGAGGTTGCAGTGAGGCGAGATCATGCCATTACACTCCAGCCTGGGCGACAAGAGTGAGACGTCTGCTAAAAAAAAAAAAAAAAAAAAAGAAAACCAAAGACATTGCTTACTCTCATCATCCATTAGTTACTCTCATCATCCAGTTACTCTCATCATTCATTTTAGTAAAGGCTCCTCCAGAAGCTGATAGCAGTCTCACTCAGATTGTACCCTCTGGTTTCTGTACTTTGTTTTGCTCCTCCCCAACAGTTACTAGGTTCTTGGTAACCACAATTCTCAGAAGTACTTTCTATTGTCCCTACATGATTTGGTCTTTGGGAGGTGGCTCTGAGCTAGTGGCTGAGACTCACATTCACTGAAATCTAAGCTTAGTGTAGCATCAAGATTGAAGCCAGCACTCTGTTTTAATTTTACTTTAGCTATGACAGGTAACAATAACTATGGGATTGAATATTACCCTTTTTTCTTATTTTGTTTGCATTTTCTTAGGCATCCAGTAAACTGACTCCTCCAAGAGTTGGATTCATTTCTAAATTCCCCAGCAAACTTTACCTTCAGTAACTGTGGCTCTGTGCCATGGGTAACTACATGGCCACTCAGGAATCAGAGGTTCCTCATTACTCACCTTTTTATTTTTTTGCTTTCTATACATTCAATTGTATCTATATCATTGTGAAAGAAAACAGAATCTCCAGGCCCCCAACTCACTATGGCTAAGGGCAAGTGAAGTTTGGAAACGTAGTCACACAATCCTGCTTTCTTTTTTCCCCAAACACATAGCTGTAATTTCACAACCCTGCGTCATTGCCGTATCATTGGGGTAAACGAGAATATCCCAGTGACACAAGGACACATATCTTCCCAGATGGCTTTCCTCATAAGTTGCTCACGCGGAAATTCCTTGTGAGCCCCTAACTCTTTCAGGAGAAATATTGTAAACAAAAAGTAAAATTCTAATCCCCCCAACCAACCGAATAGAGCCCCTTCTTGTCCAAGGGTATCCCCTGCAAACCTGAAAAACTAATTCAGGTCACGATGAGAAGGCAGGGGGTCAGACACACCTCATTATATTTCTTCCCTTTGGAGTTCATGCAAAGTGACCAGCACTAACATTAAAACAGAGATCCTGGCTGGGCACAATAGCTCACATTTGCAGTCCCAGCACTTTGGGAGGTCGAGGTGGGCAGATGACACGAGGCCAGGAGTTCAAGACCAGCCTGGCCAACAGGGCAAAATACCATCTCTACTGAAAATACAAAAATTAGCTGGGTGTGGTGGCGCACACCTGTAATCCTAGTTACTTAAGGGGCTGAGGCACGAGAATCACCTGAACACAGGAGGCAGAGGTTTCAGTGAATGAAGATCGCACCACTGCACTCCAGACTGGGTGACAGAGTGAGACCCTGTCTCAAGAAATAAGAGGAAAAAATAGAGATCCCAACAGTGACGGAACAGACTCTTTGTTGCAATAAGATAACCGACTCCAACCTGACTCTGGTATAGCATCACATAATAGATAACATTCCCTAAAGGAAATCAAAGTATTTTATCCCCAAATGTATTTCTTTGACATATTTTGGAATGGCCCTGCAAAGCCATCTCTTATTGGAGAAATCTATAGAGCATCCTCTTCCTGGCTTGGCACGGTGGGTCACGCCTATAATCCCAGCACTTTGGGAGGCTGAGGTGGGCAGATCACAAGGTCAGGAGTTTGAGACCAGCCTGGCCAATATGGCAAAACCCCATCTCTACTAAAAATACAAGAAAAAAAAATTAGCTGGGTGTGGTGGTGTGCACCTGTAGTCCCAGCTACTCGGGAGGCTGAGGCAGAAGAATTGCTTGAACCTGGGAGGTGGAGGTTCAAGCAATTGTATATTTAGGATATTACAAGTATCCTGGATTAAGTAATATCCTGGATATTAGGAACCATATTATAAGGAGGGTGGACACCTTTTTCGATATGGGGAGTAATATTATGCTCTCCCCCCAGAATATTATGAACAATTTCACAAGGGGGGTGTACACATCCTGTGACAATGGGAGTAATATCATCCTCTTTAAAAAAATATTAGTATCGATATCATGGAGGGGTGTACACGCTCTGCAATATTGGGAGTAATATTATTCTCTTTTTCCCCGGATATTCACAAGAATGTCACAGAGGTGGTGTACAATTCCTGTGATATTGGGAGTAATATATTCTCTCCCCCTAGATATTAGAAACAATATCAAATGGTGAGTGTACACACTCTGTGAAATTGGGAGTAATGTCATCCTCTTCCCCCTGGATAGTAAAAACAATATTACTGGGGGTTGTGTAGACTTTCTGCGATATTGGGAGTAATATCATCCTATCCCGCCCTGGATATTAGGATCAATATTACAGAGGGTGTACACCCTCTGCGATATAGGGAGTAATATCATCCTTTCCCCCCGAATATTAAAATCAATATCACAGAGGAGTATACACCTCCTGTGATATTGGGAATAATATCATCCTCTCCCTTCCCTGTACGTTAGAAACAATATCACAAGGGGTGTGAACACCTCCTGTGATATTGGGAGTAACATCACCCTATTATCTTTGGATATTAGGAGCAATATCACCTTGGGGGTGGGCACCTTCTGTGATATTGGTAGTAATATTATTCTCTCCCTCCCTGGATATTAGGACCAATATCACAGAAGGGGTTTACACCTTTTCTGATATTGGGAGCAATATTATCCTCTTCTCTTCTGGATATTAAAAACAATATCAAAAGGTCGGTGTACAGCCCCTGTGATATTGGGAGTAATATCATCCTTTTTCCCCATAAATATTAAAATTAATATAATTTTCTTCCCCCTGGCTATTAGGCACAATATCACAAGGGTGTGTACACCCCCTTCGGTATTAAGCGTAATATCATCCTCTCACCCCCTGGTTATTAGAAACAATGTCACGGGGGAGTGTACATCCCCTGCGATATTGGGAGTAATATCATCCCTACCTCCCTGGATATTAGAAACAATATCACAGGGGAGTTGTAAGCTTCCTGCGATATTGGGAGTAATATTATCCTCTCCCCTTCTGGATATTAGGAACAATATCACAGGGAAAGTGTACACCTTCTGTGATATAGGGAGTAATATCATTTTCTCCCCCACTGGATGTTAGAAACAATATCACAGGGAAGGTGTACAGCCCCTGCCATATTAGGAATAATATCATCCTCTCCCCTCATGGATATTAGGAGCAATATCACAGGGGAATGTACACCCCTTGCGATATTGAAAGTAATGTCATCCTCCCCTACTCTGGATATTAGGAACAATATCACAGGGGTTGTGTACACGCCCTGCAATATTGGGAGTAATATTCTCTCCCCCACTGGATATTAAAAACAATATCACAGGGGGTTGTACACCCCCTGCAATTTTGGAAGAAATATTATCTTTTCTCCCCGTGTATATCAGAAACAATATCACAAGGGGGTGTACACACTCTGCGATATCGGGAGTTACACTGTCCTCTTTCCCCATACATATTAGGGACAATATCAATACGTGGGTGTACATCCCCTGTGGTATTGTTCTTAATATCATCCTCTGCCCCCCTATATAATAAAAACAATATCACAGGAAAGGTGTACATTTCCTTTGATATTGAGAGTGATATCATCCTCTTTCCCCTTAGATATTATAAACAATATCACAGGAGGGGTGAACACCCCCTGTGATATAGGGAGTAATATCATCCTCTACCGCCCTGAATATAAAGAGTAATATAACAGAGGGGGTGTACACACTCTGTGATATTGACAGTAATATAATTCTCTGCCCCCCAGATATTAGGAACAATATCAAAAAAGGGGTGTACAACCCCTGTGATATTGGGAGTAACATCCTCTCCTTCCCTGGATATTACAAACAATATCACAGGGGAATGTACACCCTCCCCTGTGTATGGGGTAGTAATATAATTATCTCCCCCACTAGATATTAGAAACAATATCACAGGGAAACAATATCACTGCGATATTGGGAGTAATACTATTTCTCCCAGCCCGAGTATTAGAAACAGTATCACAGGGGGAGTGTACACTCCCTGCAATATTGAGAGTAAAACCATCCTCTCCCCACTTGGATATTAGAAACAATATCACAGGGAAGGTATACGTCCCCTTAGATATTGGGGGTAATAGCATTCTCTTTTTTCCTGGGTATTAGGAGCAATATCACAGGGGTGGTGTACACCCTGCAATACTGGGGGTAATATCATTCTCTTCCCTTTTGGATATTAGGAACAATATCACAGGGAAAGTGTGCACCTTCGGCGACATTAGGAGTAATATCATACTCTTCCCTCCTTGATATTAGCAACAACGCCACAGGTTTACATCCCCTGTGATATTGGGAGTCATATCATCCTCTTTTCCCCTTGATATTAGAAGCAATATCACAAAGGGTGTATTCATTCCCTGCTATACTGGGAAGAATATCAACCTCTTTTTTTCCCCTGGATATTAGGAATAATATCCCAGGGGGAGTGTACCCATTCTGCTATATTGAGAGAAATATCACCCTCATTTCCCCTGGATATTAGAAACAATATAAAAGGGGGGGGTGTACACTTCCTGTGATATTGGGATTGATATCATCCTCTTCCTTTTTGGATATTAGGAACAATATCACAGGGGGGTGAACACTCTTTGTGATATGGAAAGTAATATTATCCTCTCCCCCCCTGGATATTAGGAACAATATCAAAGAGGGCATATACATCCCCTGCGATATTGGGAGTAATATTATCCTCTCCCCCCCTAAATCCTAAATATTAGGAGCAATATTACAGGGTGGAGTTTACAACCCTTGCAATATTGGGAGTAATATCACCCTCTCCTCCCCTGGATATTAGGAACAATATCACAGGGATGTGCACACCCCCTGCAATATGGAGAGTAATATCATTCTCTCCCTTCCTGGATATTAGGAACCATATCACAGGTGGGGTTCACAACCCCTGTGATATTGGGAGTAATATCATCTTCTTTTTTTCTGGATATTAGGAACAATGTCTATTGGGGGAACTAGCCCCCAATATTTCAAAGTAGGTTCTTTTCTATTTTCCTTAAGTGTCACCTGGTCTGAGAAATAAAGTGAAAGAGTACGAAAGAGAAATTTTACAGCTGAGCCTCCGGGGTGACATCACATATCGGCAGGTTCTGTGATGACCACCTGATCTGCAAAACCAGCAAGTTTTTATTAGGGACTTCAAAAGGGGAGGGGGATACGAATAGGGAGTGGGTCACAGAGATCACATGCTTCAAATGGCAATAAAAGATCACAAGGGCAGAAGGGCCTAGCAAGGTCACAAGGCCAGGGAGAAAATGGAATTACTATTGAGGTTCCATGTCCTGCTGTGCACGCATTGTCATTGATAAACATCTTAACAGGAAACGGGGTTCAAGAGCAGAGAACTGGTCTGACTAGAATTCGCCAGGCTGGAATTTCTAATCCTAGCAAGCCTGAGGGCACTGCAGGGGACCAGGGTGTATTTCATCCCTTATCTTCAACCACATAAGGGATACACCCCCAGAGCGGCCGTCCATAGGCCTCCCCTAGGAATGCGTTCCCTTCCCAGTGATATTTCTCCTACTCATTTTCTGCAATAAGAAAAATGTGACTCTGTTCTGCCCAGCCCCACAGGCAGTCAGACCTTATGCTTATCTCCCTTGTTCGCTGAACATCGCTCTTATCCTGTTCTTTTTCAGGGTGCCCAGATTTCATATTGTTCAAATACACATGTTTTATAAACAATTTGTGGAGTTAATGCAATCATCACAGGGTCCTGAGGCGACATACATCCTCAGCTCACAAAGATGATGAGATTAAGAGATTAAAGTAAAGACAGGCATAGGAAATTATAAAAGTATTGATTGGGGAAGTGATAAATGTCCATGAAATCTTCACAATTTATGTTCAGAGATTGCAGTAAAGGCAGGCATAAGAAATTATAAAAGTATTAATTTGGGGATAATATCCCTGTAATATCCCTGGATATTACAAACTTTACCACAAAGGGGTGTACACCCCCTGAGATATGGGGATAATTACACCTTCCCTCCCCCCTTGATTTTACGATCCATACTACAAGGGGGTGTACACTCCCTGCAATATGGGGAGTAATAGCACCTTTTCCCCTGCTGGATATTACGAACCACAGGGGGGTGTACACCCCCCTTGATATGGGGAGTCATAGTGTAGCAGGAGGAGTCGCGGACAAAACCCCACAGACACCGAGGTAGTGAAGGAAGTGGCTTTTAATCAGCTGGAAGCATCGAAAGACTAGCGTCTCAAAATCCGAGCTTGTTGAGTGCACAATTTCTGTCCTTTTTAAGGGCTCACAACACTAAAGATCTTACATGAAAGGGCCATGATTGATTGAGCAATCTAGTGGGTATGTGACAGGGGCTGCAGGCACCGGTAATCAGAGTGAAACAGCACAGAACAAGAAATTTCACAATGTCCTTCCATACAATGTCTGGAATCTATGGATAACATTGGTTGCTAGGTCATGGGTTGAATTTTAACTATCAGGCTAAGGTCAGGCAGGCCCAGGCCTGGTTTCGGGTCTGGTTTTGGGTCTGGTGCCTGGCGCCGGGCTGCCTGCTTTTGGTTTCACTTCCTTGTTTCTTCTTAAAACAGGTACTGAGTATAAAATAATATAGAACAATATGGGGGGTCTCTTTCTCTCTTCTTTTGATAGCATCCCCTCACCCCGGATATTACGAACCATACCATAGGGGGGTGTACGCCTCCTGCAAAATGGGGAATAATAGCACCCTCTCTTACCCTGGATATTTCGAACCATACCACAGGGAGGTGCACTCCCCCCACGATATGGGGAGTATGGGGGTAACAGTACCCTCAATCCCCTGGATATTACGAACCATACCACAGGGGAGTGTACATTTCCAGCGATATGAGGGGTAACAACACCCTCTCCGTTCCTGGAGAATACAAAACATACCACACAGGGGTGTACACACCCCGCGATATAGGGAGTCATAGCATCCTCTCTCCCCCTGGATATTAGGAACCGTACCGCAGCAGGGTGTACATGCCCCGCACTGTGGGGAGTAATAGCACCCTCTCCCTGCCTGGATATTATGAACCATACCACAGTGGGGTGTACACCCCTTGCAATATGGAAAGTAATAGCACCCTCTTTCCTTCTGGATATTAAGAACCATACCAAAGGGGGGTGTGCACTCCCTGCGATATTGAAAGTAATATTATCCTGTTCCCTTCTGGGTATTAGGAACAATATCACAAGGGAATGCACATGCCCTGCGGTATTTTGAGTAATATCATCCTCTCCCCTTCTGAATGTCAGGATCAATATCACAGGGAGGTGTACACCTTCTGCGATATTGGAAGTAATATCATCCTCTCCTTTTCTGGATATTAGGAACAATATCACAGAAGGTATGAACACCCCTGCTATATATCCAGTAATATCAGCCTCTCCCCTCCTGGATATTAAGGAGAATATCACGGGGGGGGGGGTGTAATATCATCCTCTTCCCTGCTGGATATTAGGAACAACATGACAGGGTGGGTGTACACTTCCTGGATAATGGGATTAATATCATCCTCTTTCTTCCTGGATATTAGGAACACTACCATAGGGGAAGTGTAACCCCCCTGCAATATTGGTAGTAATATCATCCTCTTTTTCCCTGATTATTATGAAGAATATCACAGCGGGGATGTACAATTTCTGCTATATTGAGAGTAATATCATCTTCTCCCCGCCTGAATATTAGAAACAATATCACAGGAAAAATACACACCCTCTGCGACATTGGGTGTAATATCATACTCTTTTCCCATGGATATTAGAAATAATATCATAGGTGGGGTGTATACCCCCTGCGATATTGGGAGTAATATCATCCTCACCACTTCTGGATATTAGGAACAATATCACAGGAGGTGTGTACACCCCTTGCTACAATGGGAGTAATATCATGCTCTTTCCCCCTGGATACTAAAAACTATATCACAAGAAAGGAGTACAAACCCTGTGATATTGAAAGTAATATTATCTTCTTTCCCCCTTAATATTAGGAACAATATCACATGGGGTGTGTACACCTCCTGCGATATTGAGAGTAATATTATTTTCCCCTCGCCTGGATATAAGGAACAATATCACAGGAGGGGTGTACACCCCCTGTGATAATGAAAGTAATATAATCTCCTCCCCCTCTTGATATTAAAAACAATATCACCTGAGGAGCACACACCCCCTGTGATATGGAGACTAATATCATTTTCTCCCCACCGAAATATTTAGAACAATATCACGGGGGGTGTACACCTTATGTGATATTGGGAGTAATATCATCCTCTCCCACCCTGTATATCAAAAACAATATCACAGGGAGTGTGTACACTCCCTGTAATATTCACAATAATATCATCGTTTTCTTCCCTGGATATTAGGAACAATATCACAAGGGTGGTGTACATCCCCTGTGATATTGGGAGTAATATCATCATCTCCTCCCATGGATATTAGGAACCATATCACAGGAGGGGTGTACACCTTGTGCGATATTGGGAGTAATATTATGTTCTCTCCACCTGGATATTAGGAACAATATCACATGAGCGGTGTACACCCCCTGCGATATTGGGAGTAATGCCATTTTCTCCCCCTTGATATTAAAAGCAATATCACCAGGCGGAGTGCACACCCCCTGCGATATCGAGACTAATATCATTTTCTGCCAACCTAACTATTAAGTACAATATCACAGGGGGTGTTCACCCCTTGCCATATTGATAATAATCTCCCCTCCTGGATATGAAAAACAATATCACAGGGGCGTCGTGCACCCCCTGCGATACTGGGAGTAATATAATCCTCTCCACACCCTGGATATGAGGAACAATATTACAAAGCGGGTGTACACCCCCTGGAATATTCACAGTAATATCATCGTTTCCTTTCCTGGATATTAGGAACAATATCACAAGGGGGGTGTAGACCTCCAGCGATTTTGGGAGTAATATTTTCCTCTCCCCCTCTGTATATTAGAAACCATCATGGGGGGGTGTACACCACCTGCGATATTGGGAGTAATATCATCCTCTTCACCCCTGGTTATTAGGAACAGTATCACTTGAGGGGTGTACCTCTACTGCGATATCAGGCATAATAACATCCTCTCCCCCCGAATATTAAGAACAATATCACAGGTGGACTGCACACCCTCTGTGATATTGAAAATAATATCATCCTCTGCTTCCCTGAATATTAGGAATAATATCACAAGGGGGGTGGACAACCCCTTCTATATGAGGAGTAATATCCTCTTCCTTCCTTTATATTAGGATCAATATCACAAGGGGGGTGTACACCCCCTGCAATATTGGGAGTAATATTACCCTCTCTTTTTCTGGATATCAGAACAATATCACAGGGGAAGTATACATTCCCTGTGATATTGCGAGTAATATTCTTTCCCTCTACTAAATATTTGCAACAATATCACAGAAAAGGTGTACAACCCCTACGATATTGGCAGTAATACTATTCTCTTCCCCCTGGATATTAGGAACAATATTACAGGTTAAATGTACACTCCTAAGATATTGGGAGTAATATCATTCTCTTTTGCTCTGGATATTAGGAACAATATCGCAAGGGCGATGTACACTCTCTGAGATATTGAAAGTAATTTAATTATCTCCCTCCCGGCTATTAGGAACAATATCACCGGGGAGTGTACACCCTCTGCAATATTTAGAGAAATAAGATCCCCTTTTCCCCTAGATTTTAAGAACTATATTACAGGGGATGTGTGTACACCCCCTGCGATGTTGGGAGTAATATCATCCTCTCTCCCCCTAAATATTTGGAACAATATTACAGGGGTGGTGTACACACCCTGCGATACTGGCAATAATGTCATCCTCTCCTTTTCTGCATATTGGGAACAACATAATGGGGGAGTGTACACCTCCTGCGATATTAGGAGTAATATCATCTTCTTCTGCCCTGGTTACTAGGAGCAATATCACAGAAGGTTGTATAACCCCTGCGATATTGGGAGTAATATCATCCTTCCCCCCACGTATATCCCAGCCTTGATATTAGGAACAATATTACAGGGGAGGTGTATACCCCCTGCTATAAGGGGAGTAACATAATCCCCTTTCTTCCTGGATACTAGCAGCAATATCACAGGGGTTGTGTACAACCCCTCCGATATTGAAAGTAACTTCATCTTCTTTCCCTCTGAATATTAGGAACAATATGATGCGGAAGGTGTACACCCCCTGTGGTATTGAGAGTGATATCATTTTCTCCTAGCTTGGATATTAGAAACAATATCACAGGAGGGGTGTACACCCACTGCGATATCGGGAGTAATATAATCCTCTCCCACCCCTGGATATTAGGAACAATATTAGGATATTAGGAAGGTGTACACTCCTTGGAATATTTATAGTAATATCATCGTTTCCTTCCCTGGATATTAGGAAAAATATCAGAAGGGGGTGTACACACCCCAGAGATTTTGGGAGTAATATCACCCTCTCCCCCGGATATTAAGAACAATGTTATTGGAAGTGTGTATGCCTTCTGCGATATTTGGACTCATATCATTTTCTCCCAACCTAAATATTAAGAACAATACCACAGAGGGTGTACAGCTCCTGCAATATTGAAAGTAATATCATCCTCTCCTTCCCTAGATATTAGGAACAATATCACAGGGCGTGTACACCTCCTGCGATATTGGGAGTAATGTCATCCTTTCCCATCCTTGATATTAGAAAAATATCACAGGGGGGTATACACTCCCTACACAAATTGAAAGTAATATCCTCTCCACCGCTGGATATTAGGAGCAATATAACGGGGGAGGGCCTGTATACACCCTGCAATATTGGGAGCAATATTATTTTCTCCTCCACTGGATTTTAGGAATAATATCACAGTGTGGGTGTAAACCCCCTGCGATATTGGGAGTAACATCATCCTCTTTCCCCATGGATATTAAATACAATATCACAGGAGGGGTCTACACTGTCTTTGATATTGGGAGTAATATTATTCTTTCTCTTCCTTGATATAAGGAACAATATCAGAGGGGGATATACACCACCTGCAATATTGGGAGTAATATCATCCTTTCCCTTTCTGAATATTAGGAACAATATCACAAAAAAGGTGTACACTGCCTGCAATACTGAGAGTAATATAATCCTCTCCCTTCCTGGATATTAGAAACAATATCCCAAAAGGGATGTACACTCCCAGCGATATTGAAAGTCATATAATCGTTTCCTTCCCTGGATATTATGAAGAATATCACAGGGTGGGTGTCCACTTTCTGCGATATTAAGAGTAATATCATCCTCTCTCCTCCTGAATATTACGAACAATATCGCATGGAGGATGTACATCCCTTGCGATATTGGGAGTAATATCCTCCTCTCTCCCCCTTGATATTAGGAACAATATCACGGGGGAGCGGTGCACACACCCTGCGATATTGGGACTAATGTCATTTCCCCCCACCCGGATCATAGGAACAATATAACAGGGAAAGTGCACACCCCCTGCGATATTGAGGGTAATATCATCCTCTCCCGCCCTGGATATTAGGAACAATATCACAGGGCGTTGTACACCTCCTGCGATATTAGGAACAATATCATGCTGTCCCCTTCTGTATATTAGGAACAGTATCACAGGGGGTTGTACACCCCCTGCGATATTGGGAGAAATATTATCCCCTTCTCCCCTGTATATTAGGAACCATATCACAGGCTGTGTGTACACCCCTTGTCATATTCTGAGTTAGATCATCCTCTCCCCCTCTGGATATTAGGAACAATATCATAGGCGTGGGTACACCCCCTGCAATATTAAGAGTAATATCATCCTCTCCCTCCCTGAATGTTAGGAACAATATCACAGGGGGAAAGAACCCCCTGCGATATTTGGAGTAATATCATACTCTCCCCACCTGTATATTCAGAACAATAACACAGGGGATTTATACATCCCATGCAATATTGAAAGTAATATCATCCTCTCTCCATCTGGATATTAAAAAAGAATATCAGAGGGGGGAGTACACAATACATCCCCTTTGTATTGGGAGTAATTTTATCTTCTCTCTTTTTAAATATTAAAAACAATATCACCGGAAAGGTTTACTCCCTCTGTGATATTGAAAGCAAAATCATCCTCTACCCCCTGGATGTAAGAAATAATATTATGGGGAGGGTGTACATCTTCTAAGATATTGGGAGTCATATTACTTTCTCCCCTCCTGGATATTAGAAACAATATCACGGGGAGGGGGTACAGACCCAGCAATTTTGAAAATAGTATTATCCTAACTCTTCTTCCGCTGGATATTAGGAACAATATCGCAGGGGTTGTGTAAACTCCCTGTGATATTGAAAGTAATATCATCCTCTCCCTCCCTGGATATTAGGACCAATATCTCAGGAAGGTTGTACACCCTTTGCGATATTGGGAGCAATATTATCCTCTTCCACCCCGGATATTAGGAACAACATCACAGGGTGGGGTACACCCCCTGCGATATTAACAATAATATCATCCTCTCCTCCCCTGGATATTAGAAACAATATCACAGGGATGCGTACACCCCCTGTGATATTGAAAATAATATCATCATCTTTTCCTCTGGATGTTAGGAACAATATCACACAGGGGGTTTACACCGCCTGTGATATTGGGAGTAATATCATTCTCTCAATCCCTGGATATTAGGAACAACTTCACAGGGGGAGTGTACACCCCCTGCGATATCGGGAGTATTATACCCTTCTCCCCCTGTGAATATTAGAAACAATATCACAGGGAATCTGTACATCCCCTGTGATATTGACAATAATATCATCCTCTCTCCCCCAGATATTAGGAACAATATCATAGAACGGGTGTACACCCGCTGGAATATTGGGAGTAATATCATTTTCTCCACCCCCGGATATTAGAAACAATATCACAGAACCAGTGTATACGCCCTGCAATATTGACAGTAATATCATCCTCTCTTTTCCTGGATATTAGGAACAATATCACAAAGGGGTGTACATGCCCTGTGCTGCTGGAAATAGTATCATCCTGTGTCTTCCTGGATATTAGGAACAATATTAAAGGGGGAATGTACACCCCCTGTGATATTGGGATTAATATTTTTCTTTCCCCTCCTGGATATTAGAAACAATATCACAGAGAGGGTGTACCCCCCTGCAGTATTAGGAGTTATATCATCCTGTTTCGTTCTGGATATTAAAGACAATATCTCAAAGGGTGTGTACACCCCTTTCAGTTTTGGAAGGAATGTCACCCTCTTCTCTCCTGGATATTAGGAACAATGTCACAAAGAGGAAGTACACACCCTGCGACATTGGGAGTAATATCATCCTTTTTCCCCCTTGATATTAGAAACAATATCCCAGCGGGGTGTACAGCCCCTGTGATATTGGGAGTAATATCATCCTCTCTCCTGCTGCATATTGGCAACAATATTACAGAGTGTATGTACACCCCCTGTGATATTGGGAGTAATATTCTTTCTCCCCATGAATTTTAGGAACAACATCACAAGGCGGGTGTACATGCCCTGGGATATTGGGAGTACTATTATCCTCTCACACCCTGGATATTAGGAAGAATATTACAGCGGGGTGTACACCCCCTGTGATACTTGGAGACATATCCTCTCCCCTTCTGGATATTTTGAACAATATGATAGGTGGTGTACAGCCCCTGCCATATGGGGAGGAATGTCATTTTCTCCTTTCCCGGATATTACAAACAATATCACAGTGGGGTGTACACCCACTATGATATTGCAAGTAATATCATCCTCTCCCATTCTGAACATTCCACTTCCCCCTGGATATTACGAATAATATCCCGGGGCGGGGGTGTACACCCCCTGCGATATTAAGAGTAATATCAGCCTCTTTCTTCTGGATGTTACAAACAATATCACAGGGAGGTGTACACTCTCTGAGATATTAAGAGTAATAACATCCTTTTTTCCTCTGGATATTTGGGACAATGTCACAGGAGGTGTACACACTTTGCGATATTGGGACAGATATCATCCCCTCCCCCTCTTAATATTATGAACAGTATTCAAAAATGTACACCCCCTGCAATATTGGGAGTAACGTTATCATCTTTAATTCTGGATATTACGATCAATATCAGAAGGGGGTGTACACCTACTTTGATATTGGGAGTAATATCATCCTCTCCCCCCCGAATATTGTGAACAAGATCACAGTGTGGTGTATGTCCCCTGCAATACTGGGAGTAATATCTTTCTTTCCACTCATGAATATTAGAAACAATATTACAGAGGGAGTGTACACCCCCTGCGATTTTGGAAGTAATATCATCTTCTCCACTTCCGAATATTAGGAACAATATCAAAGGGGGGGCCTACACTCCCTGAGATGTTGGGAGTAATAGTATCCTCTCCCCTCCCTGGATATTACAAACAATATCACAGGGGAGTGTACACCTCCTGTGATATTGGGAGAAAATTTTCTCTCATTCCGGATATTATAAACAATAACACAGTAATGTGTACACCGCCTGCGATATTGAAAGTAATATTATCCTTTTTCCCTCTGAATATTGTGAACAATATCACAGGGAATTGTACACCCCCTGCGATATTGACAGTTATGTCATCCTCTTTCCCCTAGGATATTATGAACCATATCACAGGGTGGTGTATATCTTCTGCGAGATTCAGAATAATATCATCCTCCCTTCTTCTGGATATTATGAACAATATCACAGGGAGTGTACAGTTTTTGTGATATTGTTAGTAATATCATCCTCTCCCCTTCTTAATATCATGACAATATCACAGAAAGGTGTACACCACCTGCAATATTGGGAGTAATATCATCCTCTCTACCTCTGGATATTACGAACAATATCACGGGGGGGTGTACACTTCCTCTCCTCCCCTGGATATTATGAACAATATCATAGAGTGTTGTACACACCCTGCGATATTGGGAGTAATATAATCGTCTCTTCCCCTGAATATTACAAACAATAAAACAAGGGGGTGTACACCCCCTGTGATATTAGGAGTAATATCATCATTTCCCCATCTGGATATTACAAACAATGTCAGAGTAAGGTGTACACCTTCTGCGATATTGGCAATAATATCATATCTCCCCTTCTGGAAATTAGGAACAATATCATAGGGGGGTGTACACCCACTGTGATATTTGGAGTAATATCACTCTCTCCTTCCCTAAATATTACGAACAATGACACAGGAGGGTTTTCACCCCTTCTGATATTGAGAGTAATATTATCCTCTCTCCCCTGGATATTACAAAAAATATCACAAAGGGGTGTACACCCTTTGTGATATAGGGAGTAATATCCTCTTTTTCCCTGGATATCATGAACAGTATCACATAGGGGTGTAAACCTTCTGCGATATTGAGAGTAATATCCTCTCCTTGCCTGGATATTACAAACAATATCACAGGAGTTCTACACCCCCTGCCATATTGGGAGTAATATCGTCTTCTCCTTCCCTGGATATTATGAACAATATCACAGAGTGGTGTAAACCTTCTGCGATATTGGGAGTAATATCATCCTCTCTTTCCCTGGACATTACGAACAATATCACAGAGGGGTGAACACCCTCCCCAATAGGGCGAGCTATATCACCATCTACACCCCTGGATATTACGAACCATATCAAAGAAGGGAGTACACCCTCCGTGATATGGGGAGCAATATCACCCTCTCCCCTTTTGCATATTATGAACCATATCACAGGGGGCTGTACACCCTTCGCTTTATGAAGAACAATATCACCCTCTTCCCGTCTGGGTATTATGAACCATATCACAGGGGAGGGTGATCCTTCCGCGATATAAGGAGCAATATCACCCTTTCTTCCCCTGGATATTACGAACCATATCACGGGGGGTGTACACCCCCCCTGATATGAGGATAAATGTAAATTTCTCCCCCCATGAATATTATGAACCAATCCAGGGGGGTGTACCCCCACTGCGATATGGGGAGCAATATCACCCTCTAACCCCCTGGATATTACAAACCATATCACAGAGGGGTGTACACTTCTGGGTATTACGAACCATATCACAGGGGTTGTACACCCCTCGGGTTATGAAGAGCAATATTTTCCTCTTTCCTCCTGGATATTACGAACCATATCACAGGAGGATGTACGTCCCCCGCGATATGGGGAGAAATATCACCCTTTCCTTTCCTGGATATTACCAATCATATCACGGAGGGTTTACACCCCCTGCGATATGGGGAGCAATATCACTCTCTCCTCCCCTGGATATTGCGAATCATATAACAATAAGGTGTACACCTTCCTCGATGTAAGGAGCAGTATCACCCTCTCCACTCCTGGATATTACGAACCATATTACATGGGGGTGTACACTCTCCACAATATGGGCAGCAATATTACCTTTTTCTTCCCTGGATATAACGAACCATATCACAGAAGGGTGTACATCCCCTACAATATGGGGAGAAATATCACCCTCTCCCCCACCCGGATATTACAGACTATAACACAGGGGGGTGTACACACAGAATATTTACAATATCACAGAAGGGGTGTACACCCTTTGTGATATTAGGAGAAATATCATTGCCTCCCCTTCTGGATATTAGGAATGATATCACGGTGGGGGTGTTCATGCCCTGAAATACTAGGAGTAATACCTTTCTCTCCCCACCCCTGAATATTAGGAACAATATCAAATGGGGGTTTACACCTTCTGTGATTTTGAGACTAATAACCTCTCCCCCACTGGATATTAGGAAAGACATCACGAGGGAGGTGTACACCTTCTGCAATATAGAAAGTAATATCATCCTCTCCTCCTCTGAATATTAAGAACCATATCACAGGAGGAGTGCACACTCTCTGCGATATTGGGAGCAATATCATCCTCTTTCTTCCTGAATATTAGGAAGAATATCACAGGGAAAGTTATGCCTGTAATCCCAGGACTTTGGGAGGCCAAGGTGGGTGGATTATTTGAGGTCAGGAATTCAAGACCAGCCTGACCAACATGGTGAAACCCCAACTCTACTAAAAATACAAAAATTAGCCTGGTATGGTGACAGCTGCCTATAATCCCAGCTACTCCGAAGGCTGAGGCAGGAGAATCGTGCGAACCTGGGAGGCAAATGTTGCAGTGAGCCGAGATTGCGCCATTGCACTCCAGTCTGGGCGGCAGAGCAAGACTCCATCTCAAAAAAAAAAAAAAAAAAAAAAAGAATCACGGGGGGGTGTACACACCATTCGATATTGGGAGTAATATCATCCCCTTTCCCCCTAAATATTAGGAACAATATCACAGGAAGCGTGTACATCCCCTGCGATATTGGGAGTAATATCACACTTTCTTCTCCTAGGTATTACTAACAATATCACAGGGGGAGTGTACATCCCCTGCGATATTGAAAGTAATATCATCCTCTTTCTTCATGGATATTAGGAACAATATCATAAAGGTGGTGTACACCCCCTGTGATATTGGGAGTAATATCGTCCTCTCCCCCCATCGATATTAGGAACAATAACACAGGGTTGGTGTACACCCCTTGTGATATTTGGAGAAATATCATAATCTCCCCAACCTGGATATTAGGAACAATATCACAGAGGGGAGGACACCCCCTGGAATATTCACAGTAACATCATCGTTTCCTTTCCTGGATATTGGGAATAATATTATCCTCTCCACCCTGGATATTAGGAACAATATCACAAGAGGGGTGTACACCCTTTGAGATTTTGGGGGTAATATCATCCTCTCCCACCCTGGATATTAGGAACAATATCACAGGGAGGGTGTACATCCCTCTGAGATATTAAGAATAATATCGTCCTTTCCCCCATGGGTATTAGGAACAATATCACGACAGGTGTGTACACCTATTGTGATACTGGGAATAATACTATTTCACCCCCCCCCGATGTTGGGAACAATATCACGGGAGGGGGCTGTACAGCCCCTGTGATATTGGGAGTAATATCATCCTTTCATTTCTTGGATATTAGAAACAATATCACGGGGGGGGCACACTCCCTTCAATATTAAGGGCAATATCACTCTCTTTCTTCCTGAATGTTAGGAAAAATATTACAGGGGAATGTACACCTCTTGCAATATTTGGAGTAATATCTCCTCTCCTTTTCTGGATATTAGGAACTATATCAAGGGGGGGTGTACACCTTCTGCAATAGTGGTGGTAATGTCATCTTCTTTTTCCCTGGATATTAGCAACAATATAACAAGGAAGGTGTACACCCCCTGCGATGTTGAAAGTAATATTATCCTCTCCTTTTCTAGATATTATGAACAATATTACAGGGAAGGTGTACATCCCCTGCGACATTGGGAGTAATATCATCCTCTCCCATCCTGGATATTAGGAACAATATCACAGGTGGGGTGTAGACCTCATGCAATATTGGGAGTAATATCATCCTCTCCCTCTGGATATTATGAGGAATATCACAGAGGGTTTACCTACAGGGTGTTTAAGATATTGAGAGTAATATCATCCCCTCCCTAACTGGATCTTTTGAACAATATCACAGAAGGGTGTACACTTCCTGTGACATTGGGAGTAATATTATTCTTCCTCTTATGGATATTACAAATAATATCACAGGTTGGTGTACAGTCTTTGCGATATTGGGAGTAATATCATTCTCTCCCCCCCGGATATTATGAACAATATTACAGTGGGGTGTACACCCCCTGTGATGCTAAAAGTGATATCATCCTATCCCCTCCTGGGTGTTAGGAACATTGTCACAGAGGGGGCACAACCCCTGAGATATTAGGAGTAATATAATTCTCTCCCACACGGATATTACAAAAAATATCACAGAGGCTGTACACACAGGGTGTTTAGAATATTGAGAATAATGTCATCTTCTCCCTCCCTGGATATTACAATGAAGAGATAACATCCATTACTGCTGCTACAGTGGAGGTACAACTGATGGTGTTTGCATTAGTTTCCTGCCATCTGCCATCATCCTTCTGGATTTTGAAGATACCAGACTGGTGAATTCCGTGAAAGAGATGAGTGGACCAACACTCGTCTCGCAGAAGTTGGCAAGGAATACATCAATTTCCTGACCCTTGCCCTTAGGCCATTACTCTAACAGGGGTCATGGTGATGTTTCCAACCATGGGTTTTATGCCAGCAAGACCTTCATGGCCAACAGCTTCTGAAAGATAACAATACTCACCTTTGTTCAGTGCTCAGTTACCTAAGCAAATGATTGTAGGTCTTTTCCAAGGGAAGCTGGAGAATCCCAAAGTTGTATACTTCCCTTGGTTTTGCATGAACCTGCCTCATGAGAACCCAGTCTCTTTTTGAATTAGACCTTCTTATGTGAGAACTGTCTCAGGTTTTAACTGGATGAAGGATGATGACTTTATATGAGGGCTGCTGACATCTGTTTCTGTTCCTCTTGATGATTTCTATTTCCTGTTACTGAAGGGACTCACTTGTCTGCCATTTATATCTGTTGTCCCTAATGAAACATACTCTAAGAGGTAAGTGCTAGATATTGCAAAGCAGTCCTCCCCTGATGCACTCTGGCACTGGTGCCAGCTCCTTATGCCCACCTTGCATTGATGGCAAAGTGCTGGCCTCTGCCATTCCCACATCTTCTCACCACTTTGTTGCTATGAATGGAGCCCATCTCTGTAACAGTGTGGCCTGCTTTAATGTCTGACCCATGAAGAATGTCCAGCACTTGATCTTAGCCATGCTGGTGTCCCTCTCACTGGGGCAGTGGTCATGGGCAGCCTTTTTTTTTTTTTTTTTTTTTTTTGAGACGATGTTTTGGTATTGTTGCCCATGCTGGAGTGTAGCAGTGCGACTGGGGCTCACCGCCACCTCCGCCTCCCAGGTTCAAGCAATTCTCATGCCTCAGCCTCTGGAGTAGCTGTGATTACAGGCGTCTGGCACAACACCCATCTAATTTTTTGTGTTTTTAGTAGAGGCAGGGTTTCACCATGTTGGCGAGGCTGGTCTCAAACTCCTGACCTCAGGGGATTCACCCACCTTGGCTTCCCAAAGTGCTGGGATTACAGGCATGAGCCACCCTGCCTGGCCATCATGGGCAGTCTTAAGGATGATAGTCAGCTCCTGGTTCTTCTTCTATAGTAGACCCAGTCCAAGATGCCCACTGATCGAGTTTGGATCTGTGTCCCCACCCACATCTCATGTGTAATTGTAATCCCCAATGGTGGAGGTGGTCCTGGTTGGGCCGGTGAGAATTGAGTGGATCATATGGGTGGATATTTCATGAATAATTTAGCACCATCCTCTAGGTGCTGTCTGGTGATAGAGTTCTAAAAAGATCTGATTGTTCAAAAGTGTGCAGCACCTCTCCTACCACTAGCTCCAGCTCTGGCCATGGAGGATGAGCCTGATTCCCTTGTGCTTTTTGCCATGACTCTAAGTTTTCTGACGCCTCCCCAGAAGTTGAGCTGATGGCCAGCATCATCCTTTTTGTACAGCCTGTGGAACCATGAGCCAATTAAACCTGAGTTTTTATAATTAATTACCCAGTCTCAGGTAATTCTTTATAGTAATGCATGAAAAGACTAATACATGTACTTCTGAACCATGTTATTCTTTACCCCAAAGCTATACATCCTTGCAATTCTGTGCTGATCCTAACCACCTGCAGTGAGCCCACACTCCTCAGGTTCTGGGCAAATTTTTCCACCAGCCTAACCTCACATCCAATGCTAGCCCCAGTTTTGCGATCTCAGGCCACTCACACTAATCTAAAACTTGCTGCAAATTCAAAAGGTCCCATCACTCTCAGGATGACTATTCAGATAGCAACACTCATGGAACTAAAAAAAATCACTGGGGTGGGGATCACATCCCGGCATTTATAGAGTGACTACATCCCAGACATGTGAAGAAAACTGAGGAGGGAACCCCAAGGGCTTGAAAGACCTTGCCGAGTGTGGAGCCCTGAAGTGCACATACCACTCGGTTGTCCCCCAGGGGCCTGGGAACCTTGCCAAGTGCGGGGTCTCTAGAGCAGAATCCACACCGCTGGGGAGGTGGATTTCAGGCCAGAAACCTTCAGGGACCTGGAGTCCCAACACATGCTAAAAACAGGGGTAGGGGCACAGATATGAAAGATTTTGGAGTATTTGGAGCCCAGAAGAGAAAACTGAAGGTGGCAGCGTGGAGCGCTCAGAAGATGGCGGAGACCATGGAGCCCAAAAAATCCAGAAAAAGAGGCGGGGACAGGGGATGGACCTCAGAAGCATTCAGAACGCACAGGGCCCCCTCCAAGGTCGCTTTCACACTGCCAAGGCTTCCTCTGCAGCTGCAGAGCTGCACTTTTCCTCTGTCCCAACAAAAATATGTCCCTTGAAGGTCTCATCTCCCATGGACTGGATCTGGATCTGGGCCTCATTTATCCAGGGGCCTCAGTCCTCAAGGAGGCCATTGTCACTCTGCTTCCCGATAAAGTCCTCTTAAGTTAGTAAATGCCCCTCAAGGGACCCATGGTTTGTCCTTATTCCTCCCTGAGTCTTCTCCTTCTGAGGGAGGAAGTTTTCAAACACCCCCAGGATTTACTGCCAGAATTTCACCCTCTGAAACCTCCTCCTTCCCTAGATCCAGTCCAGCTCCTCATCCTCAGCCCCCCAGACCCCATGGAGGTGTCCCATGCAATGGGTTTTTTCTAGATTGACAGCCTCCCCTCCTCAGCGTACAACTCAGAGACTCACCCTGTTCTGAGCAGCGAGCCACCGCATAAGCAGACATGAGACCTCACTCCAGCCAAATAACACTTTATTTTTGTAGTTTCAATGCTTTTCTTCCCCGAGGAAAGGGAGGAGCTCAGGAGAACAGTGTCATCAAAATTTCCTGGTGGTTGTTTAATCACAGCAGCAGAGTAGGTCAGGAAACTCTTCCAGATTACCCTCTTCCTCCTGAAATTAAAGGAAACATGCACGACTCATGAACTGATAAGGTTTCCCAACAATTGTGCGAATATCCTGCTGGATTTATGAGCTGAAAGTAAACCTGAATGACTTGTGCTGCTTGTCCAGGCATTATCTTCTTCAGGAAATATGAGATGTTGTTTGGAAGCATTTCAGAAGCAAGGGAAGCTGCTTTGTTGAATACATAGATGAGCATCTTCTTGATTAGAAACTTCAACCCAGCGATTAAGGGTCTCGTTACTAGTTTTGAGACATATGTCATTAATTGGTCGGCAAACCATTTTTTTATCACATCCATCAGAAAATCGACCACTTTCTCCACTAGCATTTCCATGGCCATGTTCATTATAAGTGAAGTAAATGAGCTCACAAAAAGTGTAATGAGTGTTCTGTCGGTTTCACGTAAAGATATATAATGGTATCGTCCCTGGAGAGCGTGGCCATTTTATGGGAGGTGACGTGGAGGGGGCGGGCCAAGATGGCCAATTAGAAGAGGCTGCCTTCCACTGAATTAAAGTCTCAGTGAATTTCACGATAAGCACGTGAACTGAAATATTCAGGTTCTCACATTGGGACTGACTAGGCAAACAACTTGACCCAGGAGAACAAAGAAAACAGGGGTGGGTGATGAACCACGCTATATTGGAACAGAGCCAAAGGAACCTTCTTGCACAGCCAAGAGAAGCCATGAGTGTGTGACCCCGCCCCAGAAACCATTTTTCTCCCTTGGATCTTTGCAACCAAGAAATCAGGAGATCCTCCCATGGGCTGAGTCACGGCGGCCTTGGGCCTAGTACACAGGGCTGTGTGGAGTGTTGGCAGAGCAGCTGCTCAGACACAGACCGAGACCCAGGAGGTTTACACAATCTAGCCTTGAGAAACCAGGAAAGGTGGGAGTTCCGTTGGTACATTCCCCCAGTAAGGGGGCTGAATTCAGGTGTTATACGAGTTGTTAAGAAATTATTTTGGGCAGACAGGGAGGAAAAGGGGTCCTTGGGAAGTTTTGTTTCTTCTTAAAGCAGCTCCAGAAATGAGTCTTGTCTAGCAGGAAAGCCCCGGCTTTTAGAGTTCTCCGGTAACCTTGATCTGCAGATGCCGGCCATTAGAAACTGGGTCCACCCAAACATAGCGATTCCCGCCCTCTTCTGGCCCTTGTCCCCACCTGTGCCTGGCGATATGGCCACCCCCATATATCCCCATGAGTGTAGGAAATCAGGGTGTCCGGCACGTGCATATTCAAAGGCTAGGTGGGAGGGCCAGTTTTTCCGTGGGCCACATAAATGACATGCCTGGTCGAACCAATCGCCTGAACCCTATGCAAATCAGACACCACCCCCTCCAGTTTCTTCATATAACTCATTGGTATCCACAGCACTCCGGGTTTCCTCTTTTGGCTTTGGAGCCCCCCTCCCTCTGTCTCAGTATGGGGAGCTCTTCCTTCGTTCTTGCCTATTAAACTGCACGCCATAAAACCACTGTACATGTGTTTGTGTCATTTTCTCCAATTCTGTGTGAGACATGAGCCCTGGTGTTCCTCCACTCATCACAGCCATATCACAGGGAGCCAGACAGCCTCATCCTGTGGTCCCCATCATCACAGCACTTCTCAAGTCCCACGGGCTTGGAATACCAGCCAAGCAGTGGCAAGATAGCAAGCCAAGTGCCTGAGACTACCGAGTTCTGGGTGGTTGGGGCGGCCACCGTCTCTGTTTCCGTAGACTCAGACAATCTAGCCTTCGGGCTCCAGGGAGGGCAGCTGGTCTGGAGCAGGAGGGGTCCCCCACAAGGCAGCACTGCTGCTGTGCCTGATAGTGGCCAGACTGTTTCTTTAAATTTGACCTTGATTCATCCCTCCTCACTGGGAAGGTCCTCCCTGTTGGAATTTCAGGAACTCCAGCCAGGGTTATAGGGTTGGTGGGAAGCCTGATCTCTTTCTGGGTTGGAGGTCCTCCGGGGATGGGCGGCTGCCATCTTTGTAATTGTGGACTCAACCTTTTCAGCTGAAGCAAATGAACAAAGCTGGGAGCATCACATTTCCTAACTCTAAAATATATTACACAGCCATAGTCACCAATACAGCATGGTACAGGTATAAATGTGGACACACAGATTGATGTAACAGACGAGAGAATCCAAAATGAAAGCCACACATTCATAGGCAACTGATCTTTGACAAAGCTGACAAGAATATACACTAGGGAAAGCACACCCTTTTCAATAATTGGTACTGGGACAGTTGCATTGTCATATGCGGAAGAATAAATCTGAACTCCTATTTCTTACCATGTTTACAAAAATCAATTTAAAGTGAATTATAGACTGAAATGTATGTACTGAAATGGTCAAAATATCAGAAGAAACTTAGGGAAAACTCTTCTGGTCATTGTCCAGTAAAGAGTTCACGAGTAAGACTTCAAAAGTACAGGCAACAAAACCAAAAAGAGACCAATGTAAATTTAAACCAAACTAAAAATTTTAATTAAATTAAAAAGCCATACACCATTTTTCTATCTCATCCCTAAGAAAATGGACCACGTCATCCACTAGCATTTCCATGGCACCTTCATTATAGGCGAAGTAAGTGAGCCCATGATAAGTGTAATGAGCCTTCTGTTTATTTCAGGCGAAGTTAAGTAATGGATATTCCTGGAGTGGTGTGGATTTTACAGAAAGTGACGTGAAGTGGGCAGGCCAAGATGCCCAATGAGAAGCAGCTGTCTTCCCCTGAATGAAAAGCACGGTGAATTCAGCACCTTGAACTGAAGTATCCAGGTTCCTACATTGGGACTGATTAGGCAAATGACTTGACCCAGGAGAAGAAACAAAGGGGGTGGGTGATGGTGCACCCAGTATCAGCACAGAGCCAAAGAAACCTTCACCTACAGCCAAGAGAAGCAGTAGTGAATGCACAACCCCTACCCACAAACCATGTTTCTCCCATGCATCTTTGCCACGCATGGATCAGAAGATCCTCCCATTAGCTCATGCCATAAGGGTCTTGGGTCAGATACACAGAGCCGTGTCGAATGTTGCCAGAGCACTCGCTCAGACACTCACAGAGACTCAGGAGTTTTATATACTTGGAAAGCTGGGCAAGGCGGGAGTTCCATCTGTACATTCCCTTAGAAAAGGGGCTGAATCCAGGGAGCCAAGCAGCCTCATTCCGTGGGCCCCACTTCCACAGCACCTCTCAAGTTAAGACCCACTGGCTTGGAATAGCAGCCAACCAGTGGCAATCGGCTGGAGACTGCCTGAGACTACAGTTTTCTGGGGAGGTGAGGGCGGCCTCCATTTCTGTGTTTCCATGGACTCAGACATTCTAGCCTGCAGGCTCCAGGGAATCCAGGTGGTCTGGTCCCCCACAAGGCAGCACAGCTGCTGTGCCTGATTGTGGCCAGACAGATTCCTTAAGTAGGACCTTCATTCATCCCCCCTCACTGGGTAGGGCCTCCCTTTGGGAATTTCAGGAGTTCCAGCCATGGTTATATGGTCAGTGGGAGCCATGATCTTTTTCCGGGAAGGAGCCCTGCGAGGAGGGGCAGCTTCATCTCTGCAGCTGTTGACTCAGCCTTTCTGAAGCAAATAAACAAAGCTGGGAGCATCACATTTCTTGACTTCAAATTATATTACAAAGCCATCATCACCAATACAGCATGGTAGTAGTATACAGATAGACACACAGATTGATGTAACAGACTAGAGAGCCCAGAAAGAAAGCCACACATTTATAGCCAACTGATCTTTGACAAAGCTGATAAGAATATACGTTGAGGAAAGCACACCCTTTTCAATAATTGGTGCTGGAACAATTGAATTGTCATTTGCAGAAGAATAAACCTGGACTCCTATTTCTCACTATTTCTACAAAAATCAATTGAAGATGAATTATAGACTTAAATATATGTACTGAAATAATAAAAATGTGAGAAGAAACCTAGAGAAAACTCTTCTGGTTATTGTCTAGTAAAGAGTTCAAGAGTATGACTTCAAAAGTACAGGCAA